>NC_000003.12:46373636-46676666 GCF_000001405.40 Homo sapiens
TCTCTTCTGGGCTCCCTACAACATTGTCCTTCTCCTGAACACCTTCCAGGAATTCTTTGGCCTGAATAATTGCAGTAGCTCTAACAGGTTGGACCAAGCTATGCAGGTGACAGAGACTCTTGGGATGACGCACTGCTGCATCAACCCCATCATCTATGCCTTTGTCGGGGAGAAGTTCAGAAACTACCTCTTAGTCTTCTTCCAAAAGCACATTGCCAAACGCTTCTGCAAATGCTGTTCTATTTTCCAGCAAGAGGCTCCCGAGCGAGCAAGCTCAGTTTACACCCGATCCACTGGGGAGCAGGAAATATCTGTGGGCTTGTGACACGGACTCAAGTGGGCTGGTGACCCAGTCAGAGTTGTGCACATGGCTTAGTTTTCATACACAGCCTGGGCTGGGGGTGGGGTGGGAGAGGTCTTTTTTAAAAGGAAGTTACTGTTATAGAGGGTCTAAGATTCATCCATTTATTTGGCATCTGTTTAAAGTAGATTAGATCTTTTAAGCCCATCAATTATAGAAAGCCAAATCAAAATATGTTGATGAAAAATAGCAACCTTTTTATCTCCCCTTCACATGCATCAAGTTATTGACAAACTCTCCCTTCACTCCGAAAGTTCCTTATGTATATTTAAAAGAAAGCCTCAGAGAATTGCTGATTCTTGAGTTTAGTGATCTGAACAGAAATACCAAAATTATTTCAGAAATGTACAACTTTTTACCTAGTACAAGGCAACATATAGGTTGTAAATGTGTTTAAAACAGGTCTTTGTCTTGCTATGGGGAGAAAAGACATGAATATGATTAGTAAAGAAATGACACTTTTCATGTGTGATTTCCCCTCCAAGGTATGGTTAATAAGTTTCACTGACTTAGAACCAGGCGAGAGACTTGTGGCCTGGGAGAGCTGGGGAAGCTTCTTAAATGAGAAGGAATTTGAGTTGGATCATCTATTGCTGGCAAAGACAGAAGCCTCACTGCAAGCACTGCATGGGCAAGCTTGGCTGTAGAAGGAGACAGAGCTGGTTGGGAAGACATGGGGAGGAAGGACAAGGCTAGATCATGAAGAACCTTGACGGCATTGCTCCGTCTAAGTCATGAGCTGAGCAGGGAGATCCTGGTTGGTGTTGCAGAAGGTTTACTCTGTGGCCAAAGGAGGGTCAGGAAGGATGAGCATTTAGGGCAAGGAGACCACCAACAGCCCTCAGGTCAGGGTGAGGATGGCCTCTGCTAAGCTCAAGGCGTGAGGATGGGAAGGAGGGAGGTATTCGTAAGGATGGGAAGGAGGGAGGTATTCGTGCAGCATATGAGGATGCAGAGTCAGCAGAACTGGGGTGGATTTGGGTTGGAAGTGAGGGTCAGAGAGGAGTCAGAGAGAATCCCTAGTCTTCAAGCAGATTGGAGAAACCCTTGAAAAGACATCAAGCACAGAAGGAGGAGGAGGAGGTTTAGGTCAAGAAGAAGATGGATTGGTGTAAAAGGATGGGTCTGGTTTGCAGAGCTTGAACACAGTCTCACCCAGACTCCAGGCTGTCTTTCACTGAATGCTTCTGACTTCATAGATTTCCTTCCCATCCCAGCTGAAATACTGAGGGGTCTCCAGGAGGAGACTAGATTTATGAATACACGAGGTATGAGGTCTAGGAACATACTTCAGCTCACACATGAGATCTAGGTGAGGATTGATTACCTAGTAGTCATTTCATGGGTTGTTGGGAGGATTCTATGAGGCAACCACAGGCAGCATTTAGCACATACTACACATTCAATAAGCATCAAACTCTTAGTTACTCATTCAGGGATAGCACTGAGCAAAGCATTGAGCAAAGGGGTCCCATAGAGGTGAGGGAAGCCTGAAAAACTAAGATGCTGCCTGCCCAGTGCACACAAGTGTAGGTATCATTTTCTGCATTTAACCGTCAATAGGCAAAGGGGGGAAGGGACATATTCATTTGGAAATAAGCTGCCTTGAGCCTTAAAACCCACAAAAGTACAATTTACCAGCCTCCGTATTTCAGACTGAATGGGGGTGGGGGGGGCGCCTTAGGTACTTATTCCAGATGCCTTCTCCAGACAAACCAGAAGCAACAGAAAAAATCGTCTCTCCCTCCCTTTGAAATGAATATACCCCTTAGTGTTTGGGTATATTCATTTCAAAGGGAGAGAGAGAGGTTTTTTTCTGTTCTGTCTCATATGATTGTGCACATACTTGAGACTGTTTTGAATTTGGGGGATGGCTAAAACCATCATAGTACAGGTAAGGTGAGGGAATAGTAAGTGGTGAGAACTACTCAGGGAATGAAGGTGTCAGAATAATAAGAGGTGCTACTGACTTTCTCAGCCTCTGAATATGAACGGTGAGCATTGTGGCTGTCAGCAGGAAGCAACGAAGGGAAATGTCTTTCCTTTTGCTCTTAAGTTGTGGAGAGTGCAACAGTAGCATAGGACCCTACCCTCTGGGCCAAGTCAAAGACATTCTGACATCTTAGTATTTGCATATTCTTATGTATGTGAAAGTTACAAATTGCTTGAAAGAAAATATGCATCTAATAAAAAACACCTTCTAAAATAATTCATTATATTCTTGCTCTTTCAGTCAAGTGTACATTTAGAGAATAGCACATAAAACTGCCAGAGCATTTTATAAGCAGCTGTTTTCTTCCTTAGTGTGTGTGCATGTGTGTGTGATGTATACAAAGAGAGAGATAATTGTATTTTTGTATTTTCTTTTAAATAATTTTTAAAATTGACCCTTTTCCTGAGACAAATTGCCAGAATAGTTTGTATTTAGAGATGGTACCTCTAAGAGTAAGGTTGCTGGTTGCTGAGCAATTGACTTGAAAACTTTTAAAATTCAAATTTTAATTCCACTACTCAAAAGAATTGCCATGTTTTAAAAAAGAGAATTGGTGCCATAAGTTAGTTGTCTATGTTTGAAAATGAAGAAGATATGCAACGTCATGGCCTGGTCACTTACCCGCAGCCCTGAGTTGTAGGCACATCATATGTGAGAATGAGGATGCTTTTCTTTCATTTAAAATCCCTCCCCAAAACTTGGCTCTAATTGCAGTCATGACAATCATGTACATTTGGATTTATGTGCACGAGTCTCTTACCCTGAGAGAGGACAGGTGCTACAGGTGGAGGGGACCCGTCTGGGTCACGTTCACATTTTGAACATGCTGGTTTTCAGTCACTGCACACTCATCTCCCAGCACAGGTCATGGGCAGCAGATGCAAAAGCTGCCCGTGGTCCTATTTGGAGGTGCATGAAATGAGCAGAAGACAGAACAGCTTGATCTGACTAGAAGGGCAGCTTGTCCCTACCAAGACTTGAAGGATTGCCTTTCATCTGTTAGGGTAAAAGGTAGAATGAACCAAGGAAGGGCAGGAGGGGGCTGGGGTTAGGGTAGAAGGAAGGGGCCATGGAGAAGGGAGATCCATCCCATAGGAGGAAGGCAGTGCGGCAGGGAGGTTTGAAGGTATCAGCTTTTGTGGCTGACATACATGCAGTCATGTCAATTGCTCGTTTTTCCTTTTCCATCTTATTAAATGTCTTCCAACGTTAGCACGAAGAAAAGCTATTTGCAGTGTTGCCAGCCTTTCCAGAGCCCGTCCCCATTACCTCCCCAGGCCCATGCCTTTACTCCTTGGAGTTTCAACTCACGACCTTCAGGATCTGACTTTATTCACCAACTCTGGGGTGAACGTACCTTCTGTCTCCACCCAGAGGTCTCTATCAAAGAGGAGATTGCATGCCATGGATAAAGTCAAAGTAGAGGTGACTGTCCTTAGGAAGAGTAATGTGAAAATTCATAAACTGGGATTCTGTTTACATTTTGTACTCCAGGGGTTCTTAGTTTAAATCGCTCTGAATAAATTAAGATGCAATGGCATTTCAACTGTTATGATTAAATTTACAAATCATTTATTTTCTATCACGGGGAGAGATAGAGCTCCAAATGCAAACATAACTGCTCAAGTGTTAACACTTATAATGAAAACATAAGAATTACCACCAACTACCCTGGGGGCTAGAAGCAGAAATGTGAACCAGAAAACAAATCATGAACTTTCCTTTTTTTTTTTGAGATGGAGTCTCGCTCTGTTGCCCAGGCTGGAGTGCAATGGTGCGATCTCGGCTCACTGCAACCACTGCCTCCCGGGTTCAAGCAATTCTCCTGCCTCAGCCTCCTGAGTAGCTGGGACTACAGGCATGCACCACCACGCCTGGGTAATTTTTTGTATTTTTAGTAGAGACAGGGTTTCACCGTATTAGCCAGGATGCTCTCGATCTCCTGACCTCGTGATCTGCCCGCCTCGGCCTCCCACCGAAGTGCTGGGATTACAGGCATGAGCCACTGTGCCCGGCCAACAAATCATGAACTTTCTAACTGCAGTTCCTTGTAGCTTGTTAACACATCCACTTACTTATTGTCAGAGTACGTGGAGATTTTCCACAACCCTCGGGGATAAGGCTGAACAGAAGAGGCAAAAACGTGAAAACATTTCGATAGCTCCTATACTTTGAAATAAAATTCACTGTAAAAGTTGCTTGTATTTTTCCAAAACAGAGTCAACCCTTAATATTTAAGATTCTGTATACAAATACATATTTTTATATAATTAATATATATTGTCATATGACATATATCTTTATATTAATATGCATGCATATAATATATATTTCCTTCCTAATTTTCTATAAGCAATTTTACAAGACTGACTTCTATTTGCCTCCTTATTGTTACTACGTGGTTTGATAATCCGTTTTGTGTCATTGTGATTCTGTCATGTTTTGGGGACTTATTTTTGTTTCTCTGGGTGGTCACTAGTTTTTTTAAAGCATTCATGGAAGAGTGTGAATCTTTTACAAGCTAGGAAGCCATGGCAAGCCTTGGGTCATACTGCCCCCGCGAGGCCACATTGGCAAACCAGCAAGGGTGTTCAACTTCCAGACTTGGCCATGGAGAAGACACACGAGGAGGCTTTTCACATTCAGCTCTTTAATGTTTGTCTCTGCCGGCACCATCCCAGTTGTGAAAAAGAGGTATTTCCACAGCGGCTCAGGGTAGGTAGTGCACAGCTCACATTCATCATTTCTGAAAACCGAGAGGAGTCTCCATTCGGGGTACAGGTTGATGCCTGTCGTGGAATGAAGGTTCCAACACCCAGACCAATCTCTGCAGTGTGCTGCTCTCATGAGCTTGCAACAAGATCAGAAAATGTTTTGTGACTAAGCATTTTTCATATTGCATAAAATGCTTCAAGCTCCTCCCTTGTTTCTCTCTATAATCCTGTATATCTGATGATTGTGGGTACCAAGTGTTTGAAATAATCAAATGTGATTTGATGTTGGTAAATTTCTTTTTTTTTTTTTTTTTACTTCTATTTTTTTTATTATACTTTAAGTTTTAGGGTACATGTGCACATTGTGCAGGTTAGTTACATATGTATACATGTGCCATGCTGGTGCGCTGCACCCACTAACTCGTCATCTAGCATTAGGTATATCTCCCAATGCTATCCCTCCCCCCTCCCCCCACCCCACCACAGTCCCCAAAGTGTGATATTCCCCTTCCTATGTCCATGTGATCTCATTGTTCAATTCCCACCTATGAGTGAGAATATGCGGTGTTTGGTTTTTTGTTCTTGCGATAGTTTACTGAGAATGATGGTTTCCAATTTCATCCATGTCCCTACAAAGGACATGAACATAGCAAAGACTTGGAACCAACCCAAATGTCCAACAATGATAGACTGGATTAAGAAAATGTGGCACATATACACCATGGTAAATTTCTTTATCATTCGCACTCTCCTTTCTCTATTATTGTTATTGTAACTGAACCGCAGATTAGTCACTCATTGCTTGCAGAATCCAATTAACAAGAGCGAGGTCAGATATAAAGAAAATGATTTATTCCAAACCTCCTTCAGGGAAGAGGTGCAGCCTCCTGCCTCTAAATGCACTGCTTCGCCAGGCGTGGTGGCTCACACCTGTAATCCCAGCACTTTGGGAGACCGAGGAGGGCAGATCACTTAAGGTCAGGAGTTCAAGACCGGCCTGGCCAATATAGTGAAACCCCTGCCTCTACTAAAAATACAAAAAATTAGCCAGACGTGGTGGCGGGTGCTTGTAATCCCAGCTACTCGGGAGGCTGAGGCAGGAGAATCGCTTGAACCTGGGAGGTGGAAGTTGCAGTGAGCTGACATCTAGCCACTGCACTCCAGCCTGGGTGACAGAGTGAGACTCTGTCTCAAAATAAATAAATAAATAAATAAATAAATAAATAAATAAATAGTAAATGCACTGCTTTGCTTTTGGAGCAGAAAGCAGGCACTTTGAAAAGGCAGGGGAGGAAGTGAGCAAGGGCAGGGGGTCTGCACACTGGCATGGTGCCTGATCTATCCAGGCAGTTGAATTGGCACTTTCATAGGCAGAAATAAGTTGAAAAAGTGGCCTAAAACTCTCTAGGTGGGAGTGGATAGTGGGCATGCCTTCAACCTGCCTTTCTGGAGGGTGAGTTCCATGGCAACCCCCTGAAGGGTGAGAGTTCCATGGAGATCATGCTTTGGTCTGTAAATCAGCTGTTAACTCTCTAGAAAGTTCTGTCTTGGAGCATATAGTTAGATGAACTTGCCCTGTAAAGAATGTCTGGTGAAGGGGAAGTAAAAGGTGAGATTTGCATTTCTAAAGGGCTAAGTAGAAAGTGGGGTACAAGAGGAAAGGAGAAAAGAGAAAATAATTTAAAAAATAATTGTAACTTATTCCCTTTTACTTAGAAAAAAGGGAATACTCAGTTACATTATCACCTCGTTTACATCAAACCCTCTTATGGAATCCTATGGTTTGAAAACAAAAAGGTTGTTGAGGACCAGTGAGCCCAACCCCTTTGCTTTATAAATGAAGAGCATTGCCTGCCCTAAGCCCCAGAGACTCTGATGTCGTGGGTCTGGAGTGGGCTCCAACAGCGGCATGTTTTGATGGTGCTTCCCAGTGGCACGCCAGCGATGAGCCTTTGAGTAGGGAAAGTAGGAGCACTCGTGACTCCCTTCACGATCAGCACCTGTGTGCTAATAAATTCACAAAAGCCAACATATTGGAGTCACTCAGGGAGTTTTACAAATAGTGAGGTTAAATCCAACCTCAAATAGTTCTGATTCGATCTGCCTGCATTGCTGCCCTGTGGTTCCCCACTGTAGAAGCTCCCCAGGTGATTCTAAGTGTAGCCAAGTCTGAGAAATACTGCCTAAAGCCTGTTGGACTGACAGCAAGGGCTGTTGTCTGAGCAAGACTTTGCCTGGCCTGGGGTGGCATGTGCACCAGGAAGAGTCTCAACTTTCATAACAGAACATTCCCCAAGCTGGTTTTTTTAAAGCATGTGAATCTAGACTTCATTGGCAATACCAAAGATCTGTATTTGAGGCTCCAAGTATTTCACTTTCATTTTTGGTTTTGGGTTATGTTTTCACCCTTCCTTTCCAAGTGAAAAGTAAACAGAAGTGGGATGTCTGGCGCCCATGCTGAGCTTGGCAACTTCAAATTCAATAGAGAAGAAGTCTCTTGTATAGAAAAGGGCCTGTCTGAGATGTTTCTCAAATAAATATAGATTTTGCTTATGTGGCTAAAGGATTCTTCTCCCCCCATTTCCTTATCCCTGCAGTGAGCCATCCTTCTTAACTCTTTCCATGAAAGCATTATTCCTGAAGAACTGGGAACTCATGCCAGCCCTGATCAGGCAATGATAATTCTGCAGAGAATTAGAATTTAGATTTAAATTGTCAACTCTTATACATCCTGGCATATGGTTTAAACACATGTACACACACACAAACACCTCCTACTATTTACTGAAGAGCAGATATCTGATAACTTAATCTTTTTGGTTTTGAGTCAAGACAATTCCTCCTTTTGAAACTGCATACCGCTGAATATAATAAAATGTAATTAAGATTAAAAATAAGAAACTAATGGGAGAATTTCAATATTGTCTATGTTCACTTTAAAATTCCTCTACTTAGGTTTACTGCCATTACCAAAGACTATTCAAAAATCCTTTTTAGGAGAATCCTAATGGTTTCCTGACATATAATCAAATAAGGACTCTGTTGATTGGCTAACTCAATCTTCCTGTGCCAAAAAGCAGAGCCCAGCAGAGAAGAGGGCAGGGACTTGAAAGTCAGACTGACTCGAGTTCCAGCCTTGGGGCTGTGGGAGCTTGGGCAAGTGACTTAACGTCTCTGGCTCTCAGGATCTAAAAGGATTTCCAGTAGTAATTTGGGGTGTTACTGATACAGGAGCTAAAAAGAAATTATTTAGGTGGTTAGTGAGGGTCAGAGAGTCCTCGGTAAGATTTGCCTTTTAACAAAAAGCAGCCCCAAAATCATTTGTTTGCTAACAAAGAGAAGCCTGTAAAATTGAGCTGCAGACATAGATAAGCAAGCTGGAAGCTTGCACGGGTGAATGCCGGCAGCTGTGCCAATAGGAAAAGGCTATCTGGGGGCCAGGCATGTTCAACATGGATTCTCCATCTTCCCTTTTCTTTGTCAACCAAGTGTACAGTAAAGGAACAGGCAACATGGCACGGGCCAGGTAGAGAACCCTTCTGCATAATAAAAGATTAGGGTGAGATGGCCAGCTTCTTCCCGTGCTATGTAAATGGCATACCTGGTCCAACCAGTCTTTTGGGCCCTGTGTAAATCAGACACCGCCTCCTCAAGTTAGTCTATAAAACCCCATGCATTTTACCGTGAAACTGGGAGATCCACTCGGAACCCCCTCCTGCACGAGAGACCTTTTCTCTTTTGCCTATTACACTTCCGCTCTTAAACTCACTGCTCATGTGTTAGCATCCTTGATTTCCTTGGCATGAGGCAACGAACCTTGTGTATTACCCCATACAAATGATGCTGCTTCATTACTAATAGCAACCTGACAGGGTTGTGTTGGGGTATAAATTATCTAGACCAGGGAGATCCAATATAATTTTTTTGTAATGACGGGAATGCTTTGTATCTGCATCATCCAAAATGGTAGCCACCAGGCCAGGGTGAAATGTGGCCAGTGTGACTGAGGAACTGAATGTTTTCCATGATTTAATTTAAATGTGGCCAATGGCTACTGTAGGAGACAGTGTGAGTCTGGCATATTATAAATAATAAATATTAATATAATTTGAACTTTGGCATCAGTGTTTCCTAGATTTGAATTACTATGCAAGTTGCTTACTGTTTCCAAGCCTCAGCTTTCTAATCTGTAATTGGGGCTAATAATAGTATCTGCCTTACAGGTTTGTTCAGAGGATAAATGAGAAATTGCATGTTGAGGGCTTAACACAGTGCCTGGCACATAAAAGCTCTGGTAACAGTTAGCCACTTTAATAATTTGCTAATAATGGCTATTTCTTCTTCAGATTAGGATGTGCTCCCCCAAACAGTGCACTTAGACATAGCGGGCAATCCAGCTCACTCTCTGCAGTGAGAGAGAAGCACTGGCCGACCAGAGTCAGCCAGGGGCTCATGGGTATGAAATCAACAGCATGATTTTGTAAGTAATGGATGGAAAGGGCCTCACAACTTTATGGCACTGTGTTCAATTTGCTTGGTCTTCTGTAGCTCCTTTTGAAAGCCTTTTAGGGTGGATTAACCTGCTACCAATAATTCTGGTCAGATGTAGACTCCATAGCTCAAAGCAAACTGAGAGAGTGAGGGCAGCAGGCCAATTCCCCACCCCTTCCTTCTGGACTCTGACAGAAGCTTACACTCAAGGAAGAGCAAGTAGGAATTAACGTGTTAAGAGCTAGGTAAGCAAAACCCAATGAGAAGTTCTGGCAAAGCCCCATGGGCAGGGGTGGCTTAGGCACAGGAAACAAGTAGGATTTCATACCACGCGCCTCAGTCTACTTCCGGGGCCCTCATCCTCAGCTGTGCCTATGCAAAGGAGAGCAACCAATAAACCCCACCGCCACTCTCCTACTGTGGAGGCCAGGGATGGCCAGGGGTAAGAGAGGGATGGGAAGTGTTTCCTCCAGCCGTCCTCTGAGAAGGAGAGGAAACTGGGCAGAGCTTCTGTCCTCCTTCAAGCAGAAACAGAAACAAAAGAAACCCCTAAGGGGGTTCTTACTTCCCCTCTAGTTCAGTTGTGCACTAACCATCTGCAGCTCAACATTCAGCATTCATTCATTGATTCAGCAAACATTGAAGGAGGGCCAGCTATGTGCCAGATGCCAACTCATGCCATGAAAGAGAGTCCCTGTCCTTATGAAATTCACTATTTAGAGAGAAAAGCAAGCAAAAAGGCAAAGTTTGAAAAGTACTGTTGAAGTGGCATCATTGTCTGGGGTGAATACCTGAGGTTTGTGGTCTCACGCCAAGGGAATCAAGGACTCAGGCACACAAGAAGTGAGTTTAAGAGCAGAGGTTTAATAGGCAAAAGAAAGAGAAAAAAGAATAGCTCTCTTGCCTGCACAGAGAGAGGGGCACCTGAGTGGATCTTCCTGTTTTGTGGTGAAATGCAAGGCATTTTATAGACGAGCTTGAGGAAGTGGTGTCTGATTTACTTAGGACCCGAGAGATTGGTCAGACCAGGTGTGATGTTTACATAGCATACAAAGAAGCTGGCCATCCCATCCTAATCTTTTATTACGCAGACGGGGTCTATACCTGGCTGGTGCCATGTTGTCTGTTCCTTACTGTACACGTGGTTGACAAAGAAAAGGGAAGATGAAGAATCCATGTTGAACATGCCTGGCCCCCAGATAGTCTTTTCCTATTGGCACAGCTGCCGGCATTCACTCTTGCAAGCTTCCAGATTGCTTATCTATGTCTGCAGCCCAATTTTACAGGTTGCTCTTTGCTAGAAAAGAAATGATTTGGGGGCTGCTTTTCATTAAAAGGAAAACCTTACCAAGGTTAAAAAGAAAAAAATTTCTTTTTAATGCCTATGTTACTGTGAACAGTGTCGGGATAAGGCTCTGAGAGCCAGATGAGGATGAGTTATCCAATCCAAGGATGGGGGTCTGGAGGAAAAAATCCTAGAGAGCATTGCTGCAGTTGAATAAGGATTAGTTAGAAGCTACTGAGTGGAGCATAGGAGTAGGAACTCTTATGCAAATGTGCAGAGGTGAAATAAAGCAAGGTATAGTCCAGGTGCCTAAAGTAGCACAGCTGACTTGAGATAGATGATAGATAGGTAGATAGATGGATAGGGTACATAGATGATAGATAGATAGATAGATAGATAGATAGATAGATAGATAGATAGATAGATAGATAGACAGACAGACAGACACTGGTGTGAGTGTGGGTGTGTGTGTCTGGCTGCGTGCATGCATTCCTCCTGCAGGAGATCAGGAGCAGTGGGCAGTATGGAGTGACAAGAAGATTGGGAGGTACTCCTTCTAGCCCTCCCCTCTGCTCTGCCCTCCACTGGAGCAGAAGCAAAGCATATGGTGAAGGGGAACAAGGAGTCTCCCCAGCACAGTACCCGAGTGCATTAGCTATTTATCACTCCACAGTCCCCATTCACGTGTTAATTCAGCATTTATTGAATGCTTACTGTTTGCAATGTCTATGTCAAGCTGTCAAGTGTAGTTTTTATTCTACAGGCCACAGGCACCCCCTAACTGTGTTAAACAAGATGGTAGTATTGAGACAGGAATAATAAGGGTGGTCACAGGAGAATGGAAGATTCCAGGCAGCAGTTTGACTAGTAAAAAAGGAAACTGTTGAAATAGCTGCATAATCCAGGGGTCAATAAGAACCTGAGAACCAGGGTGTGAGCCAAGGCTGGTTAAAAGCAACTGGATCCAATATGGTGCTGAGTTTCTCCTAGGTTTTGCCTGGAACCTCATTATATGCTCAATAACATACCAAATCACACACCCACCAGGGCCATTCCATTTCCTGGAACACTCATGTTTGGTGTAAAAATGGGTGGCACCACAGCTCTGAGAAATCTTTACCTTTTTCAGGAAACTTCATGAATATTCCATCCTTTGGTTAAAGAAACCCATAATGTAGAAGCCCCAAACCCTACTGGGCGCAACTCTCTCTCTCTTGAGTATGCCTGCACTTCCCTTTATTATTTATTTATTTATTTATTATTTATTTATTTATTTTTTAGATGGAGTCTGGTTCTGTCACCCAGGCTGGAGTGCAGTGGCGCAGTCTCAGCTCACTGCAAGCTCTGCCTCCAGGGTTCAGGCCATTCTCCTGCCTCAGCCTCCTGAGCAGCAGGGACTACAGGCGCCCACCACAACGCCTAGCTAATTTTTTGTATTTTCAGTAGAGATGGGGTTTCACCATATTTTATTTTATTTTTGAGACAGGGTCTCACTTTGTTGGCTCGCTGCAACCTCTGCCTCCCAGGCTCAAGCAATCCTCCAACCTCAGCCCCCCAAGTAGCTGGGAGGACAGACGTGCACCACCACACCTGGCTAATATTTTGTATTTTTTTTTGTAGAGACAGGGTCTTGCCATGTTCCCCAGGCTGGTCTTGAACTCCTGGACTCAGGTGATCAGCCTGCCTCCACCTTCCAAAGTGCTAGGATTACAGGAATGAGCCACCCCACCCGACCACACTCCCATTTCTTGAGTGTGTGCATTTTGCTCTGCAATAAATCTCTCTACTTTCACTTTTCTCTGACTCGTCCTTGAATTCCTTCTTGTGACAGCGTCAACAGCCTGGACACCAGGTGCAGTCAACGTCTCACCAGTGTTTAGGGACCTCCCCTAATCCACTGGTATCAGCATGATCAGACTTGCTTTTTCAGAAAAAGCCTTCTGTCCATAGACCAAAGGGAAGTGACTCAGAGAAGGGGCAGGAGGAATCACAAGCTCCCTGCCTGACCAGGCCTGGACTATGGCAGAGACAGTGAGATGGTGAGAAAGCAAGGGTAGACAGCCAGCCAAATCCAGAATATAGAAAGTTCTACAGGAAAAGGTGGGGCCAAGGTGGGACAGGGGGAAAGGAATTGTTGCACATTAACAGTGCAATGCAGAGCACTGGTCTTGTTTATGTCCAGGTTAGAACAAACCAATGAGAAAGCACATCTTTGAGAAAACTGGAGAAATTTGAACACTGACTAGATATAATATTATGTTAATTATGCTTTAATTTGGGGTACAATAATGCTTTTGTAGCTATTTCTAAAGAGTCCTTATCTCTTAAGGATACACTCTAAAATACTAGTGGATTAAGTTATATGATGTTTAGACTCTTTTTAAAATAATCCAGTGGGGTGAGAGGCAGAGGGAAGGGAGAGGAGCATAGAGGAAACAGTGTTGGTCATATGTTTGTAATTGTTAAAACTGAGTGATGGGAATATGGAGATTTAACATATTAATACTATTTTCTGCCCATGTAATATTTGAATATTTTCATAATAAAATTGAGAGAGAGATAAAGAAAGAAAAGAGAAAAGAAGAGAAGAGAGAAGAGATAAGGGAAGTGGAGGAAAAAGAGCTTTCTTCAAGGACCATTGTGGTGGACACAAATGAAAGATACCCCCTTCCTACTATGAATTCTAAGTGTGTACTACCCAAGATGAGTCAATCGGATCCTAGCTTCCAGAAATCGTGAGCATGATGCAGCCCTACAGACGCAGTGCCCTGGAAAGGAGACCCATGACCATCCAAGGAAGATGTCCCATCACAGAACTGCCCTGGGTCATGTGTTTTCCAAGTCCACATGTCCGGTAGTTCCTTCTTTCCTATGACCAATGCCACCAGTCTTCCAGCACTGTCCTTTATTGCTAGGCAAACCTGAGCCATCCTCTTCTTCTTGCAACTTGTGCCTGAAGTAACATGGACACAAAGTCCCCACTTTTCCCACATTCTCAGAATGAAGTAGTTCTCCCTCCACACTTTAGGTGCTAGAGGCAAGTGGATTGCTTGAGCTCAAGAGTTCAAGACCAGCCTGAGCAACATGGCAAAACCCCGTCTCTACAAAAAATACAAAAATTAACTGGGGGTGGTGGTGTGCACCTGCAGTCCCAGCTACTCAGGAGGCAGAGAAGGAGGATTTCTTGAGCCCTGAAGGTGGTTGTGTTACGTGCATTCATGTTAAGAGACCACCAAACAGGCTTTGTGTGAGCAATTAAGCTTTTTAATCATGTGGGTGCAGGCAGACTGAGTCTGAAAAAAGAGTCAGCAAAGGGAGATAGGGATGGGGCGGTTTTATAGGATTTGTGTAGGTAGTGGAAAATTACAGTTAAAGGGGGTTGTCCTCTTGCGGGTACAGGCGGGGGTCACAAGGTGCTCAGTGGGGAGCTCCTGAGATTTATTGTCCAGGAGAAGGAATGTCACAAGGTCAACTGATCAGTTAGGGTGGGGCAGGAACAAATTACAATGGTGGAATGTCATCAGTTAAGGCAGGAACTGGGTATTTTCACTTCTTTGTGGTTCTTCAGTTGCTTCAGGCCATCTGGATGTATAAGCGCAGGTCACAGGGGATATGATGGCTTAGCTCGGGCTCAGAGGCCTGACATTCCTGTCTTCTTATATTAATAAGAAAAACAAAACAAAATAGTGATGAAATGTTGGGGCAGCGAAAATTTTTGGGGGTGGTATGGAGAGATAATGGGTGATGTTTCTCAGGGCTGCTTCAAGCAGGATTAGGGGTGACACAGGAACCTAGAGAGTGGGAGAGATTAAACTGAAGAAAGATTTTGTGGTAAGGGGTGATATTGTGGGGTTGTTAGAAAGAGCAATTCTCATATAGAATGATTGGTAATGGCCTGGATGCAGTTTTGTATGAATTGAGAAACTAAACGGAAGACACAAGGTCTGAATAAGAGAAGGAGAAAAACAGGCATTAAAGGACTAAGAACTGGGAGGACCCAGGACATCCAATTAGAGAGTGCCCAAGGGGGTTCAGCATAATTATTTGCTTGGTTGGTGAGTTTTTGGTCTCCATCCTTGAGTTTTTTTTATGTTGTCATATGCCAGGCCAGATTGATTTAGGTAAAAACAACACTCTTCATTTAAAAATATACAGAGTTCTCCTTTCTCAGCAGTGAGTAAGTCAAGGCCTCAGCAGTTTTGGAGGAAAGAGAAATGCAAAGGAAGCAATTGTTTGTTAAGAAGGATTAGAAATGGCTAGGAGAGAGTGAGTGAGATTGATAGTGTGGTGGAGATAGCTGAGGAGAGGTAGAGGGTGGCATAAGAATGGGAACGAGAATAAGAGTGAGTATAAAAGTAAAGAATAGAACTTCATCAGGGTGAAAGTATTGGAGGGTGCCCTGTCAGCAAAGATCATCTGTCCACTCCAAGAGGGAGTCAAGAGTGGCGGATTGGGGATAGTACCAGGAGATATCCACTATGATGGTTTGGAGGAAAAGTGTAAACTGGCAGTGTAAACAGGGGCAGGGCATTTATGAGTCATTGAGAATGGTGAATAGGAGTATGACTAGACAGAAGATAGTGGAGATGACAAATTTTGGGGGCACAGTCCAAATAGTGGGGGTGACTGCGTAGAGCTCTGTTGCAAAAAGTAGGGTAAGGATAAATAGACTTAATAGAATGAAGAGATGTATTAGGCTCATAAGGGTTATTATTGTTCTTCAGAAATGCGAGTGAGTTTAAGGGAAGTAGGGGTGAGTACTTGCGACTTCCAGAAGGAAGAGGAGAGATCAGGCTGGCTGTCTGATGGGCACAGCTTTATTCTGGAACAGTGAATCCAATGGGGAGGGTCGTGCAGACGGATGGCAGTTGGGGTGCTATAAATGACCAGGTAGGGTCCAGTCCATCAAAGCTGTAGAGTGTGAGGGGTCAGACTTGACAAGGACTGATTGCCCAGCTAAGGTATCTTCACATGGCTGGGAGTTTGGAGGAGGCAAGAGAAGATTAGCAGCCTGGCGAATTTCCTGTCTAGCCTGCTGGAGGACTGGAAGATAAAGGCAACAGGTCGTGGGCCTGGATCCTGTGTGAGGACTCTAGCAGCACAGCCTTGTATTTCAGCTGTGTGTAAGGAAAAAGGATGGGACGAGTCGGGGAGTGCTAGTGTGGGAGCTGTCTCCAGGTCCTTTTTGAGAGAGTGAAAGGAAGAATGGGGAAAAGACTTATGGTCTATGGGATTAGTTAAATTACCCTTTGTGAGCTAGTAAAGTGGTTTGATTAGGATAGCAAAGCCCGGTATCCAAAGTTGGAAATATCCAACAATGCCTAAGAAGGAAGGGAGTTGTTGTTTGGTGGTGGGGGTTGGGGTCTGGGAGATTAACTGAACAGAGTCTGCAGGAAGGGTATGTGTATGTTGATGGAGCATTATACCAAGATAGGTAATGCTAGGGGAAGAAATTTGTGCCTCAGAGGGCAATACTTTGTACCCCTTTGAGTAAAGATGTTGAAGAAGCAGGCTAGTGTCCTGCTGGGAAGATTGGTAAGAGGGGCTGCAAAGAAGAAGATCATCAACATATTGAATAAGGTGGGAGGTAGATGGGTGAAAAGAAAGCAGATCATGAGAAAGGGCCTGGCCAAAGTAATGTGGGCTGTCCCTGAAGCCTTGGGGTAGAAAAATCCAGGTGAGTTGTTGGGACTGGTGGGTGTCAGAGTCAGTCCAAGTAAGGCAAAAAGAGGCTGGGAGGAGGGATGCAAGGGGATAGTAAAGAAGGCATCTTTGAGGTCGATAACAGAATAGAGTTGTGGAAGGGTGTATTGAAGATAGGAGGGTGTACGGGTTTGGCACTATAGGATGGATGGGAAGGACGATTTGATCAACAAGACGAAGATCCTGAACAAACCTGTAAGACTTGTCCGGTTTCTGGACGGGTAGGATAGGGGAGTTGTAAGGAGAATTTGTAGGCTTTAAGAGGCCATGTTGAAACAGGCAGGTGATAACAGGCTTTAACCCTTTTAAAGCCTGCTGTGGGATGGGATATTGGCATTGAGCGGGGTAAGGGTGATTACATTTTAATGGGATGATAAGGGGTGCATGATCGGTTGCCAAGGTAGGAGTAGAGGTATCTTATACTTGTGGATTAAGGTGGGGAGATACAAGGGGAGGATGTGAAACAGGTCTTGAGTTGGGTAAAAGTGCAGCAAAGAGATGTGGCTGCAGCCCAGGAATACTCAGGGAAGCAGATAATTTGGTTAAAATGTCTCAGCCTATTAAGGAAGCTGGACAGGTGGGGATAACTAAAAAAGTGCATAAAAGAATGTTGTCCAAGTTGGCACCAGAGTGGGGGAGTTTTAAGCGGTTTAGAAGCCTCGCCGACAATACCCACAACAGTTATGGAGGCAAGGGAAACAGGCCCTTGAAAAGAAAGTAATGTGGAGTGGGTAGCCTCCGTATTGATTAAGAAGGGGACAGACTTACCCTCCACTGTAAGAGTTACCCAAAGCATCTGTGATGGTCCAGGAGGCTTCTGAGGTGATCAGGCAGTGTCAGTCTTCAGCTGCTAAGCTGAGAAGATCTGGGAAGGAGTCAGTCAGAGAGCCTTGGGCCAGAGTTCCAGGGGCTCTGGGAGTGGTTGCCAGGCAAGTTGAACAGTCTGATTTCCAGTGGGGTCTCGCACAGATGGGACATTCCTTGGCCCAGTGGCCAGATTTCCGGCACTTGAAGGAAGATCCTGGGGGAGGAGGTCCTGGAGAAATGCCTGGCCCCTGCAGTTTAGGTGTTTTGAAGTTCTTGTGTGCTGGAGATGTGGCTGGGGTTTCTCTTACAGCGGAGGCAAGTAATTGCAACTCAGAAATATGTTGTCACTTGGCTGCCTCTTTTCTATTATTGTACACCTTAAGGCGAGGGTAATTAAATCCTGTTGTGGGGTTTGAGGGCTGGAATCTAATTTTTGGAGCTTTTTCTAATGTCAGGAGCAGATTGGGTAATAAAATGCATATTGAGAATAAGACGGCCTTCTGGCACCTCTGGGTCTAGAGAGGTAAAGTGTCTAAGGGTTGTTGCCAAACAGGCCATGGACTCAGCTGGGTTTTCATATTTGATGAAAAAGAGCCTAAACGCTAACTGATTTGGGAGAGGTCAGCTAAAGAAAAAGGAGCATTAACCTTGACTATGCCTTTAGCTCTAGCCACCTCTCTAAGAGGAAATTGTTGGGCCGGTGGGGGAGGGCTAGTTGTGGAACGAAACTGTAAGCCAGACCAGGTGTGAGGAGAGAAGGTGACCAAAGGTTTATAGGGTAGGGGAGCAGAGGCTGGGGAAGAATTGGGACCTGGCTAGGCCTAGCGAGGAACAGCCTGGGGAGGAGGGGAGAAATCAGATGGGTCCGTAGAAAAGGAGGATTCAAAGGACTCAGAGCTTGGGGTGGAGACTGAAGGAACAGACAGGAGAGAAAGAGGAAAGATTTGGGATGAGTCACATTGGGAGCAGAGACTAGAGAGGGACTGATGTGTAAAGAATGCCTGGACGTCAGGCACCTCAGACCATTTGCCCATTTTACGACAAAAATTATCTAGATCTTGTAGGATGGATAAATCGAAAGTGTCATTCTCTGGCCACTTGGAACTATTGTCAAGTTTGTATTGGGGCCAAGCAGTATTACAGAAGAAAATAAGATGTTTAGGTTTTTAAAAGAGTGCATAAAAGAATGTTGTCCAAGTCCATGCCCTTCTTAATCAATATGGGAGCTACCCACTCCACATTACCTTCTTTTCAAGGGCCTGTTTCCCTTGCCTCCATAACTGTTGTGGGTATTGATGGCCAGGCTTATAAGCCCCTTAAAATTACCCCACTCTGGTGCCAACTTGGAGAGGTCAGGTGTTAGTCAAAGGTGTTTTAAGTTTTAAGAACACAGGCTAAGGGAGAAGAAGGGGGAATGAAGCGTGGAAGGTTGCCCATAGTGAAAGAGGTAAGTTTAAAGAGAAAGGTAGAGACATGGAGAAGGGGGGAGGTGAGCAGCCCTGGGCTGTCATGTGGGTTAGCAGCCAAAGCTGGTGTCCCAGCAATTGACTTACCACCAAGGGAATGTGGGTGAATGACCAAGGCAGGCATCCCCCCGGTGATCAGACACCAAATGGAATGTGGGTGAAAGATCAAGGTAGGTGTCCCCATGATGATCAGACACCAAAGGAAGGCTGTCTTCCCAAATCCATGATCCATGTTGGAGTTTTTGAGTTCATGGATAAAATGTGTCTCCTTTGTCTCTACTAGAGAGGAAAAAGAACTGGAATTTGAAGGACAGGGAGATTGAAGGGTAGGGAGAGAGGCTGAAGAAGAGAGTGAGGAGACCGCTTACCCGGTTTGAAATTGGTGAGATGTTCCTTGGGCTGGTCTGAGGACCTGAGGTCGTAGGTGGATCTTCTCATGGAGTGAGGGTGAGGAGAGGGGACCAATCTCCCGAAGGAGTCACCCTGTCCGGGGTCTTCGGCACCAAATGTTATGCGCATCCATATGAAGAGACCACCAAACAGGCTTTGTGTGAGCAATAAAGCTTTTTAATCATGTAGGTGCAGGCAGACTGAGTCTGAAAAAGGAGTCAGCAATGGGAGTTAGGGTTGGGGTGGTTCTATAGGATTTGGGTAGGTAATGGAAAATTACAGTTAAAGGGGGTTGTCCTCTTGCAGGCAAGGGCAGGGGTCACAAGGTGCTCGGTGGGGAGTTCCTGAGACTCACTGTCCAGAAGGAATGTCACAAGGTCAATTGATCAGTTGGGGTGGGGCAGGAACAAATTACAATGGTGGAATGTCATCAGTTAAGGCAGGAGCGGCCTATTTTCACTTCTTTTGTGGTTCTTCAGTTGCTTCAGGCAATCTGGATGTATATGTGCAGGTCACAGAGGATATGATGGCTTAGCTTGGACTCAGAGGCCTGACAGGTTGCTGCAGTGAGCCAAGATCACACTACTGCACTCCTGCCTGGGCAACAGAGCCACAAAAAAAAAAGAAAAGAAAAGAAAAGAAAAAAAAAGAAGAAGAAAAAAAAATTTTTTTTCCACCAAGAATTTAGTAAAAAATTATAGGGAAAAGTGTCACTAATTCAAGGGAATTGCACTGAAAATTATTCATTCATTCAACAGATATTTATTGAGAAGCAAGTATGCTGGTGCTAGGGTTACAACAGCGCACAAATTCTTGTATTCAAGGAATGAGGTAAGAGTATGCAGATAGGAGCCAGAGAGGTCAAGAGGCAATTGCAACATAGAGTGACACGTGCTCCAGAACACATAGGAGGGCTTCCAGGCCCCATGCTGGGCTATCAGAGCTGGCTTCCTGCAGGTGGTGTGGCTCAGCTAAAACCTGAGAACCAAGAATGAGCCTTCTGATATCTCAGGGTTAAATCGGCACAAATGAAACCATTTTATAACCAAACAACATTTTCCCTCCTGAACTGCACTTTTTCTAGAACCCATTTAATCCTTCCTAACATGTTCAATCCAGCCCCGTGATTTTTCAGTCAAATGCAAGATGCGTAGGATTCCTTTTCTGTTCAGTGCTCCCCAGCCAATCTTTTTCCCTTCTCCCACCCCACAGTTACTAATTCCAGCGTTTCAGTTCTCAGCAGAGGATGACAGTTCCACCAGGAGACATCAGTGTTATCTGGAGACATTTTAGTTGTCCCAGCTGAGGGCACAGTGCTGCTGGCATCTAGTGGGTGAAGGTCAGGAATGCACCTCAACATCCTGGAACACTCAGGACAATCCCCAGCAACAAAAACCTACCCATCCAGAACATCAACAGGGCTGTGGCTGAGGAGCCCTGCTCTAGTGCTTCCTCCTTACTGTATCCTCATCAAGGAGGGCTCTGGGGCATGTCAGGGGCTGCTACAGGCTCCTGGCAGATTTCGGCGACTTACTCCAGACTTGTGGAACATTCAGGATTCTTAGCATGGCCACAGGAGAGTCAGGCTGTCCACAAGCACTCTCTCTTTCTTCACCCACTCATTCCTGTCACTCTACCATTTCCACTGCCTTCCCAAATGCCCATCGTGAGTCCCACCAGGGGCCAGAACACCACTCTCTCAAGCCTCCCCAGTGGCGCGTGCACACCTGGAGAACATGTCTCACATCCCCCAGCCAGCGAGACGTCCTGAGATTCCAGCACTTCTCAGTGTCTTTCCCAGCTTGTTTGTATCTGGAATGGGGTGGGGTCTCTCACACAGGAGAAATTACAAGGAAAAGTGTACGTGACAGGAATGGAGGAATTTCTGTGGAAACGGTGTGTGAGAAAATGTAGGAAGAAAGAAACTTCAGGAAATGGTAAGTGGCATCTTGAGAGCAGAAAGTGAGAAGGGAGCAGAAAGAAATGGGGCTGGAACCTGGGAAGGAGAGGACAGGTGGGGATGGCCTTGCACACCGTGGGCACTGAGGAGTGTGGGCCCATGGCATGGGTGGAGAGGAGTTTCAAGATAGGGAGTAGATTCCTATTTTGAACTTCGGATTGCCCCTGGCGATGTGGAGACTGTATTGGAAGAAGGCAAGAATGGAGGAGAGCCCCTAGGTGGAGGTTTGGCAATGCTCTCTCCAGAATATAGCAGAGGCCTCTTCCAAGGTAGGAAAGCCCTGACTGGAGAGAAGTTAATGGCTCTGAGGGCTCAAGGGAGGACTTGGATTATCAGGACTTTTAGGGAGGCATATGATCAAGGCTTGGGTCTTGGCCCATTGAAATGGGGAGCACTGGTTTTAGGATGTGGGTCAATTAGTTTGGTTTTCAGGACAGGCTGAGTTGGATATCCTGGGGGACCTCCAGGTGGCAGTGTCAGGGGAAGCTGGATGTGCTGACACTGAACTCAGCAGAGTGACTGAGTAGAGATCGACATCTGGGGTCACAGGCAGTGGATGCCGTAGGGGTGGACTCAATAGCTCAAGCAGAACCCGGAGGAATGCAGGCAGCAAAGGGAGCCCTAAAGAACAGTGAGGAGATGTGCCAAGAAAGAGCCAAATCCGGGGGATTGGCTGTGGGAGAGAGGGCTGTGGGAGTAAGAGGAAGTGTCAGCAACGTCAAATGTTGCAGAGACATAGAGTAAGGTAAGAGTGGAAAAAACATCCATGGAACCCTGTGATGCAATCGGAATGCAGAAAGACTTTGTAACTCCTGCCTGGTCTCCTCCTCTGCCCACTCATGGCAAAGGAATACAAAGTAATGTTCCCTCCTTCCGCCTAGAAAAGCACAACTTCTGCCCCCAAGCCCTGGGCTCTCCTGAGAGGACAGGACCAGCCTCTGAAGTTGAAGGTCCTGGTTCTGCCCCCAAGCCCTGGGCTCTCCTGAGAGGACAGGACCAGCCTCTGAAGTTGAAGGTCCTGGTTTACCAGATAGGGAAGGGGCCCTTTCCAAGACCCTTTCCAGAAGGTGTGGCTGAGATGGGAACCGTGGACTCTGTGCAGATGTAGGAGCTGGCTCCAGTCAAGTGCTAGGAGGTTGTGGGTCCTGGGAAGGAAGAGGCTCTGGAGCCTCTGTGGAGACTCTGGGACTGTCCTTGGGGGAGACGTGAGCAGGAAGAAGCAGGGCCTTCACAGTCCCCAGCTTAGGGGCCTCACCACCCAGACTGAAGACCAGGACCAAACCCTTTCCTGCACAGTTACAATGTGTCATTTAATTTTACTAAAGGGAATATTTTTTAAATGAGGATGCTACTTTGTGTATTAATTTTTACCTCTATTCATAAAAGAAACGTTTCTTATCTATTTAAGATGATTCATATCAGACCAGTGTCTGCCCAACTCGACTGACCCTGTGAAAACTGGGCACTTCACACTCCAATGATGATGGATGAGTCCCCAGCAGCATAGTTTAAGGGAGTGAGTGGGCAGTGTGGCCTCCTGTGCACGTGACTTCCTCCTTCAGTGTGCCCACATGTGGGTTCCACGGTCTTGTGACATTGTGGCTTTAGAAATTTCTGTTTCCATTTTCTATCATTCAGAGTAAATGAAATTTGCAGGAAATTCAGAACCTTCCACCTGTACAGTGGATACTGTGAGACTCTGCCCAGATGCCCTTTTCAAGCCAATGCATCTCTCCATGCTCCCACTCCCATAGATGGGAACAGAGGTGCTGGAACTCAGATCTACTCCCCTTTCTGGGAACTGGAGCTGCCTGCCCAGGCAATGCCCCCTTCCCAGGGATGGCTGAGCCAATGACTGGCTAATGTTGGATTGCAGAGGCCTAGCGCCCTCCCCTCAATTCCTAATTCCTTGTAGGAATAACTGAGGCCTCCTCTGTGACCACGTGGGCAGCTTCTCCCTCTGCCTGGTCCTGTCTTGTTCTCTCCTTTCCAATTGTGTCTCCTGGAAGCCCTCCCCACAAGTCTGCTGCATACAACTCTCCTTCTCAGAGAGCCTGAGCCCTGGATTCCCAGGAATCCAGCCTAAAATAGTCTGGCATTTGGTTTCAATTTTCTCTTTCACTAAGACTCAGTCACAGGTGCTAATAAATAATAAAATGTCACCACCTTGAATTCTATCACTCTCTCTTTTCTTGCCCCATCTCTGACAAGTAGGTGGTCCCTCAAGAACCTGAAAAGCAGACATTAGGAGGAAAGGAGGAGTGGGGGCAAGAGGCCCACACCTCACCTGGCCGGCTCCCATCCATGCGCCCTTGACTGAGGTAACACCTACCCTGGGAATCCTTCCCCTGCCTCTCGTGAGCCAGGCCGGGTGCTCTTGGGACAGCTCCCACTGCTCCTGTGTGCTCCCCCAGCTTGGCACATGACTCCCTGAATTATAGTCAGTTCCGTACCTGAATCTCCCTCTAGAATGCCAGTGCCACGAGGACAGAGGACGGTTCCACTTTGTTCACTATTTTCTCCCCAGGGTCTGGCAAAGTTCCTGGGACTTGGGAGAGGTGTCCTTCAGGAGCTTGGCAGAAGCCAAACGGCACACTTAAGTAGGGCAACTGAGGTGAGTTTAATGAAGGATTCTATACAAAAATTTGGACAAGGTATAGGGAGGCCACAATACACAGTGCAGTGCCTGGTGCCAGTGAGAGCAGGGCACTATTCCCACTGCAAGGCCAGACAGGGCAAGGGGAGGGAGCTGCCTGACAAGAGCTGCCCTTACGTCAAGGGACACATCAGCCCACTAGACCCCATCAGGAGGGAGCCAGGGCCTGACTCCCCTGACCTTGCTCTCCAATCTTCTGCCTAAAATTCCCCATCAGCCAAACACAACTGAAAACTGAAAGACAGGGGAGCCTGCTGTTAATAAGGTGAGCATCCCCCAGAATAAAGCTGGGTAGAGAGTGGAGAATGGATATGGAAGGGCAAAAGGAAGATTTATAAGACAGTGGGCACTAAATATCTATGAGATGAATAAAGGAACCACATTTTACAACAAACGGTCATTGAAACGCTACTCAATGGAAAGAGATCATTTCGGTCACTGTCTGGTGCAGACAAATCAAAGCCCACATGCATCAAAAAGGCCATGTCCGTGTAACTCCGACACGGGGCAGACAGCAAGGCTGAAGCCTATGGGGTATGTGGAGCCGGAACTGAGAGATCCTGATGTAAATCTAGCACTTGGGAAAAGGGGGACTAGAAGAAATTCACCCACAGGCAGAGGAAAACACAAACACTTATCTATTTTTGCCTAGGCTTTAAGTGGTATGGGAAAAATCTCTGAGACTACAAATCCTGTGCTTCATGCACAGGTTTATAATACCCTCAAAATGGAAGACCCCAAAACCCAGGCGCGGAAAATTCATATCAGGCCATTGATGCCCTCAATGTTCCCGGCTGAAACAAACTCAAAACTCCTCTGGAAAGGAGTGCTCCCACTTCAAGCCATGAAAAGCTACTGCAGAGAAAATAATCCCCAGTCAAGACACACTCACATTGAAACTGCAAGGCACACAAGGAAATGGATCACCTTGAGTGATAGCTGGCAGAGCTAATAAACCTCTGTATACCTCTAAGAAGCTCCACGCACTAGTATAACCCTTAAAGATTTGATGAAATCATTACTTTATTAAAATTGTTTTTATAAAAAATCAAAATCCAAAAAAAGCAACAAATTTTATACCAGAGCCAATTCGGTATATACAAGGGTGTCTTACTCTTTTGGAATTTGTCTTATTGTCCTAACTCAGCACATTGTCCTGGTCTATGAAAAGTCCTAGAAACCCTTCTACCCTCTGTAATGTAGGAGCTTTAACTCAATAGGGTTTTTTAAATTCTTTTTTCTTGTCTTTTTTTCTTTTTTAATTTTTTCCATTTTTTCAAGTCAAACTGAAGAAATATTTTTCTTTTCTTTCTAGGAATGCATATTCACCCCCCAAGGCCACTTGTCTCCTGATTGGAGAGTATTAGACAATTCTCAGGATTTCTTTATTTTCCTTCTTTATTCCATAGGATTGGGAAACCCAGTAGGATTGGGTTTAGGCATATCTCTAAAGCACCATGTTTCAACGTTTTGATGTAAGATTGTGCCCTATTTCTTGTTCAGTTGCTGCCAGCAGATGTTATAGTTTTAAAACTAGTTTTTGGTCATTGAGATATTAGAGGAGGGAAGAGTCTGCTATCCTGCTTTACTCATCTTCATCTACACTACACTGTCATCTTCACTGCAAAGTCCTGTATTAATGTTTTTAGATTCTATAACATTTTAACAGGTGTCAAAAAATCTTAAGCACCACTTCAGCTTGGGAATCTCTAAATGTAATGGTGTTTGTGGGCTGGACTGATGTCTGCGTCTTGTTGTTGTTATTGTCTGTAGTAATGGAGAGCCGGGAGATCCTGGACACTTCCTGTTCATGGGCACTTGATGCATTAGCTGCCCCAGCAGCTGATTACATTTAAACAAGGATGTGTGGGTGAACCCAGGGAGACCAATCTCAGTGGAATGGTGGGGGCAGAAGCCAGGCTGCAGGGTGTAGAGTAGGGAATGAGCAGTGATGAAGTAGAAACAGAGTTTGGACAACTAGTGAAACTGCCTGGAAGAGGGGGAGAAGAGACAGTAAATGGTCTGACCAATGTTTGAGGTCAAAGTGGGTTTGTAATCTTTATTTAAGGGACAGATCTGAGCATTTAAAAATTCTGAATAATCTAATAGAGAGGAAAAAGTTGGGACTCAAAGAAAATGTGGGAAAAAATGATGAAGGTTAAACGGAATGAGATCCAGAGTGCAGGGGGAGAGATTAGCCTTTGGTGTTAGAGGAGCAACTCTGTCCATGGAGAGAGGAAAAATGTAGACATACCACAGTTGCATTTGAAGTTGGGGCCTGAGGAGTTGAGGAGTTCTGAGAAAAGCAGAAGATGAGATCATTTCCTGAGAGTAAATGGGAGTCATTAGAACGGGGGTGAAGAGACTGGAAGCTTTAGGTAGCTTGAAATAGTTGATGGAAAAATTGGATAAAGTGACAATTTGTCACACTCAGAACAGCTATCAGGGAATCTAGAAGAATCTCTGGAAGCTAGTTGAAGATCTTAAATTACCAATGTATCTTGTCCACATAGCTAAGCGGTTTTACTTATTTTTATTTTTTTGAAACAGGGTCTCACTCTGTCACACAGGCTGGAGTGTAGTAGTAGTAGCACAATCACAGCTCAATGCAATCTCTGCCTCCCGGGCTCAAGCAATCCTCCCACCCCAGCCTCCCGGGCCTGGGACTACAGACACACACCACCACTCCCAGCTATATTTTGTACATTTGTAGAGACAGGGTCTCGCCATGTTGCCCAAGCTGGTCTTGAACTCCTGGGCTCAAGTAATCTGCCCACCTCGGCCTCCCAAAGTGCTGGGATTACAAGCTTGAGCCCGGCTGCTAAGTGGTTTTAAACAGCTGTTCTCGGAAACACACACTCAAAGAAAAAATGTAGAGGATAATTTATCTAAGGCTGGGGCTTCAAGAGAGGTCAGGGTGTTGACAAGAGAATGACTAAGTGGCAGACTACTGGATCTCAGCTAGATAAAGAGGGATGTGATCGTGGGAGGGGCTGATAGTCAGAGGCTGGAAGGCTTGATGAACAACACATATTACACAAAGAATAAATGGAGTGAGAGAAACCAAAGGAGTAAAAGTTGTCATCAGAAAAGTGAGAAATTTTATTGTGAGAATTCAGTGGTAAATCAATGTTAACAAACCTCAGCTGGGCACTAGTGGAGTGAAACCGAAGGCCAGGGAGTTGAGTTAATGAGCTGAGACTTGGGCACCAGATGGGGGTCCACATGGACAACTAAGCCACCAGGATGATGTGGGAAACTGGGGTGAATAGAAGCCCCTTATCCATGTGCACAAGTCTTGAATAAAATAGGGGCAACCAGGCAGTCAGTGGATGATAGCAGTGAGGTGGAGCAGAGAGCAATGTAGTTGGAGAAGTGGAGCCCACAGCAGTCTCCTTTATATCTAGAAGGGAATTAATAGCCAAAAAATGGCACCGAGGCCAAGGATGTCACCTTCTGACTCCCAAATCTGAGACAGATGTGAGAGGGAAGGAGTATCCTCAAGGGACAGGAGATGGTGCGAATGTTTTTGGCATAAATCAAAGATGTCAGGGAAATTGTCAGAATTCAGGTTCCAGAGACACAGAGGAAAAGCGTGGGAGAAAGTGGAATATTGGGAGGTGAGATTAGGGCAGAGGAAGCACAAATCAAAGAACGAGGAATAGAAAAAGTCATATGAGCTGAGGAGTTGGCCAAACATGACAGAATGGGAATATGATGGAATTAAGTGGCTTTATGTGTTCCAAAAGGATTGGTCCACGCAGGCCACAGGAAAATGGGAGGTAAGAAGAAAGGGATCGAAATGCTGCAAAGTGTATTACTTCATGGTAAGCAAAGGACTCAAGACTCTAGAAAATGATGCCCTTCCTTCCAAGACTATGTTAGTCCAAATCTTTCAAGATACAGAACCCAAGGTGGGGTCTGGCATACAAGAAGTATAATAGAGGAAATGTCTGTGACATTTGCAGGACTGCAAAGGGAGCCAGGAGAAGCTGGGAAAGCCATGAGATCACAAGCAGGTCTGACTCCAAGTGAAGGAGATGGGGAATGACGCAAGGTTTGGCTGAAGCATGTGCCAAAGGCACCCATCAGAGGAGTCCCTCTCCAAGGGATGGGCCTATCATAGTGTCCCTAATAGTGTCATGGAGTGGGAGCAGCCCACGGAGGGCACAGCCTTGGCATGAACGCAGACATGGGTCTCAGAGTGCAGCAGCTGGGCCCCTCAGTC
This sequence comes from Homo sapiens, assembly GCF_000001405.40. Lineage (NCBI taxonomy): Eukaryota > Metazoa > Chordata > Mammalia > Primates > Hominidae > Homo > Homo sapiens. The sequence goes on from NC_000003.12 coordinate 46,401,691, forward strand.
AATTAGGCTCCCTCAGAGCTGGGGCAGGAGGTGCACTAGACCACACAGTAATATTTATTTATTATTAATTTAATTAATAATATTAATTTATTAATTTAATTAATAATATATTTATTTATTTATTATTACTAGACCACACAGTAGTATTTGTATGTCTAAGGAAGCATTTCTCAGAATATACTCACTGAACTTTTAGCCTATAAGTACCTGTATGAAAATTTTAAAAGGGGTTTCATGATCAAAACATTTTGGGAAACACTCCATACCCTTTCTTCCTCATGAAGGATCATAATGCCTATTAGTATATGAAGGGCTCTGAGAAGTCCTGTAGTAAAGAAACTTGCTTTAGTTTTTTAGTCCAGCAATTTTTCAAACTTAAATGAGCAATAGCCTCCCATCCTTTTTTTTACACTTTTTAGCATACTGCGGAATAAACTCAACATGCATTGAGAAAGACTGCTTTAGGGAATAGTCAACACTATTTCACTCCCAGTAAGTACATATAAAATCTGTATTTCCAGGGTGGATTATCAACACAGCTGTATTTTAGAAATATTATCTGCCCTCCCAGGTATCACAGCTACTAATTATTGGGTACTGAGGTGGAATTTTAGGGATCAGCCAATTATGGGAAAGAAAATCTGGGGGCAGGATAAGATGGTCTCCGAAGCCTTAAAATTATATGCCATTATTTACCTCTTTGATCTACTACTCAATATCAAACAACTAATTCAGAAGAAAATTGATTGTTTTCTAAAAGTAGTTTTTCTACATTTCCCATTAAGAAGCAGTGGTATTTAAAACTTATAATGGCTATTATGTGAGATTATCACTATCATAGTTTTTCTCTATACAAATTTTCTGTAACATTTTATTTGCTAATAAAAATTAGATAGATGGATTGACTAATTGATAATCTAAGAAAGATTATATTTGAAGAAGCCATAGTAAGGGACAGATTAAATTATCATCAGTCTAAACATTCTAATACCTATTTCTCTTTTTTTGAAATTTTCCAAATTTGTTATTATGCATTTAAACAATAATTTTTTGAACTTTTATTTTAGGTTCTGGGGTACATGTGAAAGCTTGTTACGTAGGTAACCTTTTGTCATGAGGGTTTGTTGTACAAATTATTTCATCACTCAGCTATCAAGCCCAGTACTCAATAGGTATCTTTTCTGCTCCTCTCCCTCCTCCCGCCCTCCAGTCTCAAGTAGACCCCGGTGTCTGTTGTTCCCTTCTTTGAGTTCATGTGTTCTCATCATTTAGCTCCCACTTATAAGTGAGAATACAAGGTATTTGGTTTTCTGTTCCTGTGTTAGTTTGCTAAGGGTAATAGCCTCCAGCTCCATTCGTGTTTCCACAAAAAAACATGATCTCGTTCTTTTCATGGCTGCATAGTATTCCATGGTGTATATGTACCACACTTTCTTTATCTAATCTGTCATTGATGGGCATTTAGGTTTATTCCATGTCTTTGCTACTGTGAATAGTGCTGCAATGAACATTCACATGCGTGTGTCTTCATGGTAGAATGATTTATATTCCTCTGGGTGTATACCCAGTAATGGGATTTCTGTTTTTAGCTCTTTGATCTAATACCTATTTCTCAAGATCAAGTTAGATCTCTAAAAAAGGCATCATCCTAGCATTTCCCCATCCCTTCCCTGAACTAAATTTAATGTTGTGTGTATCAATCAGCATACAGTCAAGACAGAAACCACACATGAACATTAAATATAATGAGTTATTAACTTATAAAAGGGTATGAACTACTAAAGGGGGTAAGGAGAATGCTGAAGAATGCAGGAATGGCAGATGTAGAGAGCAGCCATAACCTCTAAGCTAAGGCACAGCAGCCAAGGAAGGGGCGAACTCAAAAAATGCCCTCCCTCCCCAGCTGATCCACCCTTGTTGGAGGGGGTGTGGCTGCAACCCAATGGATGCCCAAGAAGTTTGCAGAGTTGTGGCAGGTTGGGGCTGCTGAGCAGGAAACTGCCCGAAGGGGTACCAGTGAGATTCCCAAGAATGTGGGCATGCCTCTGGCGAGGAAGACGCTCTTGGAGTGCCAGCAAAATTTACTAGGAAGCTACCCAGTAGGGTGCCAGCAAAAGTCAGCAGGAAGCCACTGTCGTGGTGTCGGCAAAATTCACTGAGGAGTGGGCACTGCAGGGTCTCCACCCAGCACTGGCAAATCAGCCAAAAGAACAAAAACAAAATAAAAACAAATCCCAGAACCAGAAAGAAAAAACTCTGCCTCTTACTGCGACCCTCTTATGCCTTCTACAGCAACTGGCAAAGGAGAAATGTTTATGGGGTCCAGCTCTAGACTCACAAAGCAGAACACAGAAGAGTGAATGAAGAGCTGAAAGGCGATAAATCAGTAACTGGAGCCTCACATCCTTTGCCTTTTTTATTGAGGGTCAATATATTAAGAAGAATATGTCTGCGTCTTCGGTAAAATTATTGCTAAGGTTATCACCCAGTGTGTGTTTTCAACCTCCCTGATATAAGAACTTAGTGACAAGAAAGAATGAGACAATGATCATGAACTATTGGACCCAACCATTTGTGGCTTTAGTGCCCATCTTCTCAGCAAGGCTTTCTCTCTCTCTCTCTCTCTCTCTCTCTCTCTTTTTTTTTTTTTTTTTTTTTTTTTAAGATGGAGTCTCACTCTGTCACCCAGGCCGGAGTGCAGTGGCACAATCTTGGCTCACGGCAACCTCCACCTCCTGGGTTCGAGTGATTCTCCTGCTTCAGCCTCCCGAGTAGCTGGGATTACGGGCACCCATCGCCACCCCTCCTGGCTAATTTTTGTATTTTTAGTAGAGATGAAGTTTTGCCATGTCGGCCAGGCTGTTCTCAAACTCCTGACCTCAAGTGATCCACCCACCTCAGCCTCCCAAAGTGCTGGGATTACAGGCATGAGCCACCACAGCCAGCTCTCAGCAAGGCTTTTTCTGACTACACTATTTAAAATGTGATCCCTGAGCCACCTTGGCCTCTCTTGCTGTCCTTCCCTGCTTCGCCTTCTCCATAGCACTTCTCTCCTACTAATCTACAATTTACTTGAGCTCTGTGAAGGTCAGGATTTTTGCCTATTTTGTCCATTGGTGCATCCCCAGCACCTGGAACAGAGCTAGGCACAGGCTAGGCACTCTAGAAATACTTGCTGAATAATTGAATTAAGTAAATGAGTGATCTACACGTAGTGGGGAATGAGAGTATACAGTGATAGTTCCTTCGACTAAAACTGGGGTCAAATTATAGTGATAAAGAGGAACTCAGACCTTCAGAGGTAAGCTTTGTGGACCACTTGCCAAGGCTGCAGAATGTGATGTCGTTTCACAAACAAGGAGGCCCTATTATGGCTTCAGATATGAGAATAATAAAGAGAACTTTCCTTTCGCCTCAACTGCAGCCTTCTAAACTCTTCCTTCCTTCCTATGTAGAAGTTTCAAGGACCTCATGGCCTGAGTGTGGATAGGCAGAATGCTGGGAATCAGGCAAAAATAAAATAATACTGAAAGTGAAGGTCATGCTAATATTAGTAAGCCAGGGTGATCCTGAATTTACAAAACATTTTTCTTTGGGAAATTTCACACCTCACATGATTCTGTGTTTTTACTTGGGAAATTTCACATCTCACATGACTCTGTGACATGCGGTACATGAGGTGCCTGACTGCTGTTTTTGTCCTCTACTAATGAGGAAGAGTGTGCGTACTCCCAGCGTTTTGCAAGTTTCAAAGTCTGACTTGACTTTCCTTCCTTTTCCTGGAACTGATCCATGAGTATCGAGAGTAAAGCTGCCCGCACCTACTCATTCAAGATCCTGAGTGTCCTGCCCAGCTGCAGGAGGTGGAGAGACCCAGGAGGAGGGGCCACTGCTGATCCCAGGCTGTAGGGGGTGGGAAGAGTGTCCCAGGGCACCATGACCCCCACTCACTCACTCACAGGAGACCCACACAAGAGAGGAGAGGGCACTTACAGCTTAGGTTCCCACCAGCACCAACTCCTCTGCCATCAAACATCATTGTGTTTCTCTTTCTGCCTTGTCTGTCGGCACACGTGGAGTTAAATTTAATGCTCAATCACATATTTGTCTGGGCTCTTTCTGTGTTTATTTTTCTCTTAATAGTTCTCTCTCCTCCCTTCCTCTCCCCGCCCCTCCTCCTCCTTCTTCTTTTTTTTTTCCAGAGACAGTGTCTCGCTCTGCCACCCAGGCCAGAGTGCAGAGTGGCATGATCATGGCTCACCGCAGCCTCCAACTCCTGGGCTCACGTGAACATCCCACCTTGGCCTCTGGAATGTCTGGGATTACAGGCACTTGCCACTGCATCTGGCTAATTTTTATATTGTTTATAGATCCGGGATCTCACTATGTTGCCCAGGCTGGCCTCAAACTCCTGGGCTCAAGCGACCCTCCCACCTCATACTTCTGAGTAGCTGGGGCTGTAGGAATGCGCCTCAGTGCCAGGCTAGTTTCTTAATTTTCTATTTCTATTTTGACAGGTACAAATTTTGTATTCAATCCTACCTCAGACACATCTTTGGTGGGAAAAGGATGTCATTTAATCAATATATAAATTCTAAGCAAATAGGTCTGATCCCCAAATTAGGTTAGTCACAGCTGCTGAGTCGTTGACCCAAGAGAAGCTCATCTAGATTTTTTCATTATTTTCAAGTTCCTCTTCTCGGTTCGTCCTTCTTCCAGACCGTGCCCTCCCCGTCCCACTCTCTTCCCACAGCCTCCCCTCCCCACAGCCTCCTCCCACCATTCCAAATCTGGGCTGTTCTCTCAATTTCCTTCTCTCTGGACTCAAACCTACCCTAGCCCCCAGCCTCAGTTTGGGGTTAAACTTGTCCTCCTCACATTCTCTCCCACCCAACTTGATGTCGCCTCTGTGTCATCACCACGGGATTTTCCTCCTCTGGGTTCTCCTTTTCCGAGTGGGGTCAGCTCCCCCATGAGTCACAGCACCAATCACTTCTGGCTGCTTGCAAACCCCTTTGCTTTCCTCAGTGTTGACACCCAGGGCAGCCCTATGCTCACTGCCGCTGAGACCCCACCTCTGCCCCTGGCCTTTTCCCAGCTGACATCACCCTGTGGCTTCCATTTTCCTAAAATTCTCTTTTGAGGCCTCAGTCTTAACCAAAGCACACAGTGCCCCTCAAAAATGACAATAAAAACCCAAACACACCGTGACTGTCATGGCAGGTTCCTGGTCCCCGTATTGAATCAGCGGGTGGGTTTCTGCGAACACTGGTGAGAGGCCGCATTAGAGGGTCAGGACCCTCAGGTCTGGACTCGTGGTCACCACATACCTTCCTCCCTGCTGACAGTAGCTGGTACCTGTTACCTACTCAGAGTGTCACATGCCACAAGCCAGAGCGTCTTGGCAGTTCTCAGCACCTTGACATCACTTCCTTGCTACCACTCAGAGCGGCAGTGACACAGTTCCCTTATCTCAGAAGGCCAGAAGACGGCTGTCAAAGGTCACAGGGAAATCAAAGGCGGGGTACAGGGCCAGAGGGAGGAGGAAACAACTTCCCGGTTGCTTTCAGACGCTTCAGAGATCCTCTGGAGGCCTGGGGGAGCTTTTGAGTACTTTATTTCAGTTGGTCCCTGAGCTCGGTGAGTGGGGCGGGTAGAGCCACCAGGGGAATCAACAGTGGTTTCTCGTGCCCCTCAGGGTCAGGAGCAGTCTGATCAAAAGGAGGGCATCCACTGTCCGGGGCCATTCCCACAGCTCCCGGATGCTGGGTCTGGAGGCTGCGCCCTTCCCCTGCAGGAGCTCAGCCCAGTGGTAAGTCATCTGTGTGTCATCTATGTATTTAACCCCTTATGGCCATGTTGATGCTGAGCATGGTTTCACTTTTGCAAACATTTATTTATACCCTTCGAGAGAAAAACGTCTCAGCTGTCACAGGAAGCTGCTTCGGGGGGTGAGCAAACTTTTTAAAATGCAGAAATTATGATCTACACCCGTTTCTTAAAAGTAAGCCATCGTACTTGGTTCTCTTTAATTATATATTTTCTTACATATTGTGTTCATGTAGGCAAGTCCTGTTTCTGCTAAAAGAAGGTAAGTTCTACCAAGGCGGTGTCATGCCAGCTTTATTTCCCGTGGCACCTGGCACACTGCTAAGCACTTACATGCTTAACAACTAGATTGGGAATGGTGCTGCTCTGGGGAAGTGGGCACACGTTAAAGAAATGTTTATTTCAGTCTTCTGAAATAGGGAATTACTCTGGCTAAAATGTAGCTCCAGAAAGGGAAAGTGGGGCTGTATGAATCCAGGTCCAGTTTGTTGTTTCCTCCAGGATAAGGCAGCTGTCGGAGGGGAAAATCATCTCCCATTTCTCCACAGGGCAGTCTGAAGATGGCCAATTACACGCTGGCACCAGAGGATGAATATGATGTCCTCATAGAAGGTGAACTGGAGAGCGATGAGGCAGAGCAATGTGACAAGTATGACGCCCAGGCACTCTCAGCCCAGCTGGTGCCATCACTCTGCTCTGCTGTGTTTGTGATCGGTGTCCTGGACAATCTCCTGGTTGTGCTTATCCTGGTAAAATATAAAGGACTCAAACGCGTGGAAAATATCTATCTTCTAAACTTGGCAGTTTCTAACTTGTGTTTCTTGCTTACCCTGCCCTTCTGGGCTCATGCTGGGGGCGATCCCATGTGTAAAATTCTCATTGGACTGTACTTCGTGGGCCTGTACAGTGAGACATTTTTCAATTGCCTTCTGACTGTGCAAAGGTACCTAGTGTTTTTGCACAAGGGAAACTTTTTCTCAGCCAGGAGGAGGGTGCCCTGTGGCATCATTACAAGTGTCCTGGCATGGGTAACAGCCATTCTGGCCACTTTGCCTGAATTCGTGGTTTATAAACCTCAGATGGAAGACCAGAAATACAAGTGTGCATTTAGCAGAACTCCCTTCCTGCCAGCTGATGAGACATTCTGGAAGCATTTTCTGACTTTAAAAATGAACATTTCGGTTCTTGTCCTCCCCCTATTTATTTTTACATTTCTCTATGTGCAAATGAGAAAAACACTAAGGTTCAGGGAGCAGAGGTATAGCCTTTTCAAGCTTGTTTTTGCCATAATGGTAGTCTTCCTTCTGATGTGGGCGCCCTACAATATTGCATTTTTCCTGTCCACTTTCAAAGAACACTTCTCCCTGAGTGACTGCAAGAGCAGCTACAATCTGGACAAAAGTGTTCACATCACTAAACTCATCGCCACCACCCACTGCTGCATCAACCCTCTCCTGTATGCGTTTCTTGATGGGACATTTAGCAAATACCTCTGCCGCTGTTTCCATCTGCGTAGTAACACCCCACTTCAACCCAGGGGGCAGTCTGCACAAGGCACATCGAGGGAAGAACCTGACCATTCCACCGAAGTGTAAACTAGCATCCACCAAATGCAAGAAGAATAAACATGGATTTTCATCTTTCTGCATTATTTCATGTAAATTTTCTACACATTTGTATACAAAATCGGATACAGGAAGAAAAGGGAGAGGTGAGCTAACATTTGCTAAGCACTGAATTTGTCTCAGGCACCGTGCAAGGCTCTTTACAAACGTGAGCTCCTTCGCCTCCTACCACTTGTCCATAGTGTGGATAGGACTAGTCTCATTTCTCTGAGAAGAAAACTAAGGCGCGGAAATTTGTCTAAGATCACATAACTAGGAAGTGGCAGAACTGATTCTCCAGCCCTGGTAGCATTTGCTCAGAGCCTACGCTTGGTCCAGAACATCAAACTCCAAACCCTGGGGACAAACGACATGAAATAAATGTATTTTAAAACATCTATTTAATGTATTTTAAAATAATTTGTAAGTTGATTTTAAAACCAATTTAACTACATTCCAAATTATAGACAGCCCATTTATATGGGAGTAACTTTTCAGGCTCATTGCCTCGCCGGTGATGAGAAGAACTAGCTAGCTGGAAGCTGTGGGAAAAAGAGGTAAGGTAACTTGTTCTGTCGAAGTTCTCTAAATTCTCTTGCTTACTTGCCACACCCCTAGGCCCCCAGCTTCCCCTAACCCAAGGTTTCTGGTATTTTCTCGTACTTTATCAAGACTATGGAATCTTAGGAGACTTAACAAAAGCAAATGAGAAATTATGTTTAGAAATGTCTAACAAAATGAATGCTTTGTCCTTTTAAGTATAACACATACCTCAGGCCTCACCAGCACATAACTACAAAAGGTTGTCCCACTTCCTTTCTGTGGCTGAGTTAGTAGAACACAGGCTCCCACCTGCCACATCAGCAGAAGGTCACCTCAACATGTGAGCTACCTCCCCGGAGACCCCCCAGATCCGTAAGGATGATGCATCCTTGATCCTAAAAACATTTTCCTGTTCCTGGTGTTCAGAATTGGACTCCACACTCACTGGTCTCTTTATAATCTTGCTTCTGGCCCTTTGAGGCCTCAAAGCTACCAGGGCCTTGCTGCCAGGGGACAATCACCACTCCCGGCTGAGTCCTGCAGACATAGGGCCTGGGCTGGCTGCCTCCTCCTGCTGGCCCAGCATCTTGCTTGCACTAAAGAGAGCTGGAGGCTTGGCACTGATGCTTGCTAAAAACCTACCCAGGCCGCCCACTGCTGCCGCACTGCAGGGCACCAGCCCACACTCCTCCCCTCCTGGCATCAGGCACACGTTCACGGCACTAAACCTTACAGGAAAGCAGTGGAACCCTGTCTTTCCTTCACAGGAGGCACTTTCCTTCCTAGGCAAAAACGATGATACCCATGGGCACAGCATCTCACATAGGGACACATAGAGATGTCTGACTCATTAAAACCCAAGTCTCTGGCCAATTAAAAGGGGTCCTTAATGTCCTACTCAACAGTGGTGGAAGGAAATTTGCTCTATATTGATGAAATGAGGTGGAGAAAATCTGATTTTCCAAACATGAGAATTCTCCATATGCCACCCCATAACCAAAGACCCCTTATTTGTGTTAGATGAAACATTCAAAGAGCCTATTAGGATAGCGGATGAGACCCCCAAGGGACATGCTTATACAACAATAACTGGCTCCAAACCACACTCCATGGCAGTGGCTCTCAAATGCCAGCTCACATCACAAGCCCTGTGCTAAAACACAGAGTTCTGGGCCCCATCCCGGAGTTTGTGGTTCAGGAGGTCTGGAGTGTGACCTCAGAATATGCATTTCTAACAAATTCCCCAGGGGATGCAGATACTGCTGACCCAAGGCCCTCCTTCTGAGAACCACTGTTCCAGGGAGAAGAAACTCAGCTAAGTAAGGGTTTGGCTTTGTGCTGAAGACAATGTGGAATTTAGAGTTGGGGTGAATTATTCAGGAAAGTAGAGAGGTTTGGAGATGTGAGGGTGGGAAGCGCAGTGGAGGGAGGCAGAGAGGAAATATGAAGCAGCGTCAGTTGGAGAGAAATTAGGAAGAGGAATAAAATGATATATGCCAGGGATTTCAGTTTTGCTGAGCCCATGATGACAGACTCTTCTCTGGCACCTTATGCCACTCATTGAGGGCTTGTAGCTGGCTCTGCTCTTTCAGAGTCATAATAGGGCTATGGGTCTGACCTCAAGGTGAGCTGGAATGGGCACAAGTAATAGATAAAACTGCAAGAAGTCACTCAAGGGTCCTTCCTAGAACAAAGGATCCCTACATTCCAAAGGCGAATGCCGGTCACTATCATAAAAGAAAAGAAAGAAAGAAACTGATGGTGACATTTTAAATGGCAATTTTTCTAGCTTCTAAAAGGTTGTGGAGCAACTGGAACTTTCATACCCTGCTGGTGGGAATGTAAAATGGTATAATCACTTTGGAAAAATTGGCAGTGTCACCAAAAGCAAAGCCTATACCTACTATCCATTTCACTCCTCAGTATTTACCCAAGAGAAATGAGCATGTATGTCCATACAAAGATTTGGACCCAAATGTTCATGACAGCCTTATTTATATAGCCTCAAACTAGAAAAAGTCTGTCTATCAACAGGTGAATGGATAAACAAATACTGGCCTGTGTATCTAATGGAATACTGCTCATCCACAAAAAGAAACGAGCTATTGATACACACAGGAGCATGCACGAAATCTCAAAATGCTGAATGAAGGAGGCCAGATTTTAATTTTATTTTTAATTATTTATTTATTTATTTATTTTTGAGACAGAGTCTCGCTCTGTCACCCAGCCTGGAATGCAATGGTGTGATCTTGGCTGACTGCAACCTCTGCCTCCTGAGTTCAAGCAATTCTCATGCCTCAGCCTCCCAAGTAGCTGTGACTACAGTCATGCACAAGAGCAACTGACTAATTTTTGTAATTTTAGTAGAGACGGGGTTTTGCCATGTTGGCCAGCTGCTCTCACACTCCTGACCTCAGGTGATCCACCTGCCTCGGCCTCCTAAAGTGCTGGGATTACAGGCATGAGTCACCGTGCCCAGCCGGAAGCCAGATATTTTTTAAAAGTACTTATTTTGTGATTCTATTTATATAAAATTCTAGAAAATGCAAACAAATCCATAGCGACAGCAAATCAGTGGTTGCTGGAGATGTTGGAGGGGAGAGGAGAGGAATAGATTGCAAAGGGGAACAAGGAAATTCGGGGGGACAGTGGATATGTCTGCTATTTTGACTGTGGTGATGGTTTCATTGGTATATACATATGTCAAAAACGTAACAAGTTGTATACGTGATTTATTATGTGTTGACTATACCTCAAAAAGGCTATTTTTTAAAATCCCCCTCAGGCTCCAGGCACTCCATTACGTTGGTGTGACTTGTCTTGGAAATATACTTTGAGCATTTGCCGGAGGAGATCCAGTGCCTGGGCCTCTGTTTCTTCTCCCAAGTAGAATTGGCAGCTAAAACGGGATGCCCATGGGCACAACTTGTCACCCCCATCACCGAACAGGGAGCAGAAGGAGGCTGCTGGGGGTGCCCCCACAGGGAGCACAGTCTCATCGGGAATGACCTGCCATGGCAAATAAAATCACCAGGGCAAGTCAAGGGAGAGACCAGGGAAGAGAGTGATCCAGTCTATATTAAAAAAGGATGAGAAAGGTTGAAGAAAAAGAGAAGAAGGGACAGAAATTCTCTTCACACATTTGCAGAAGTAGGTCCGGACTCTCCATCCACTTCTCCTCCTCCGATAGGTAGGACAGGAATCTCAGAGGAAATGGCATCATCTTCCCATGTTTACAGACACAGCAATGAACTCAAAGAACAATCTTATCAGGATTTTCCAAATGAAAACATGGAGCATATAGAGAATAAAGATCCATAAACTCGTATGGTGGCTGAGACTGAAATGGTTAATGAAAAGCAAAAGTGTGTGCTGAATGACACCAGCCACAATGGCCTGAACACTTAAGTAGTGTAATATACTTGGAACATTGACAGCTAACAAGGTCTTCCTCCCATGTCAGACCAAGAACACAGTTTCCTAAAGATAAAAATAGCACATGCTTTTCCACTTTTCCATAAGTGACTGCATTAGAAAACTAACAAACCATGAAAAGCAAAATATGGCTAGTCTATTCAAGAAAAACTGGTGTTTCTATTTTGTCTGTAAATTACTTTCTAATACAAAAAACAATTCCTGTTACATTGAGGTAATTCTAACTAGGGACATATGAGAGAGAGATTGAAATCTCATGAGCTGTCTCCTTTTCATCTCAATTCTGTGTACTCGTGGGTACAAATGGAACTAGTTTTTGTTTGTTTGTTTGTTTTTTGAGATGGAGTCTTGCGCTGTTGCCCAGGCTGGAGTGCAAAGGTGTGATCTCGGCTCACTGCAACCTCTGCCTCCTGGGTTCAAGCAATTCTCCTGCCTCAGCCTCCTGAATAGCTGAGATTACAGGCGCCTGCCACCATGCCTGACTAATTTTTTTTTTTGTTTGTATTTTTTAGTAGAGACAGGGTTTCACCATGTTGGTCAGGCTGGTCTCAAACTCCTGACCTCAGGTGATCCACCCACCTCGGCCTCCCAAAGTGCTGGGATTACAGGCGTGAGCCACTGCACCTGGCCCGGAACTAGTTTTAAAACAGGAAACAGTTGATATACTGAATGGAAAAACAATACAATTTGAAGTTGAAAAAACAAAATAAGATGCCCAGTTAAATTTAAATTTCAGTTAAGCAGCTAATAGTTATTTAGTATAAGTACAACCCATATACGACAATTGCAGTATTTGTTATTTATCTGAAATTCAGACTTACCTGGGCATCCTAGTATCCTGTTTTTTGTTTTGTTTTGTTTTTCCCTTTGTTTTCTTTTTTTTCCCCGAAATCTGACCACCTTAACTTTAAGGTATTTATTCATTTTTAAAAACTAAATATTTTTCGGCAGTCAGAACTAGAGCAAAGATAAATGATCCCAGGACTCTGTTTAGCAGGCAGTCAGGAAGTGTGACAGTGTGGTGGGTGGCAGCCCCGGCCAGGCCTTTCCTCTTCCCTAAACTGCCACAGCAGGACTGCCACACTTGGGAATCCCAGTTTCCATCTGAGCAGCCCCTCCAGAGTTTGGAAGGAGTCAGTGCTTTAGCCTGAGGAGCCGTGGATGGCTCTAACACTTTGCTTGTCGGTTGAATAAAAATCAACCCAAAGGTGGCCTACACTCATTGAAGTAGGAATGCCAGAACTTCAGTGGTGTCACATAGAAGAAAATATCTAAGTGCTTAGGGAGATGGCAGTGCTAGTGGATCTACTGGATCATTAAGACTCACTCACCCACCCAGCGCAGGTCTAGAGGACACACCCTTGCCACACTGGGAAGTGTAAATGAGCTCCAGCATCTTTATTTTTTTTTATTTTTTATTTGTTTTATTATACTTTAAGTTTTAGGGTACACGTGCACAAAGTGCAGGTTTGTTACATATGTATACATGTGCCATGTTGGTGTGCTGCACCCATTAACTCGTCATTTAACATTAGGTATATCTCCTAATGCTATCCCTCCCCCCGCCCCCGGTGTGTGATGTCCCCCTTCCTGTGTCCATGTGTTCTTATTGTTCAATTCCCACCTATGAGTGAGAACATGGGGTGTTTGGTTTTTTGTCCTTGTGATAGTTTGCTGAGAATGATGGTTTCCAGCTTCATCCATGTCCCGCATCTTTAAAAAAAAAAAAAAATCTCTAAGTGGTGGCTCTTCTCTGTAGATCAGGAGCTGTAGTGAGCAATGCTACAAAACTGGAGTTTCTAAATACAGGGGGGATGGTGGGATTCTGAGGAAGGACAGGCCACGTGGTAACACTTACAAAAGACCAAGTGGGTGTGGTTGCCACTGTGGACGGTGGAGCCAAAGCAGTCCTCAGAATAGTCTGACCCCCAGAGGTCTTTGGCATTGGCTGGTTGATCATGGTGTCCCTGGAATTGAAATAGAAGGACGGTCTACTAAATTTTTACCTGATCTGTATAAGCAGAAGAGTTCTATCTCTAGTGAACAGAAGTCTAACTTTAGTCACCAGAACTGAGAGTCAATTCAATCAATTCCCAGATTTGACATAGTTTATAGACCTAGAACCCCTTGAATGAAAGGTAAGCTGGCTCCCCTTGAGGAAGGACCCTGTTACATTTCCGGCATTTTATTCTGATAATCTTTTTTCCCAGCCTTCCCCAAAGCAACTTAGGGCCATTTACCAGGGAAAGCCATGGAGGAAAAGGAAATAATTAGGCTATTTGGAGATTCCAGGACACTGGCTCTACGCTGACACCAGTTCTAAGAGACCCAAAATATCTTTGTGGTCTACCAGCCAAAGTAGGGCTTCATAGAGGTCAGGGGTCACTAGAGTTTGAGCTCAGGTCTGTTTCACTGTGAGTCTAGAGGGTCCCTGAACTTATCCTATAGTTATTCCCCCAGTTCCAGAATGCAGAATTGAGCTGAGAGCAGTGGCTCATGCTTGTAGTCCCAACACTCTGGGAGGCGAAGGTGAGAGGATCACTTGAGCCAAGCGGTTTGAGACCAGCCTGGGAAATATAGTGAGACCCCATCTTTTAAAAAGACAAAGAAAAATAAAGAAAATTGACATGGAAAAATAATATAAAATGTGAATAATCTCACATCTACTAAAGAAATCCAATCTGTAATTAGAACTCCTCCCACAGAGAACTATAAGCCCAGTGCCCCCATCAACTGGAGAAACAGAAAGAAACAATCTTCTTAACAGAAAGCATAATTGGAATAGAGATACTCTGCATCGGGGAAGAATCCCCATATTGATTCTCTGATCCATAGAGTGAAGGCCAAGTGGAAGCCTTTGGAACTCCCTCTACCTGCCAAGATACTAAACAAAACAACACTGCACGTCTGGAGGAATTGTAGCAAGAACTTGAAAGATGAAGGATGATGATGTCCACCTCTCTCCATTCAGCTCACCTATCTGGTTTGTGCAGAAGACAAATAGGTGTTGGAAAATGACAGTGGACCAGTGTAAACTTAATCAGGCGGGGGCTCCAGCTGCAGCTGCAGGATCAGGTGTTGTTTCATTTCTGCAGCTAATCAACCCTTCTCCTGGCACCTGGTGTGCAGATGGCAATTTTTCTTTTCTATTATCTGTTAGTAAAGACTATCAGAAGCTGTTTATTTTCAGTTGGCAAGGTCAGCAATACACTCCAAGGGAAGAGCAGTCTGTCTCAGATCTTACCGATGCCTGGGGATAGGGAGGGAGTGGCCCCCTCACCGTCTCCAAGGCCTAGTCCTCTGCTCCTGCTACTGGCAGCAAATCCACGCAGGTCTGCAACAACCTCAATTCCTGCCTCCTCAGAAGAAAGAATTCAATTGAGGGACATAAGACAGAAGGAGAGACTGAGGCAAGTTTTAGCACAGGAGTAAAAGTTTATTTAAAAGCTTTAGAATAGGAACAAAAGGAAGGAAAGTACACTTGGAAGAGGGCCAAGTGGACGACTTAAAAAGCAAGTGCGTGGTTTGACCTTTTGACTTGGGGTTTTATACGTCAGCATGCTTTCGGGGTCTTGCGTTATTTCTCCCCTGGTTCTTCCCTTGGGGTGGGCTGTCCCATGTGCCTGCCTGAGCCCACTGGCTCAACTCCTGAGATCTTATAGGGAAACTACTGCTCACCAGTTTCGAGTGTTTTCTATCTATTAGGAGCCGGCTTTTCCCTGTTGCCGGGTGTGACCAATTATTACTTTAGAAAGACAGTCAACAACCGCCAGACCATCACCTGATGGTCACCTGACACTCCTGGTGTGTGGGGTATGGGGAGCCCTCTCCTGCCCTGCTCTTTCTGACTAGCTACCCACTATAACACTCCCAGAGGGACCTGCACATTTTGTGCTCTTTGCAAGACAGTGCCTGCCCAGCACCTGTAGGCCTGCTCACCCCTTCAGGGTCATGATTTTTGCTTTTTACCGCAGGTACCCATAAGCAAAACATGGCATTGTTCACCATGCTTTTACATTATTCACATAATTTTAAGTTATTTACACAACAATGTAAAACCATGGTGAACCATGCCACATGTTGCTTATGGGTACCTGTGGTAAAAATCCTGCTACTAGCTCATTTTGCAGTGTCTATAATGACAGGTAATGCTCCATTCACTCCTTTATGACACTTGCAAAAACTGAGAACATAACGCCTCCCAGTTAAGCAGGCATCTGGGCAATGTGAGGAGAACAGAAATAGACCACGCTGCATTTATCTCTCTTGATGACAGGCATTGAGATTTCCACTTTTTCTGGTTTCTTATTATGTCTCTACTGGGCATTCTTACATACATCTTGCACGCCATGGAAAGTTTCTCTAGGGCAGTGGTTCACAAACTTTTTGGATACAGAATACTTTTATGTGCTTGAAAACTGAGGACCCCATACAGCTTTAGTTTATGTGGGTGTAAGGTTCTAGCCCAAACTGAAGTCCGAAGGGAGTTGGTGGGTGGGTGAGGGGTAGCTGAAAAAACACCCGAGGAATCATAGGCAGTTTGAACATGGCCTTATCCTCTCTCTGGGCACGAGCCATATGTCCAGTGTCAGCAGGGTAATTATACCTTTTACAGACAATAGAGGCTCTGAAGCAATCACGAGCTCACGTGAGTGGTCACCTAATGCACCTCAAGTGGCATGGTTCATAATGTGCGGAGTCGTGTGCCTACGCTCCAAACCCACTGAGTCATGGTGCACCAAAAAGTGGCCTCAGCCTGCTCCTGACTAAAGCGCAGCCATCTTCCTTACACTCCACCCCTAGGCCAGGGGCATCCTCCAGGTAGGGACATGTGCCCGTAGGGTGGAGCCCTGAATCCATAATCCACAGCAACAATACGGAGAGCAACAGCTCACGACTAGGATTCCAGCTATGCTACTTATGACTATCAGGGCCCAGCGTAGGCCAGAGCCCAGGGATGTCTACCATCTCTGCAGGGGGTCATCAGTAAGGCTCTTGACTACCTTAATCTCCTGTGAGACCCCTTGCAGGGCTGCTGTTATGTTCTGCCAATTGTCAGGGATAAAGGTACAACATTGTGTTCCTAAAAGGGCACAGGTGCCTCCTTAGGCAGCAGTTACTATGTCTAAGACCATTCGGTTTCGCAACACCACCTTTCTGATCTGATCAACCTCATCCATTAATGGGAAGAGGGCCACTCAGGTGTAATTCAGAGCCTGAGCAGCATGCTCTGCAAGAGCAGTAACTTGGCTTCTACAGTTGTGACACACACTCCAGGGCTAGTGCCTGTCAAGGGGTAAAACCACCAGGGTGCTCATTACACTTGCAAAAACCGAGAGTGTAGCACCTCCCAGTTATGCAGGCATCTGGGCAATGTGAGAACAGTGGCAGGTACATGAGGCCACCCTCAGGTATAATGTCCAGTCCAGTTTGCTTATAGGTAAGGCCACCCTGTGTCCCCACAGACCCATAAACTCCCAGGGGGCACACAGTCCATCGAGGCCCCTTGGTGGGGCCGCGTCTTCCACCATACCTTTGGTGTGGTGACATGTATTATGCTTACACACACTGTGACGGGTACCCATCCCACAGTGCTATTACCCCAGTGTTGCTATATGCACCACAGTGCCTGGGCCAGGGGTACTGCACGTTACCTCACTAGCCAGCCCCACCCATCATAAATGCTATGGGCCAGCCAGGGAATGGCTGTGCTGTGGGTCTTGTGGCATCCTTTGTCCAAAACTTGCCACGTTGCGTTCCAGGCATCAGCCATGGGACCCCAAGTCTCCAGCCATGTCTGGTTCTCTGCAGATGCTGAATGTATGTGCTAAGGCAAGCCATCTGCAGCTGCTAGAAGGGCGGTGCAGATCCAACAGTTGGAAACATTGGTCACTTCAGTGTAGGTGTGGGCCCAGTCCACAATGCAGTTGGAGCATGTTAACCTACAGTTGGAATGACAGAGTAGGCATAGGTACTAACAGAGGAAAATCACATCCCTCAGGTAAAATACAGGCTAACCTTTCATCCCTGGATAACAATGCAGCCCCCAAGGGGTTCTGCCCTGGGCAATAGTACCACACCTTTTCAGCTCCCCATGGTTCCTTTGGGTCCTGTATTCATGCGAAAGTCACAGGGGAGCTTGTAGTAGGCCACACAGACAGTACATTTGAACCCTGGAGGAAAGTTTCTTCCCTGGCCGTTTTCCTACAAACAGTTAACTTCGGGGACCATTCATTGAACACCCAAAGAGTGACATACAAGTCATACTGTAGGCCCTCCCCACAGGGAGCTACGATGGACAACCACCAGCAGCCGGGGGCTTGGAGGGGCTATGGCCACAGCCAGGTTTTCTGTTCCCCTGCCTTCAGGGACGTTGGGGCAGGCAACAACAGGTTACTGTTCATCCCCATACCTGGTCAGAGGCGGTTACCCTTGGTGTGTATCTGCAACTGAATAGGGGTGGTGGCCCATGTAACAAAGCCTCCACCTGGGCTGGGCTGCTTTTCCATGGCCATTCATTCAAGGTTTGGAGCATCAGGTCCAGCCTGGAACTTCAGCCCTGCAAAGACAGGAGTGTGACATGCAAGTAAAACCCATTCTTCAAGAGCTCGCTATATCACTCAATCATACCCACAGCTTGCAAGTTGTGCGGTACATGGAATCCCTACTTTATGTCCATTGTTGTGCCTGTTGTCCAGTAAAATGTGTCCCCCATCACTCTCAATGACCAAAGGGCAACCATATAGAGCACATAAGTGTTGCAGGGTCTGGATGGTGTGCTGTTGGTTGGCCACCCTGCAAGGATAGGCAAACAACAGGCCTGTGGCTGTGTCCACAGCTGTTAGCGCATGAGTATACCCTTGTGACTTCGGCAGCAGCCCAATGTAGTCTACTTGCCACCTGGTCAAGGGCACTTGCCCTGTTGTCACTTGTGTAGCACTGGACAGCTGCCTCCATTTAGGGTATGCCTGAGCACATGCCGGGCATTTCTGACAAGCCTCCCAAATGTCTTGCATGGGCAGAGACAGACCCCAACATTTATTGACTTGTTGCATCAGTTTACCCCCTGCATGTCCCAGTTTCCGGTGTAGCTACAAGGCCACATCTCATGTAGATGCCAACTCTAACCATCGGACCTTGGCCAAGGCTTCTGCCTCGTCATTGCTGGGGGTGGCCAGAGGCATATGGCCTGACAAATGATAAATAGTTACATCTTTGCAATGACCCATTTCCCAGAGGTCTTGCTACATGGGTTGGTGGCCCCAAATGGGTTGGTGGCCAACTAGCCAATTCTGTATTTTCCAAGTAGTTAAACACAAAGTTAGGCCTCCATAGACTGCCCAGCTATCGGTACGGATTACCATAGGTGTCTCCGCCTTGTTGATCACCATCCATACTGCTTTAAATTCAGCCCATTGACTACTTTGTCCACATCTGGTTTCAAACCATATGGTTTTGGTACTAAGTTGGACTGCAACACTGGTCCAAGCAGGAGTAGCACCTCGACTAGACCCATCTGTGTGCCATGCCCCATCAGGAATAGAGGGACGCCCTTCCTTAAATGGCAGTGGCTCAGGGTCAAGGGGTGCCTCAGGCCCCATGGCCTTCTCTTGCATTAGGACTGCAGGTCCCAAGACCTCTTGCAACTCTGCTGCTAATGGGCTTGTGCTCAGCGTACTCTGTTGCTCCAAGTAAGTGCCTCACTTTGCCAAAGTGGATGTCTGCACCATCCCAGTCTGGGGGGTCATTACACATGAATGCACCCATCCCGCTGTCAGGTAAGTCATCCACACTGTGACTGTAGCCCATCCTATCACTTCTCACAAGCCTGAAGGGCAGCATATACAGCTGCTAGCTATTTCTCTATCAAGGAATACCAGAGCTCAGCTCCTTTCCATAGTTGGGACCAAAAGCCTCCTGGCATTCTCAGGCACTCTGTGTGCTGCCACAGGCCCAAACTAAAACCATCTGTGGTCACATGCATATCCAGTTCAAATGGGCACCCCTTGTCAAATACCCACAGGGCTCGTGCCTGCTGAATAGCCCACTTGGCTGCCAGGAAGCCAGTCTCAGCCACATCAGCCCAATCCCAGATTGCTCCCTTCTTTGTTAACTGATACAATGGTTTTATCATTTGAGCTAAATGAGGCAGGAATGTCCACCAATATCCCAGGAGGCTCACAAAAGTTTGCAGCTGCCTCACCGTGGTGGGCCAGGGATATGCCTAAATTTTGTCAATGATAGCCTCTTGTATGGCCTTCATCTTACCCGACCAGATAACTCCCAAGAATTTAGCAGGTAATCCAGGCCCTCGGACCTTGGATTTGTTGATGGCCCAACTGCATGCTGCCAAATGTTGCCACAAGAGGGGTGCCACTGCTTCTAAATCTGCAAGAGAATCAGAGGTTAACATAATATCATCAACGTAATGGAACAAGTGGACTCCCTTTGGACATTTTCAGGCTGTTAAATCCATGGCAACAAGACCATGACATATGGTGGAGCTATGCACATAGCCCTGCAGCAACACTGTGAAAGTCCATTGTCATCAAGGCAAACTGTTCCTGGCTCTCTAGAGCAAGGTCAACTGAGAAGAATGCATTGGCCAAGTCCACCACATAGTGGTACTGTCCTAATTCCATTGTCGAGTGGTTCATCAAATCCATGATAGATGGCACAGCTTCCAAGCCATGTAAAATATCCACCTCCAGAATGTATTCAGGTATGGGAGAGACATACACAGTGTATAAGCAAGGAGCCAAGTGGCCAATGCCAAGGTACAGAGATACAGGTTTCACTTTCACTGACTGGCCTCCGTAACCTTTAATATATGCAGATTTGCCCAAAAACTTAACTGGGTTCCCATAAACAAGGCTACAATCTATGCCAGTATCTACCAGCACCAGCACCCACTGTACATTGGTGGGGGACCAGTGGATTGCCAATTCCACATGTGGCCTCTGGTCATCTGGTGTCCCCCCAAGCCAGACACCTTTGGCCAGTTCCCTAGTTGAACAGAAAAGGCTCTACATTTCCACCTGGCTGCAGCAAGTAGTCTCTGAGCTGGGTAGGACCAGGTCACACAGCAATGCCTTTCTCCCCTTTGGGCATTTTCCGGAATTGCTGCCCTGCATACAACTGTCTCCGCAAAGTTAGGAGTATTTCATTGGGCTGCTTATCAATTTTCTCTCAGTCAACCCCAGCCAAAATCAAATCTATCCACATCTGTGAGCGTGTCACTCGTTGGGGCCCCCTTTTTTTATGGGGGAGCCCCCTGTGGGTGGGGTAACTTCCCCTTCTTTATGGTGTGGACCCTCCAATCCCCCTGAAGGCCTTCTGCTTCCCTGAGAGCCGCCATGGCAGTGGTTACTTCATGTATGCGGTGCCCTACGTATGGGGTGAGGACAGCAGCTAGGGAGCCAAAGGGGCTCAGGAGCATCAAACCCAACATGAGATCCCTCATGTGGGAGGTGAAACATTTATCATCTGGCCCTCAGGTATTCAGGACAAACATAGCCTGCCGCATACCCATCTCCCGAATGACTTACACCAAATTGGCATATGACTGCCATTTACTCACAGTTTTGGGCATTTCACCAGCATTATTCCACACAGTTCATATGGCTGCCTGTAGCCACTCAGTCAGGGTGTGGTCTCCTTGCGCTGCCACTAACCACCTGCTCACTTGCAGCCGCTGACAGAGAGAGGGGTGAGTCATGGTGGAGGCCAGCTTGTCCATCTCAGAGGTGGAATGGGAGATACCATCTGCTCCCTTGTTCCACAGACGAAGCATCCAGGCAGGCAGGGGTTCCCCTGGACACTGGCAACACTGCTTGCCTAATTCCTGCAACTCAGTTGGGGTACAGGCAATATACGAAATGTGTTGCATTATGGTGGGGAGTCCCTGAGTCCACCCTTGGAGCCCCAGTGGCTGTTCATGATCTACCTTCTGTCAGACCACCGGGTGAGCCCGCAACAGGGGTTCTTCCTCCTTGGTATGAAACTGAGTGGGGATCTCCAGACAAGATGATGGACCCAGGCCTGCATTCATGGTAGCCTCTAATTCCTTTTCCAAGCTCTGAAGCCACACCTCCAGGCATCCTGCCTGCACCTGGAGGTCCCCATTCATGGCAGCCTCTAATTATTTTCCAGATCGGTGTAGCCAGACCTCCAGTCTGCATCCCTCAGGGACTGGGTGTGTACTTTTCTTAGCACAGTTAAAAATGCCCATCCAACTCTGCCAGCAAAGGCTCTCTCCTTCTTGGTGCTCTGCACTTCCAGCTGCTTCAGCGCCTTCTCCATGCTCATGGGGGACCCATCTACTGCCACCCAGGTTTCCACTCAGGCCCACCCTCACAGCACGGCTACCACCGGGTACCACAACCCATGTTGTGGTCACATGGCCAACCTGGAATCAGCAGGGACCGAAGGCTCACTTACCTTAGGATCCTGTTCGTGATGCCAATTGTCAGGTTCTAGCCCAAACTAAAGTCCAAGGGGAGTTGGTGGGTGGGTGGCAGGTAACTGGAAAAACACTCGAGTAGGCGGTTTCGACATGGCTTTATTCTCTCTCTGGGTGCAAGCCATATGTAGTGTCAGCAGGGTAATTTTACCTTTTACAGACAATAGTGGCTTTGAGCCAAGCACGTGCTCATATGAGTGGTCACCTAATGCACCTCACATGGCATGGTTACATAATGTGTGGAGTTGTGTGCCTGCCTCCAAACCCACTGAGTCATGCTGCACCAGAAGGCTGCCTCGGCCTACTCCTGACTAAAGCACAACCATCTCCCTTAGAGTGGGCTAAATCTACTGCTATTTATACTATTAGAAATTTTAACACAGAAGTTTTAAATATTTACATTGTTAATTGATTTTGAAATAATAAGCCCATTACAGGTTAACATAATTAACATACTTTTATTAAAAATATCTGTATTTTTTAAAAGAAAAAAAATTAGCAACAACAGTGATCCTTGGAATCGTCCCACCTCAGCCTCCCAAGTAGCTGAGACCACAGGCGCACATCACCATGCGAGCTAATTTCTATATTTTTTGGTAGAGATGGGATCTTGCCATGCTGGCCAGGGTGGTCTCGAGCTCCTAAGCTCAAGTGATCCTCCTGCCTCGGTCTCCCAAAGTGCTGAGATTACAGGTGTGAGCCACCACTTCTGGCCAGAAGCTGGATTCTCTGTCTTGTTCTCCATCCAATCTGTTAGACTGTCAAATGCCAAATAACCTTTGGAAAATTCTACTCGTAAAATAAGGAGAGAGATAAATAACTTCTGAGTATCATCATTAAAATAGTTTGACCTCATGGACCCACTGGGTCCCATGTGGAGAATAGCTCTAAGCTAAAGAGTAGAATGGCTGGGAGGGGACATAAACATTCAGCCCATAGCTGCTGACCACAATAACACATTTTAAGTCTCTTCCTCTCCTGCTCCTTGTGATTGCAGACAGACTCAATCTGTAGGAGAGCTGTAGAGAGAACAAGCTCAAGCCCCTGATTTTGCCTACAAAGAAAGCTGAGCCCAGCAAAGTTAAGGGACTTACCCAAGGTCACACAGCCACACAGCAGAGCTGGGGCTGAGCTCCAGGTGTCCTGCTACAGAGGCCACTTCTTTCTCCCACTAGGGACTGGCCTGTGATTACTTCAGAAAACAATGGTCAGCTAACTGATTCTGAACGCCCTTTGCTGGTAAAAGCTAATCTCCTGAGGAAAAATGTATGCATTGGCTGGGCGCAGTGGCTCAAGCCTATAATTCCAGCATTTTGGGAGGTGGAGACAGGTGGATCACTTGAGGTCAGGAGTTTAAGACCAGCCTGGCAGTCATGGTGAAACCCCGTCTCTACTAAAACTACAAATATTAAGCTCGGCATGGTGGCAGGCACCTGTAATCCCAGCTACTGGAGAGACTGAGGCAGGAGAATCGCTTGAACCCAGGAGGCGGAGGTTGCAGTGAGCCGAGGTCGCACCACTGCATTCCATCCTGGGCAACAGAGTGAGATTCTGTCTCAAAAAATAATAATAGTAAAATAAAAATAAATAAAAAAATAAGTATGCATCACCTCAGGTGGTCAGTCAGCTTTCCCAAGACCCCAAAGCACACAATGTTCTTTCTGGTATGAGTGACATGGGGTTCACAGCACCACAAAGTCCATGACTTTTCCCTCAGAAGTGAATGCATGGCTAATTATTTTGTATTTTTTGTAGACATGGAGTTTTGCCATGTTGCCCACGCTGCTCTCAAATTCCTGGACTCAAGTAATCCACCCACCTCAGCTTCCCAAGGTGCTGGGATTACAGGCATGAGACACCGCATGACCTGCACCTATAGTCCCAGCTATCAGGAGGCTGAGGTGGGAGGATCACCTGAACCGGGGAAGTTGAACCTGCAGTGAACTGTGATCGCTCCGGTGCACTCCATCCTGGGCAACAGAGTGAGATCCTGCCTCAAAAAAAAAAAAAAAGTGAACACACATGCTGGGGAAGAGGCCTGCAGGCACCCCTGCCAGTTCTGCACCAGAGCACACTGTAGCAGCCCTGCTGTGATGCAGGAAGCAGCTCCAGGTCCTGCAGTCTGAAGCATGGAGCCTGAAGCCTGGAGCCCCCCATCCAATGCTGCGCCATGCTCACCAGTATCCCCCAGCATCAGCACCGAGGCACCAGCTGCAGATAAATTTCTCACCTAAAATGTTGAGAGATGTTGCTAAACTGTCCTTCTAAGGGTATGTATAATAATACGGTCCTGCCGATACTGAATAAGACTATCTGTTTCATTACATCCTCACAATACTGAATATCATTAGCAACTTGAATTTTAAATTGTGCTAATCAATGAAAATGATTGCCTAATTACTAGTGAGTTGAGGTTATTTAACATTAATACTCCTTCTGATGAAATATTTTGCATTTATCACATTTTACATAAATTCTCTCTATATAATTAGCACTAGAATGTCCGACTTGGTTTTCATTGTTCCTCACCTGTTTGGAAACACATTAAGAATGAGGGAGAGAATGGATGGGGACTCACCTAGGGATGCATGGAGCTGGTCGGCAGCCACTCTGAGGCCCTCTTAACACTTCCCCACCACACACTTAATTTCCCCTGGTTTGTCCATAGATACATCCAACAATTTTTATGTAAATAAGAAAGACTCAGCTTTCAATGGAAAATGGTAGGTTGGATTTTATGACTGAAGTGGCAAAAAGAAATAAGGGATTTTATTATGGGGGAGGTCCAAACCCTGGTGAAAAACGAAATTCATTGAAATTGTTTGAAAATTCAAGGATTAAATCAGATTATTTTGGATTCAGTAGGAATTAGATTACTTTAAAGCCCCAGGATACTTTATTCTGTAGAATGCATGGAAAGTATAGAAAAGAGAAACAAAGAGGGAAAGTCATGGCTAATAACCTGGAAGGGGTAAATAGGGAGCCAAAGGCCTGTGGGACGTAACCAACTCAGCATTCCACTGGAGGCTTTATGATCAAATAGCAAGCTATTTATCATGAATGCAGGATGTGGGCAAACTCACGACTGCTCCCACTGCCAGAAGGTTTGCTGAGGGCAATCACTTCCTGGCACCGAGCTCCTTGAGGTTATCTACTGGGACATCTGGAGAATGCAGTCTTGCAAGCCTACTCTGGACCCAGCAGCTGACCCCTTCTTCCATGCCCCTCTTCCTGCTATCTCTTTTGCCTAATAAATATGGAGGGCTGTGTAAAGCTCAGGGCCCTTGTCCACTAGAGGCAAACTGCCCGCTGACCCCTTCTTCCAAATATGCTCTTTTGTCTCATGTCTTTTATTCCCGCTTTCACCCCACTTTGTTCAGTCCCCCTAGGTCCGTGTGGGTTACATAGTGGCGCCCTGAACAGCGACAGAATCAGGTGCTCTACAAGTGGCGTCCGAACACAGGGACTATGAGGATGTGAATGAAGAAGATCTGCTGGAGCAGAGGAATTGAAATTGACAAGGTGAATGGGGATCCCGGGACAAGTCTGCCGGCAGCAGATATAAGGTCAGTGCCCTAAAGAGCTACTGGGAGCAGTGCCTTAAAGTAGTACTGGGAATGGGAAGTTTTCTGAATCAGGGTAACATGGGGCAGAATTGGTCTGTTGAAGAAAAACATTATGTGCAGTTGCTTAAAGTTTTGTTGAAACAAACTGGTGCTCAGGTTAGTTCTCACATTAACTACGATGCTACAGGAAGTCATTATGCATAACCCATGGTTTCCACAGGCAGGGACTCTTGATGTAGAAAATTGGGATAGAGCAGAAGGATGAAAACAGGCTCATCAAAAAGGTTTTCAAGTTGATTCTTCAGTTTTCTCCACTTGGAGTTTAGTTCGTACTGTACTTCTGCCATTATCTCCTTGTTATTCTGCGGGACAGCAGGCTGAATGTAAAAAACTGAAAGAATCTGTTGTCCCACCCACAGCTCCAGTTGAAAATAAGTAATAGGAGAGGGAGGATAAAAATTGGCCTATACCGCCCCCTCCAGTTGCAGAAACATCTGTACCGCCTCCTTCGGTGGCAGAAACAGAGACCCCAATACAAAGAATTTTACGCTCTGCCACCACGGCTGGAGAGCCCTTAGGACCTTGCACTTTTCCTATTTCCGTAAGGCCTGATCCAAATAATCCACAGCAGCTTAATCATGAACACATTCCACTAGAGTTTAAGTTGTTAAAGGAATTAAAAGTGAGTGTGGTAAATAATGGCATACAGAGCCCATTCACTTTAGGATTGCTAGAATCTATGTTTGGTGCTATGTGTCTTTTACCCTTTGATGTGAAACACTTGGCATGAACTTGCTTGTCTGCTAGCGCATATCTGACATGGAATTTAAACTGGCAAGAACAGGGTGCAGACCAGGCTAGACAGAACCATGCTGCTGGAAATGGAGACATTACAGAGGATAGGCTATTGGGTAATGGCCCTTATTCTGACCTGGTACATCAACTAGCACTCACAAATGCTGCTTATCAGCAGTGCACACAGGCTGCTAAATGTGCCTGGGCCATAATTCCTGAAGAGGGAGTCCCAGTACTATCATTTTTACATATCATGCAAGGGTCACAGGAACCCTACGCACAATTTCTTGCAAGATTACAAGAGGCAGTGAGGCATCAGATTCCTCATACCTTGGCTGCAGAAATGCTAACCTTTACTCTAGCTTTTGAGAATGCAAATGCAGATTGTAAATGTGCACTGGCACCGGTTAGGTGTACAAAAACTTGGGAAATTTTCTCAGAGCTTGTTAAGATGTAGCAACTGAGCTTTATCGATCTGCAATGTTAGCTGAAGCAATGGCTAATTTAGCTGTTGACAAATCTAAAAAGAGCCAAGGGTCAAACCCTAAAATGGGAAAATGTTATAATTGTGGAAAAACTGGACATTTTAAAAAGGAATGCCACCAGATCTCAGGACAGAAAGGATCTTACAATGCTTTTCCCCCCGGCCCCCAGCGGAAAGAACACCAGGACTTTGTCCTCGCTATGACAAAGGAAATAACTCGGCTAATCAGTGCTGCTCAAAATTTCATCAGAATGGCACCCCCCTGTTGGGAAATGAGATGGGGGCCTGTACCCGGGCCTCACAAACAATGAGGGCATTCCCAATTCAGACCTCAACCCTGTTTCAGGCATGGGTTCCCAGAGGCATATTGAGTCCCTCACCCGAGGAACTCCAGGAAGTGCAGGATTAGATCTCCCAGCCAGAGAAAGGGTTACATAAGGTGGGGAAGACAAACCCACCAAGATTCTCACTGGCATTTGGGGACCTTTACCAGCAGGATATATGGGACTAATTTTAGGCAAAAGCCACCTTAACTTGCGAAGGCATTACTGTAGTCGCAGAAGTTGTTGACTCTGATTATGAAGGAGAAATTCAAGTAGTTTTATTGTCACGAGATCTTCGGGTTTTTGAACCGAGAGAATACATAGTGCAATTATTACTTATTCCCTGCAAATTACACCCTTCTCCATGAAAGGAGAAACAAGGAAATAAAGGGTTTGGGAGCACAGCTACACGGGAAATCTATCTATCCCGACCCATAGCCTCTAATAGACCCACCTGTGTAGTACAAATTAAAGGAAATAAATTTTATAGGTTTATGGATACGGGAGCTGATGTGTCAGTGTTACCAGCAGGTCTTTGTTCTTAGAGCTCCCAAGATGGCGGCAAGCCTTTTGTTCTCTGACCTGGAGTTCTTGGCCTCACAGATTCCAAGGAATGGATCCTTGGGCCATGCAGTGAGTGTCATAGCTCTATTAGAAGCTCTTCCAAAAGTCGTGCTGCTATCTATGGACTAAAACATACTCAAACAATAATGACCTCTGGCGTTTAGGCTCAATGCTCAGAGCTAATTGCAGTCATTCAGGTTTTACAGCTCACAGCTTCAGATCCTATCAACATTGTCTGTGTTCAGTTTATGTCGTAAATGTAGCCGGTCACATAGAAACTGCTACAATTAAAAGTACACTAAACCCAGAACTGCTAATTTATTTTTAAGACTTCAACAAGTTATTTGTTCTAGTGCAGCTCCTTTTCATATTTCTCATATTCCTTCTCACACACAACTTCCTGGGCCGCTATCTCTAAGTAATGAGAAAACAGACAAACTGATTGCCTCTGTGTTTCAGCAAGCTCAACCATCTCATGTGCTTCTGCACCAAAATACTTCCGCCCTTACTCACATGTTCCTACAGGTTTGTATTATATTATGCAGTATATCCCTCGAGCCACACCTATAGAAGGATGTAATCCACGAGGTTTGGCTCCAAATGAAATCTGGCAAATGGATGTTACACACACAGCAACCTTTGATAAGCTGAGCTATGTTCATGTGACTATAGACACTTATTCTCATATGCTGCCTGCTACATGCCAAACAGGTGAGACAGCTGGTCATGTACAGCGACACTGTCTGTCATCATTTGCTCATATGGGGATATCTAAACAATTAAAAACTGACAATGGACCCGCTTATACTAGTCATGCTTTTAAAAATTTCTTGCAGCTTTGGGCTATAACCCATAAAACAGGAATTCCTTATAATCCTAGAGGACAAGGCATTATAGAGCAGGCACATCAAACATTACAATGCATGTTGAAAAGACAAAAAGCGGGTATAGGAGGCCAACTACCACCTCAATAAAAACTACATTTAGCCTTATTTACTTTAAATTTTTTGACTCCTGGTATGGATGGTAAGACTCCAGCAGAAAGACATTGGCAAGTGTTAGAAGAAAAGAGGAAAATTTATCCAAAAGTGTTATGGAAATCCCTGGAAGAAGGAAAATGGAAAGGTCTGGTGGATTTACTGACGTGGGGAAGAGAGTATGCTTGTGTTTTTACAGGAGATGGACAAGCCGTGTGGGTGCCCTCAAGGTGTGTGCAACCATGGAACGGGAGACTAGAGGAACCCAGGGTGGCCAACCATGGACAGGGTCCCCCCGGTACGAGCCATGAGCCAGCTGAGCCTGAGTGCAAAGACGGAGAGAAGGCCAACTGGAGTCACAACACAGTTCTAATGTTATATTTGTAAAGAATATCACTACTCAACTTACAGTTTGTGTTTATAGATATAGATATAGATATGGATATAGATATAGATATAGTTATAGATATAGATAGATATACACTTTAAGTTCTAGGGTACATGTGCACAACTTGCAGGTTTGTTACATAGGTATACATGTGCCATGTTGGTTTGCTGCACCCATCAACTCATCATTTACATTAGGTATTTCTCCTAATGCTCTCCCTCCCCCAGCACCGCCTCCCAACAGGCCCTGGTATGTGATGTTCCCTGCCCTGTGTCCAAGTGTTCTCATTGTTCAATTTCCACCTATGAATGAGAACATGCAGTGTTTTATTTTCTGTTCCTGTATTAGTTTGCTGAGAATGATGGTTTCCAGCTTCATCCATGTCCCTGCAAAGGACATGAACTCATCCTTTTTTATGGCTGCATAGTATTCCATGGTGTATCCTTATGTCTTTTTGACAGCTAAGAAGGACCAGCTCCAGGTAAACAATACCCAATTGACCTGTAAATCTTACCAATTATATCACTGCATTAATCATAGCACATTGCAAACACATAATATCTCTACTTTGATGATTTTAGGCCACATCCCTGGGCTATGTATTCCTGTTAATCTGTCCGAGGCTTGGGCTGCCACACCTGCTTTGCATTTTGTGAAACTTCTTCTAACTGAGCTTACTCATCATGTCTGTAGAGCCTTAGACATAATAATTTTAGCTATTGTTTCCTTGGTCGCACTAATAACTTCTGTTGTGATGTCCTCTGTAGCTTTGCATAATTCTATTCAAACAGCTCAGTACATGGAGAACTGGACACACACAGCCGACCAAGCATGGCTACTTCAGAATAAAATTAACACTGAGTTACAAACTGAAGTGGTGTTATGGGAAGTCAGGGACCCCGAAGAGAGGGACCAGCTGGAGCCACAGCAGAGGAACGTAAATTGTGAAGATTTCATCTTAATACGGATATTTATCAGTTCTCAAATAATACTTTTACAATTTCTTATGCCTGTCTTTAATCTCTTAATCCTGTTACCTTCGTAAGCTGAGGATGTGCATCACCTCAGGACCACTGTTATAATTGTGTTAACTGTACAAATTGATTGTAAAACGTGTGTTTGAACAATATGAAATCAGTGCACCTTGAAAAAGAACAGAATAACGGTGATTTTTATGGAACAAGGGAAGACAACCATAAGGTCTGACTGCCTGCAGGGTCGGGCAAAAAGAGCCATATTTTTCTTTTTGCAGAGAGCCTATAAATGGATGTGCAAGTAGGAAACATATCGCTAAATTCTTTTCCTAGCAAGGAATATTAATATTAATACCCTCGGAAAAGAATGCATTCCTGAGGGGAGGTCTATAAATGGCCGCTCTGGGAATGTCTGTCTTGTGCAGTTGAGATAAGGACTGAGATACGCCCTGGTCTCCTGCAGAACCCTCAGGCTTACTAGAGTGGGGAAAAACTCTGCTGTAGTAAATTTTTGGTCAGACCAGTTTTCTGCTCTCAAACCCTGTTTTCTGTTAAGATGTTTATCAAGACAATACGTGCACCACTGAACATAGACCCTTATCAGGAGTTTATGATTTTTCTCCTGTCCTGTTTCCTCAGGAGCATGTGATCTTTGTTCTCCTTTTTGCCCTTTGAAGCATGTGATCTTTGTGACCTACTCCCTGTTCTTACACCCCCTCCCCTTTTGAAATCCTTAATAAAAACCTGCTGGTTTTGCGGCTCAGGTGGGCATCACGGTCCTACCAATATGTGATGTCACCCCTGGAGGCCCAGCTGTAAAATTCCTCTCTTTGTACTCTTTCTCTTTATTTCTCAGCCAGCCGACACTTATGGAAAATAGAACGAACCTACGTGAAATATTGGGGGTGGGTTCCCCCGATATGTGATGTCACCCCTGGTGGCCCAGCTGTAAAATTCCTCTCTTTGTACTGTCTCTCTTTATTTCTCAGCTGGCCAACACTTATGGAAAATAGAAGGAACCTATGTTGAAATACTGAGGGTGGGTTCTCCCAATAAAGTGGTAATGTTGAAATCCACAGTTCTATGGTTAGGGGAAAAGCACAAAGCTTGATTGCATTGTCATTTTAATCACACTCATATTTGTGTAACCAACTTAGAATATAACCAAAGTGAGTATCTGTGGGACGTTGTGAAAGCCCATTTGCAGGGAGCTTTCACATCTAACATCACCTTTGATATTGGTGAATTACAAAACAAAATTCTTGATTTACATAGGCAAATTCAAGAGTTTCAGCCTTCTTTAGAAGACTGGACCAAATTCCAGCAAGGCCTGGAGAGCCTCAATCCTTGGACTTATCTAAGGCACTACATTAACATCTTACATGTAGTTCTTGGAATAATATTGTTTTGTCTCTGTCTTCTGTTCATAGCCTGTAAAATTGGATGGACCACCAATCGGAAAATGAGAGCTGCCCACCCTGGCCTTACATTCTTTCAATTAATTCATAAACAGAAAGGGGGATATTTAGGGAGCCTAAGGCTCGTGGGACTGACCAACTCATCATTCCACTGGAGGCTATATGATAAAACAGCAAACTGTTTATCATGAATGCAGGATGTGGGCAAACTCACGACTGCTCCCACTGCCAGAAGGTTTGCTGAGGGCAATCACTTCCTGGCACCAGGCTCCTTGAGGTTATCTACTGGGACATCTGGAGAATGCAGTCTTGCAAGCCTACTGTGGACTGAGCAGCTGATCCCTTCTTCCACACCCCCCTTCTCACTATCTCTTTTGTCTAATCACTACGGAGGGTTGTGTAAAGCTCAGGGCCCTTGTCCACTAGAGGCAAAGTGCCCCCTGACCGCTTCTTCCAAATATACTCTTTTGTCTCTTGTCTTTTATTCCCACGTTTGCCCCCTTTGTTCAGTTTCCCTAGGTCCATGTGGGTTACATAGTGGCAACCTGAACAATGACAGAATCAGGTGCTCTACAGAAATAACTTTTTAAGGAAAGATTTGGGACTTAGAGACCCCAGGAGACATACACAAAAATGATAAGAGGATGTGCCCAAACCAGTCTTAAAGTTGTGGCACAGGGTGAGGAAGATGAAGCTGTTACTGAACCTCAGAGAGTGACTGGTGTTACAGCAAAAGTTAGCAATGGCCTGAAGGGAGGGTTTCTGAAATCAAATATGAATGATTCCCCCTCAGGGAACCCAACCTTGGGAACTACTGCATGGTTCTCTGTATGGGAAAATATCATTAATGCAGGATAAATTGTGAAATATCACAGGAAGCATCCTGCATCTAGTCAATCTTCTGTTTCTGGGGTGGCCTGTGCAGCTGTGCAGGCAGAGGCCCAACCATCCTGGTGAGTGGCACACAGGGACTGAGATCCAGCCACACCTACCAGGCCATGCTCTGGGAAGGGGGTGGGACCTGGGCAAAGGACACCTCTCTAGGACTGCAGAGAAGCCTTTGTGGGTGGGTGGGACATTCCTGTGATGGCCTTCTGGCTGGGCACTATGAAATGCTCTGAAGATTTTTCCTTGCACTGTTGCACTAACCCCAGTCCTCTATCACTGCCCCTTCCTCCTGGGCGACTTCACTGATGTTGTGGCCATGTGAATTCTCTGGCCAATGAAATGATAAAGATGATATGGCCTCTGCCAAGCAGACACTGTAAGTATTATTGTATGATGCTTTTGTCTCTTTTTTTTAAGTTAAAGCAGTTTATTAAGAAAATAAAGGAATAAAAGAATAGCACTCCATAGGCAGAGCAGCTGCCTCTGTCTCTTATATTTTCCCCTCTGCCTCAAGCCCAACATGCCCAAAATTGGGGCTGCTGGTTCAGCCTGGGTCTCAGAATAAAGACATGAGCCACAGATCCATTGCTGACCCATGATGGAGATGGACACAAGAGAGAAACACATTTTTGTCATGTTAGCC
Source organism: Homo sapiens (assembly GCF_000001405.40). Lineage (NCBI taxonomy): Eukaryota > Metazoa > Chordata > Mammalia > Primates > Hominidae > Homo > Homo sapiens. The sequence goes on from NC_000003.12 coordinate 46,434,587, forward strand.
ACTAAGATTTTGATTTGGAGGCCATTTGCTACAGCAATATAACCTAGCGTGAACAGAGAGACACAGCGATGTTCCATTTCTTTTCAACCTGGAACAGGAGAATTTCATAGGTGGGCCTCAATTTCACTTTAGTATCTTATTTAGACAAGAAAGTTCATACTGTTCAAATGTCATGTTTAAGAGTGCTGGCATTATCACTGCTGTGGCTACCCCATCAGATGTTGCTCACTGACTAATCTTCTCATGTTAGTGAGGATGGACAACATATCAGGCCATAATTCAAAGTAGCAAATAGGAAAAGAGCTTCATCCTAGCATTATGGGACCTTAATTAATGTCCTTTCCTGACAGGTTTCAGAGGCTTTTGCAGGCAGCAGCAGAGCTATTCATCTCACTGACAGTGGGGAACATGGCCAAATGGTTGCCCCCACAATGGAGGCAGAGTTTCAGGACACTTGTCTGATCTCTGCCCTTGAAGGAACAGTCTCACCCTGATTGACACTTTTGCCTGTTATGTCCAAAGAACCAATGGAAAAGCAGGAAAATTATTCCTTCTTCATTTCTCTCTTCATTATTTAAAATTATTCTGTCTTCACTTCTCTCTCCTTTTCTCTGCTTCCTACTTAGCTCTTTAGAAATGCAATTATAATCTTTTATCTCCCCTTCACCAGACACTCCCAACAGGGCAAGTTCATCTAACTATGTGCTCTTAGTTAGACGCTACAGAGCAGAACTCTCTCCCACCAAGAGACTACCTTGAGACATAACAGTCAATTCACAAGCCAAAATATGCCCGCTATGAAACTCTCCCATCTGGAAATTTTTTGGCTGCTTTTACAACCTAGTTTTGCCCACAAAGGCACCAGCAGTAACCAACTCAACTGCCTGGTAGACAAGGCACCAAAGCCAGTACCCAGACCCTCTACCTGCTCACTTCCTGCCTTGCATGCCACGCCCCCCATTTAAAAGCCTCTGCTTTCTGCTCCAAAGGTGAAGCAGTTACCCTTAAGGAAAGAAGCCTGTACTTCTTCCCCTAAGGTAGCTTTGGAATAAAAGTCACTTTATACCAAACCTAGCTCTTGTTAATTAGACTCTGCAAGTGATGAGCAACTGAACCTACATTTCAGTTATAATTCCTATGCTTGCTCTTCCTGCCCTGCCTTGGGGACACGCACACACTCCCAGGCACATACATGCACGTGCACTGAGACAGCTATGTGAATAACCAACAAGATCCCCTTAGGAAAACCGGTGCTTGGCCTGGCCTTAAATTCCAGACCCTTGGGCATCATACCCAAGACTGCAAGAAAGAGGAGGGGCTGGACCTGAAAAACTTGGAAGGGAAGGTCCAACTGTACAGGTATTTTGTCAGGCATGTGATTTCAGTATAAAATTCTAGAAAAGATGAGTGACACTTTATAAGGAGAGAATATCAACAAAATTTCTCATTTTACTTCTTGCTAAGACGACAGCAGGGAATTGTAAGCAGATGGATGGGCAATCCCCACCTTCAGCAGGGGAGGCCAAGGCCCCAACACACCTGGGGAGAAGAGCTGGGGGCAGTGAATGGCTGAGGCTTTCTTGGGGAGCTGGGCCATCTTCTTCGGTTTTACTTCCTGAGGAATTCACAGGCTTCCAGGAGGGCTGTGGGACACAACAGAGCAAGAGATTCAGAAACTGATTTCTTCCATTAAACCAGTTATTTAATCCAATAAATCAAAGAGAATACTAAGAGTTTTCTCTGCCCTTCTCCCATCACTGAGTCAGTGCTTGCCACACTCATATTCCCACTCCCCTACTCCTAGCGACTACGGTGTTCAAGGGAGCCAGAGTCTAGCCCTCACCAGCCAGGGTGTTTCCCTGCTCTGGCCTGAGAGACACAACCACCCTGCACTTGTCTCTGATTGAATCGACTGTCACATTCTCAAGTTCACAAGACATTGGTGGTCCTCTAGCTTCTCCCGGAATGTGAACCTGTTTGCAATCATGTTCACCTGCAGATTCACTCATTCATTCACAGATCCTTACTGAGCACCTGCTTTGTGTGAGTTGCTGTGCTAAGTGCTGGGGACACAGCATGGATAGACTGGCCTGCCCTCAAGAAGCATGTGGTCTATGCAGTCCTGAGCTGGCTGCTCACAAGAAGAGCCCTGTAGCCATATTTCTCAGAGGGTGGTCCTGACCTGCATCACAGTGACCTGAGTTGTTTGTCAATACAGAAAAGGGTTTCTCAACCTTGGCACTATTGACATTTGGGGCCTGATAATAACCCTTTATTGCAGGGGGCTGGCTGTGCTTTGTTTAGTAGCATCCCTGGCCTCTACCTATTTGTTACCAGCAGCACCCTCTATGTTGTAAGAATCAAAAAAATGCTTCTCACATTGTCAAATATCCCCTCAGGGGAAAAATTGTCTCTCATTGAAAACTACCGATAAAGACATTTCTGGCCCTGCCCCCATCCTTGGACCAACAGCATCCCTAATGCCCCCAACTCTGGGTGAGGGACCAGGAATAGGAATCTGAATGATTGCAGTGCACAGGGAGCTGTGCACACTGAAATCCCACAGTTATCACCGGGAGCCTTACAATACTCTGTGATGTCTTCTAAATATTTTTAAGGGATTAAATTAATATCAACATATTTCCCTGGTTAAGATGTGTTTTCCTACACTTGAATTTTTTTGAGATTTTGTTTTCTCTATAGTTGGCATCTATGGTAACTGTCTAGAATCAGATTTTTTTTTTTTTTTTTTGAGGAAGGGTCTTTCGGTGTCACCTAGGCTGTAGTGCAGTGGTACAATCATAGCTCACTGCAGCTTCAACCTTCTGGGATCAAGCAATCCTCCTATTTCAGCCTCTCAAGTAGCTGGGACTAGAGGTGCTTGACACCACACCAGGCTAATTTTTAAAATTATTTTTGTAGAACAAGGTCTCTCTGTGTTGGCCACATTGGTCTCAAACTCCCGGGCTCAAGCCATCCTCCCACCTCTGCTTCCCAAGGTGGTGGGATGACAGGTGTGAGCCATCACACGTGGCTGGTTTTGTCATTTCTCAATGCATATGTATATATGCACCTTTCATTTTACTGAATAAAATGGATTATCAGTTTCCAAAGATTTCATGACAGTGCCATCACTATCCGTACTATAAAATTTATAAAAATTTATTACATACTGCTCTATTTTATTCTCTAATTATTTTATCAATGAGATTATAATTTCCTGAACTGTAAAGAGATATTATCTTTCCTTAACATTTTTACACCTGTGTTCGTTCCTAGAATGCTGTTTGGCCCTCAAACCTTGACCTTCACCCATGGTGGTTTCTCGGGGATGCTAGCTAGGGTCTACTTACGGGAGGTTGAGCACTTTTTCAGATTAGTAATGCCTGCGACATACTGTGGTCCCAAATATTTTTCATATGTTGTTTTGCCATGGAGTCTGGCCAGACACTCAGTGTTGTCATTGAACAGAAGGTTTTTGGTTTCAGACTGGAATAAGCAAAACTTGTCCGGGCAGTCAGATCCATTTCTCCCAAATTTAGCCTGCGACAAAAGGGCAGACAGTGAGTAGCTAAGGAAAAGAGGAATTTATGGGTTAAAGGAGGCAAAGGGGTATTTCTTCCACCCAAGAACAGCCCTGAGAAAACCATGGGGCAGAAGGAGCTGAGTTCTGGAGTCATTCCACCTCCTTAGTGGAGTCCCCCACCCCACACTCCTGGTGGCAGGCCCGCCTTGGGCAGCATCCAGGCCTCGCACCACTTCTGGTCCTACCTCCTACCATCTGCCATCTTTCCTTCCTTCTTAACCTGTGACCTTTTCCCATACAACTTCTTATGGGTGACAAGGCAACAATGGAGGGGTTTTGAGATCTGCCCTCACAAGTCAATTGCTCAGGACATTCTAATATGCAGCTCTTCTAGAGAGGCAGGCTGCTAGGAAAACCCAGGCTCAGCCACTAACCAGCTCAGTGTGCAGGTCGGTCACCCTGCCTCCCTCACACAGTTCCTGCTCTGTCCCAGGCTCCCATGTGGGGAGACTGAGACCCAAACCCCTCAGTCACGGCAGCTCTCTCACCAGCACCACTGTGTGTGCACATTAAGAGCTCCATAAAGGCCAGTTATGGTGGCCAGTCTTGTTATTCCTGAGTTGTTTTCTTCAAAAGCACACAGAGACATGATGTTATATGATAAAAATAGAAGTTCTAATAAAATCCCAGATTTTAAGAAAATTTTGGGATTTCGTTCAAATCACATTTAGAGAGCCCTAAATCTATAGGGCACCTTCTGAGTTTGCTGTTTTAGAGGCCTGGCCTAGAGCACTGTTCACTCGGCCCAGGTTCAGGAAATGTCACCTGAGTAAAAAGCACTATACTAATGCATGTGGGAGGAAGGCTCAGTGGCTTCCTCATTTGCCAGAAGAACAGCAGGAGGGAAAAAGACAGCCTCTGAGCCAGGCAGTGATGGCAACAAGGCCAGGGCACAGAGTCTCAGCAGAAATGGAGTGAGTCCCAGAAAGCCCAGAGTCAAAAGCCTCTGTTGTTCTTGTTGACACTCTGGGCAACGCCACAGCATGAAGCCAATACTCTCACCATGAGCTTCAAGTAGAGGACTAGAGAGGATCGAGTGGGCTGGTGCACCTAGCTCTGTGATCTCCTCACCTAACATGAGCCCACACAGCTAAGAAAGCACTAGAAGCCCTGTGGTCCATACCTGTTGGTGGAGCAACACCTGTTTCAGGCGTTCCACCTTATCCATCCGAGACACCACGGCATGATTCGGGGCCATGGCAAGATGGCAGCTTCTAGCCTCAGTCACAGGCTTCCGTTTGCCATCGAGGCACAGCAGCGCAAAGTCTGCCAGCTTCAAATCCTTAGCCCATGCCTCATTGTTATTTCCTGGGGAGAAAAAGAAGGTGGCATCATCCACGCCTCCCCTGCTTAGCCAAGAAGTCTCTTCTGGGTGGGTGTGGCCATTCCACTGACCTCCCAAATGCACACACTGGGGTTGTGGTGATGTGAGGAACAGAGAAGGAGCTTCATCCTACACAAGCTGTACAAACTTCAAATATACCAAATATTAGTGCTGTGTCCATGCAATGGAATGTTATTCAGCAATAAAAGGGAGTGAAGTTCTGGTACATCCTGCAATATGCATGAACCTCGAAAACGATGCTAAGTGAAAGAAGCCAGTCACAAAAGACCACACAATAGGCTGGGCACGGTGGCTCATGCCTGTAATCCCAGCCCTTTGGAGGCCAAGGTGGGAGAATCACTTGAAGCTAGGAGTTCATGACCAGCTTGGGCAACATAGCAAGACCTCATCTCAAAAAAAAAAACCCACCACATATTATATGACTCCATTTATATGAAATGTCCAGAATAGGCCAACCTATGGAGACAGAAAGTGGATTGATGGTTGCCAATGCTGAAGAAGGATAGGGCAATGACTGATAATAGGTGCAAGGGTTTCTTTATGGGAGGATACAAGCGTTCTAGAGTTGGATTGTGTTGATGGCTGCACAACTCTGTGAATGTGCTGGAGATCACTGAATTGTACACTTTGCATGGGTGGATTTTTTAGTATATGAATTCTACCTCAATAAAGCTGTTTAGAGTTCTTATTTTTTTAAAGAAGAAAACCCTCCACCTATGCCATATTTTTCAGTGAGTTCCAGAAAAAGAATAGATGGTTTACATTCAAGGAGAAATTGGTTTCTCCTCCCTTTCATATTCAAATGCTATTAGTGTAACCAGAGAAAGGAAAGGAACTTTTATAGGTTTATCAAATATATACAGCCAATTCTAACAAAATACAGTTGTAAAGTACCGGAGAAAGTTAAAATTAAATTTGACATCAATCTGATCCCTGGAGATTACTTCAGTTAATGGCTTGTAAATTCTAAATGTAATTGTATGCATGTCTATGTTTGTGCAGATGCCGGCTCATTGTTCCGGCTCCCGTTTGTCTCTCTGCTCTCTCCCTTTAAGAAAGCACTTTATTCATTCTCTTGGATTCCTCTATTTGATATTGAAATAATTTCAAATTTACATGTCTTGTTTTAATCTCTGTCCCAAGAGACACTAGAAGGAGCAGAAGCAGAAGGGAGAAGTGGCTGAGACTGCAGTGATTACTGAAGGAGGGAGGCCGAAAGTGGAGACAGTTCTTTCTCAGGAAACAGAATAGCAAGTCACCTGCTGAGACTTGGGGGTTGGAATGCTGAAGTGGGGCTAAGGAGACAGATGCAGATTGGAAGGTAGCAAATGGCTGAGGACCAGGAGAGAGAGTGATTGTTCAAACATTGGCTGGAAGATTATCTTCCATCATCTGCAACCACCTGTAATTTTGTTCCCACTAACTCCCAAGGAGTCTCCAGACCAAGGCTCACATGGGGATGAATGAAGGCCTCTACTTCCTTTTTCATAAAGGGAGGCTTCATTTGCATATGTTCACCCAGTTTGTAGCATCATCCACAGTTTCCAATAGGCATGCATGATCTCATGTGGGCAGACAGTGTGTTTCTGTGGTTGACTAGAGGAAGCCAGGGAGACATTTGCTACTGAGCATGGCTAGTATCTGTGTGTGTGAGAGTGAGTGTGTGTGTGTGTGTGAGAGAAAGAGAGAGAGTGTGTGTGTATGAATTTCGTTTCAAAATCCATATGACACCTACAGATGTTATCATGTTGTCTATTGAGATAAAGAATTTTGGAGTTCTTTTAATCACAAATATGGAAAATGTTATAAAACCTTCCCAAAGGCAAATCTGAACACTAAGATGTGTTGTGATGCCAAAGACTCTGCTTTGAAGGAGAAAAGGAAACACCTTCACCTACCATCAGTGTTCTGCAAGACAGTGACATCTTTCACAAATGCAACGTCTCCAGCATTCTCAGCCAGGCACCTAAAATGTTCCAGAAAATATACACATAATTACAGAAGAGAAACTAGTGGGGCTTTCATAAATATTTGTAATATGCATTCCAAAAACTGAAATATGGAAGTAAACATCTAAAAGACAACTATTTCTAGGAATTTACTGTTTACAGCGGCAGATTGAACACAGGTGTACCTGCCCTCCTTTTAAAACCCTATATAAAAGACATTACAAAACCAAGAAATCTAAAGATATGCGACCCAGGAAACAGGCAATCTAACATGAAGTAAGACAAAGGAAAGCACCAAAATAATGGTCAACAGGACCCCCAGGACCACAGATGTGCAGGCGGCCTACACAGCAACCAGTCCAAACTGCAGCAGGAAGATGGATGCCTTCTGGAGCAGCACTTCCAAGTAAATGATGAAACTGTGATAGCACCCAGAGAGAGAGAGAGAGAGAGAGAGAGAGAGAGAGAGTGTGTGTGTGTGTGTGTGTGTGTGTGTGTGTGTGTGTGTGTGTGTGTGTGTGTATGCATGTTGTTAGGAGATTTACATTACTGGCAGACAGTTTGGGGATGAGATAGTGATGTGTTTTTTTAAGTGCAGAAAATTAAGCAAATAAGAAAAGACATTTATGAACTCCAGAGTAAACAAAAAGTTTGTACAATAAGGGAAATATAATATGAGAATAACGCTTACACAGTCATAAGTACTGAATATGACATTAGCGTGTTGGGTGCTGAAGAGAGTTGAAGTCTGTGGTTGTGTGGTGGAAAAGGTGCTGGGGGCAGTGTGAGAGGCTAGATCTTCTTCTATACTACAGAGTCAGCAGAAAGTTAAAAATTAAGAACCAGCATTATAAGGATGATAGAAATAAAGGGGTATGACACTGGTTTCAGCTTTTAATGATTTTGCTATAAATTTCCCCAATCTAGATTCTAGATATAATTTAAACAAAAGACAAGGGATTTTCTTCCAGTATAATTAGGAATATTAAAATGTGGGTGTTTCCAGTGAACTAATACCTTGCTGCAGGTCTGAAAAAAAAAAAAAGAGGAGCACATGCTTCTTTCGGGCTCTTATGAGACATGTGTTCAGCATTTCTGAGTAGAATCACATTTCCATTTGCAAATCCTTAGTCCCTTAAAGATATTTTTATACATTCACAAAACATTTTTTTTTGTTTTGGGTCTTTTTTTATGAGCCACTTATATAGCAAAAGCTACTTTTCTGTCATTCCATTACTGGAACAAGGCTGTTGAATTTATATTAAAAAGTTCAGACACCCTCAGACACATGACGCCATCTGGTCGTGAAATGTACTCTTGGCAAATGGAGGAAAAGGAACAGGGGAAGATCCTCTCTGCACCCTTCACACTGGTAAATAGTGCCCCTGAGAAGCAACACCCGGATGAATGGTGCTGTAAAACGTGGGGTGTGGTTACAAGTCACTAAGTGGTTATAACTTATGAATTCTGAAAACTTGTTTTTTGGCTTATTTTTCACTTCGTTACTGGAGAATAACACTGCAATTCTGCCATCTCTTTGCCATTTCTAAGGCCAAAGTCAGAGAAAAAGGGAAACCTAAGCCATAGTCATGACCTAGGTGAGAAGAAAAGGGGCGGCGATGGGAAAGAGAATTCTTCCCCATAAATGGAATTGTAGGAAGCACTTAGGATACCACACTCTACCCATTTGATTTTCAGGACGAGGCTATTGAGGCCTACTGCTGTTGATCTTGGCTCAAAGCCACAGGGAGAAGCACTGCGGAGCTGAGGTCAGACAGCCCTGGTGCCAGCCTCCACTCTCTGGGGCGGTGGGTGTGGTGGGGACAGCCCTCACTGGGGCCACCCATGAGCTGACCCACAGGATGACCCCCACTCTGCTGTGACAGGTCACATCTGGCTCCTTAGAACTGCAATGCTGACATGCTGAGGGATGAGGTAAGTCCCCATCCTGATGGAGCTCAGTCACAGACTCACCGGAAAGCCCCAGTGTAGCCGTAGTATCTCTCGTTGCTGTTGGGCACGCACTTATTCTCACCCTGCTCGTCGCCAATACACAGAGCACAGAGATTAGATCTCGGGTCAGACCCAGGGGCACAGCTTTGACTGAAATATTCATCTGGAGAGAAGGAACACGGGGAGTCAGCTCTTCAAACCTGAGTCCACACAAGCAACCTTTACCTAACAGCCGATGCAGGGTGGTTTCAGTTCATTAGACTTCCCAGGACAGCAATCTAGATAGAACACACTCACCATCACAAAGCAACATGTTGTCACCAACATAGGACCCACCAGAAAAGCTTCATTCAGACTGTAGGCACAGATGGACACCCAACTAAGGCTGGGGATGAGAGCTGTGGCTGCCTGGAGGGTCCCGTCATCACAGCCTTGAGCTGGGGACTCAGCTCATGACCGTGATGGCTGTGTGCAGCAGAGCCTGTGAGTTGCCTAGTCCAGGATCTGATTTTGTTTTTATCAGTAATGGAAACCCTGCTTTGTATCTGGGTGCTTGGCCCTTTGGTATAAAGACTAGACTTATCAGACTCCCTGGGGCTCATATGGCCATATGGGTAGCTATAGGCCAGTGAAATATCAGCAGGAGTGTTGGGCGCCAGCTTCTCAGAAACATCCTTGAAAGACAATTGGTACATGCCTTTTGCCCTTTCTTCTCCTTCTCTTTCTTCATCCTGCACATAGAATGCAGAAGCAGGGACTGGACTTAGAGATGCAATGTGGGCCATGAGGTGACCTTGAGCATGAAAGCCACACAAATGGCAGAGTAGCCAAATGATTAAAGCCCAGGTTCCAGACCCCATATTGTCTTCATACCAGCCCTAGGCAAACCACCTCTGGACTACATGACACAGAAATTAACTTCTGTCTTGTTTAAGCCTCTACTATTTCAGGAGTTTTCTGTTCCTTGCAGCTGAACCTGATCTGAATTCGTTCATTGTGTGATTTAACCCAAGAAAGAATAAACAAAGGTGACAAGAAAGCTCTGCCCCACTGAGCAAACGTCACCCATTATCAGACTCCCACTGCTGCTGGAAGAGCCACACTATGTGTCAACCTCAGGAAAAGCTGGGAGTTCCCATTCCATCCTGGCAGTTTCCCTACAGCTCAGAGGCTGCCATGGAGCTGGTGAGGAGCAGAGCCACGTGAAAGCTGCCTGCCCCGGCCAGGATCAAAAACCCATGCAGTGGAGCCCCTGCCCTAGGAGACGCCCATACAAGAAGGGAGTCACATTGAGGATGTGCTACACACCATGCCACGGGGCCCACAGCAGGCAGGGTGTGGCTGATGCTGACTAGGATGAGTGTGGGGTGTGGTGGGGAGAGAAAACTGCAGAAGCAGGTGGAGCCAGGCTCTTGAGGTCTTATTCAGGCTCCGTTGCAGTGTAGAGTAAGCGTCAGTTTTGCTTAGTAACAGGAGTCACCTTTCATGAGGCAGGCAGACATCTTTCCCCAAGCTGGGAAGCCAGAGTTTAAGAGGAATTTAGGTCTGGAGCTCCAAGAGGTAAAAAGCATTTGCACATCTTGGAACTTGCATTTATTCTTAGGGTGCAGCGAAATAGGCAGATATTCCAATCTTTAATCTTGGGGTGGGGTGAATGGGGCATGGGAAGTGCTGTGCAGGGAAACCCCCAGTGCACCCACGCCTCCAGGGGGCAGCCACAGGGAGAATTTCCTTATGCTGGAAGAGGCCTGCAGGCCACTATCAGCCTGCAAATCCCCTCCCCTCCCTTCCCTAAGGTTCCACAGCACAATATGCCTACCCTCCAGGGTGGCCCACCCACCGCACCTTTGGAACTCCTTACCAAATTTGCAGGAGCCCGTCTGGTTGAAGAGCAGGCCCATGGGGATATTCCAGCCTGCAGTCCTGTCCACGGCGGTGTGGCAGGACTTCTTGCCTTTCACAGAGTTCCAGGTAAGGCTAGTGTCTGATCTCCTAACCACCGCCACAGCAAGATATCCTGGCATAACAGATGACAGAAAAACAAGTCTTAACCTCCAGGAGGCCTGGCACATGGATTCCAGTGGAGCTGTCTACAGCCCAGGCCAAAACAGGCCAAGAAGCAACACCAGGCAATGATTCCCTCAAAGAACTGGCCTTTTTAGGTAGACCGAGAAAGCATAAGCTGCTGCCTTATGTTAAGGTGAGATTGATGAAATAAAACAGTAAGAAAAGCTGATTATTTTAGTGATTACAGGGGACTGTCTTCAACCAGCCACACAATGTCCCTGAGTTACAAACCAGCAATGCATCTCTCAGTGTAAGCTTCTACAGCAACAAACACTATAAACAACAAGAGAGACCCCAACAGTGCATAAATCACCAACCACAGTGTGCATCAGGCAAGAGCACCAACATCCAGCCAGCTAACGGCTGTGTGGGTACAGGGGCACATGTCCCCAGGGACTGCCCTGAGCTGAGTCTGAACCCACCCTGCACTGGTTGAACTCAACATGGTTGCCGTTGTCCTCCTGAGAGAATGCATCTGACAGACACCCACCAAGGGCAAGTCTTTTCTGAAACTGAGCAAGCACCAGCTCTGGTGGGCAGGAGGAGTGGTGCACAGAGCACTGGGACACGAGTCCCAGGTCACGAGGACCCGGGGTCAAGACCAGGATCTACCACAGTATTACCTATGGCTGTGAGTGAGATCCTGGGCACTTGGGGACTCTCGGTGCCACTGTTTCCTCATCCCCATGAGGTGGGGAAGTAGCACCCCCCATTCCATGACCATGACAAAATGAGGGACTATATGGATGTTCTTTGCCAAGTGTGAAGGTCAATATAAACATTAATTAGAACTATTCCTCTGTGAATTATTTGCACCCTTAAAATTATTGCTCCTAGAAGCCCTATAGCTTCTAGGGCTGCAATTCTTTCTGTTTTTTTTACAGTTCCTGCCACTTCCTCTTCCAGCAACAAGAACTTATCCTTGACCCTGAAAGTGGCTAATGCCAACTCACCTTCCACAGGTCTATCCACACAGTTAGGATCAGGGTCACTGCTTTGTTGGGATTCTGAAAGAATAAAGACAAGCCAGACATCATTATCCATTCAGATGTAGTGAGAAGCCACAAACTCTTAAATCTCAATGATGCAGAATCAAATCCAAAGAGACCGTCCCAGCAGTTCCATGCAGGAGAAATGCGTCTATATGTTCAACAAAAGACATGGCACAGAGATTCACAGCTGCATTATTCACCACAGCCACCAACTGGAAACTACTCAAATGCCCATCCACACTCAAATGATGAATAATCACAGTAGACTCACACAGCGACGAGACTGAACAGTCTACAACTACACACTTAGGTGGATGAAAAGCATAACGATGAGCAAGAGAAACCAGACATAAAAAAACACATGCTGTGTAATTCCTTTAACATGAAGTTTAAAACATAGGCAAACTTAGATCTGCGACCTTAGAAGCCAGGAGAGAGGCTTCCCTTGCAGGAGTAAGGGGGCGGGGGACAGGAGGACATAAGGGGCTTCTGAAACTTGCAGTGTTTGTTCTGGGCCCGAGAGCATGGACTGTACAGTGTGTGAAGTGCCATGAGTTGTACATTTATGTGCACTTTTCTGTTTGTATGTTATAATTCACTGAGATCTTCTGGAAAATTAAGAAGATAAAACCAACCTGTCCCTTGTTAATTCTCAACACAATAGGCTTTGTGGGTAACACGGCCCCTTTCATTTCTTCTTTCCCTGATTCTCCCTTTTGAATGTATCTGTTCATCATAATGTTTCACCTGCATTCACCGAATGGGATTACTCATAGCCCCACTCCCATGACCCAGAGGGAATATACCAGAGGATGCTAACTCCACTTACTGTAGTTCTCTGCCAGGACAGGCACCAAACCACATTTGCCTGCAGTGTACACATATCCTCCATCCAAACTCATGGCATCAGCTTCTCCTTTCTGCAAAGACAGAGCAGATCTCCAGCACCACAGTGAGGCTGCATCCCGTCCTGCCTGTCTATATAGCTCTCTGAGAGAATGGTTTTCTGTCAGGTGACCAGTGAAACAGCAGAAAGAGATGGACTATTCAAACTGAGCAGCCAGAGGAAACACCGTGTGCACCACTAATTCTCTCCCAGCCCTGCCTACTTTCTGGGCTGTCAATTCAACTGGAAAGACCAGGCACAGGTTGCACTAATCCTCTGTCCTCTGAGCAAAACCTTTTCTGTGTCCCTGGCACTTTGGGGACACCTTCCTGGAGCAGTCTCACTGACTGAGGACACAGATGGGAACAGCTGGCCTCATCTAATCTGAACTCATTAGCACTCCACTCCAAGCGCTACACAGAAGTTGTCCAACACATAAGCTGAAGTCGTCATATTGGCCCACCACCAGAATGAACAAGTCCAGGCTACAACACAGGATCATGGACTCATCAGTAGTATGAAACTTCCTCTTTGACCCAGTAATATTTTTACAACTATATTAAAAATAGAGAAGTGGACAAAGATTTCTACTCAAGAATGCTCACCACAGGGTTATTGATAATAGCAAAGTAAGGGACAAAGAGGAATGGGGGCATGACTAAACTGAGCCATATTCACATAAAAGATATCCTGGAAGCATGTTTAAAAAATGTTTTCGTCCGAGTGCTGTGGCTCACACCCGTAATCCCAGCACTTTGGGAGGCCGAAGCAGGAAGATTGCTTGAGCCCAGGAGTTCGAGACGAGCCTGGGCAACAAAGCGAGACCCTGTCGCTACAATAATAATAATAATAATTATGCAGGTGTGGTGGCGTATGCCTGTAGCCCCAGCTACTTGGGAAGCTGAGATGGGAGGATCACTTGAGCCCAAGAGTTCCAGGCTGCAGTGAGATGTGGTCGCACCACTGCACTCCAGCCTGGGTGACAGATCAAGAATCTGTCTCTTAAAAAAAAAAAAATTAATGCTTTCCAAGAGTAAATATTCATGTGGAAGAATGCCCATTATACGCTGTTTAGTGAAAAGGGCTTAAAAACGACATACTGCAACACTTCATTATTGTTGCATGCATATCTGCAGATGTGCAGAGAAATACTGGAATGGAGAATTAGCCAGACTTTAACCATGTCTGTCCCTCTGTGTGAGATCACAGGTGGTTTGGGGGGTTTGTTGTTGTTTTGTTTTAACATAATACCTTTCCATATTTTCCAAATTCCTTATAATAATCCTGAGTTGTTCTTATAACCAGAGGAGTGGGAAACCCACAGTAAACTGCTTTTTGAAACTAAAATGCTTTCTGGCCCTGAGCACACCTCTCCAGGCATCCCTGCCTCACCCAGGCCCCCGTGGCCTCTTTGACTGTTGACTTCACTTTAAGCAGATGCCCAGGCCCTAGGTCTTCCACCGGGCCCACCGCCCGCCCCTGTGATGGAGCTCCCTACCAGCACCAGGGCGATGCAGTCCTCTGTGGTGGAGGCCGAGGAGCAGGTCACGCTGCCTTCGCTCAAGCCACTCCACTGGTTACACTTGCGCAGCTCCTGCTCGCCCACCGCACACCACACGACCCGCGCACGCCGGGCAGCCACTTCCTCCTCACCTGCCAGAGGGAAGACCGCAGGTGGCTGGGCAACCTGAGCTTTGCCAGGTTGTCCAACCTCCCCAGAGCCAGGGTCCTGCCCAGACTCTCCCTGGAACAGGAGCTACAGTACATGTGTGGACATGTGGACCCATACCCTCTCCTCCTCCACTTCTCAGCTCCAAGCCCCTTCTTCAGGTCCACAGAGCTCCCTGTGTTTCCCACTTCTGTTCCTTTGGAGAAGTTCCCTGGCTTCTAATCTATCCATTAATCTTTAGAGTCAGGAGGCGCCTATTGTCTCTGTCTCTGAGGATAAACGCTCCATGACCCAGAGACCAGTGACAGTCCCAAGAGATGGCCTAGGGGACCTTGAGCCCAACCCTGACTTCCCCTAACGCCTGCAATCACCACCAATAACTACGGTGCAGCCTCTGGGTTCCCCCAGACTCCCACCCCCAGCCCCCCAGTAGAGAAGGAGCCATAGCTGAGTTCCCCCACCATGGTGTCCCCAACTAAGTTCAAGGTCTGGGCCTGGGAAGTGTGGGTAAATCCAGGCCCCCGGATTCATCCAGGAGGGGTCCTGGCTATCTTTGTTCATGTTCATGTTTCTCACTTAATAGGAGGCAAACTGATTTTTCTGCCAGGCCTGGGGAGCCTGACGTGCACTGATCAGGTGGCCAGACTATTCTTTTAGAGACACCTGACCTAATCCACAGAAGACACTCACACCTGCATCAAACCTCCACGATGACCCCACAGTGTCTGGGAAAAGGAGTGACCGCCACAAAGTAGGGCCACCTGCTGGGAAGTAGAAGACCACACCAGGCGGACCTCAGGACCCTCCTGGGCTCACTCACTTTTCCTCAAGTTCTGGATGGCAGTGAAGTAGCCGGAGCCAAGGTACAGCCCAGAATCTATCCTCGGGGGCACCCTCGAAAACCCAATGGCAGAGTCCTTGAACAGCAGATCTTTCTGCCCACTAGGGGAGCCAAAGAGCTGGAATTTCGGTGACTTGTCCTTTCCAAACTTTTCCTAATTAAGAAAAAATAGAATTATGGTGTCAATGGTAAATAGGGAGGAAACAAAAAAATGATGTTAAAAAAGAGTATCTGGAGCTTTGGGATCATTCTAACTGAGAGCAGGAGCCTCGGTTGAGACCCTCCTGCAGAGGGACTTGTGCCATCTCGGAGACCCAAGCTCAGCTATGGCTCATTCTTTGAAGAGTTGCTGAGGTCCAAGCACCTTAGGGCCCTGAGAAGATTGCATCGACCACCCCCTGCTTCTGCTCCCATCATAAGACGCTGTCAGCCCGTGTGACAGAAGAGTTTCATTGCTTCTGCTGTCCACAGTACAGCCTGGGCAAGCAGCCCAATGCATTAGTGTGCTATCCTGCAGCAAAGCTACAGGACTTCTGGAGTGGCAGAAGTCAGGGAAGTAAGAAACCTTGCTCCCTGCCCCCCATATCCAAGCAAGTGGGGAGGACCGTGGGTGAAGATACCTGTGCCTGGCGGAGAAGATTCCAGATGGCATCCTCCTTGCCATTCACACTTCGTGCCACAACGGCATGAGAAGGGACCCGGGCCAGATGGCAGTCTTTGAACTTGTCCACTGGCTTCCGAGTGTTGTCTGGGCAGAGTAACTCATACTCGTCCCTTTCAGCCTCGTCTGACAGGTCCTCTGCAGGGAAGGTGAGGTGGGAGGGAGTCTAGATAAGCCGACTCCAGCAGTAACCTCGAGCTATAGTTCCCCTTCTCCCTATAGAATTTTGAGCTTGGGGAGATAGCTGACAAAACTGAGGGTCAGAAAGGCAGGGGTTTGCTCCAGAACACTCAGAAAGGTAAAGGTAGTGCCCCAAAAGCCTCAGGGGGCAGCCGAGGTGTGATCCTCATCCTAAATCACTTAGGCCACCCTGGGGTTCCCGTGCAGCTGCTGCCTGGCAGGCCAGAGAGGCCAAACCAGACCCGTCTGTTTCTGCGGCATCTCTGCCTGGAAAAGTCACTTTGCAGAGACAAGCTCAGGGGGCCACCAAGGGTTGCTCCCTTACTCACATCTCTGGGAAGAATAAAAATGACAAAAATGTTAACAAGGCAGGGAATAAGGCAGGAAGGTGAGACACTTTCCAACACTGAGTATATCAAAAGAAGGGGAAGAATGGTTTTATGAATGAGTTCAGGCAAATGTGGAATATCATATATAAGTTGCTTCAGAATGTGTAAAGTGAAAAAAATCTTGCCCGAGTCATTTTATGAGATTAGTACAACCTTGATGTCAAAATCAGAAAAAGTATAGGAGGGAAGAATTAAAAGTTTATTTTACTTACGAACATAAATGCAAAATTTGTAAATAACGTACTAACTAACTCAATCTCACAGAGTATTTAAAAAGCTAATAGATTGGAATGAAGGTTTACCAGTGTATTCCATTAACAAAAGAATGGCTGAACATCAAAAAAACTAAAGTAATCTGCATTTAATGGCAGAAAACCATGAGATCGTCTTCATCTTAATAGATGCAGAACGATTGTTTATGTGTTCAACATCTATTTGTGTGTGGTTTTTTTTTCAGCCTCAGAAAAATAGTAATAGATAGAATCGGTAAAGTTTTTTTGTTTGTTTTGAGACGGAGTCTCACTCTGTTGCCCAGCCTGGAATGCAGTGGTGCGATCTCAGCTCACTGCATCCTCCATCTCCTGGAGTCAAGAGATTCTCTTGCCTCAGCCTCCCAAGTAGCTGGGACCACAAGCGCACGCCACCAGGCCCAGCTAATTTTTGTATTTTTAATAGAGATGGGGTTTCACCATGTTGGCCAGGCTGGTCTCGAACTCCTGACCTCATGTGATCCACCCGCCTCAGTCTCCCAAAGTGCTGGGATTACAGGGGTGAGACACCACGCCTGGCCATAAGTTATTGGCTTGATAAATGCCATTAATCTACAGCAAAAACCTTACTAAAAGAAGAAAATGTAGACATTCACCGCAAAATCAGGAACAAGGCAAGGATGCCCACTGTTACAATGCCAGCACAATTCTAGATATCCAGATCACACAATTTACAAAAGAAATGTGAGATATAAACACTGGAAGGAAAAAGACACACTCTTATTTAAAAAGATGATATCGTCATCTACAAAAAACCAATGAAACCAACAGAAACTAATAAAACTACTCAGAGGAGTAACAAGTTATAAGAGCAACCTACAAAAATCAGATGTTATCCTCATTAACAATAACCAAATAGAAACCAATATGGACTATAAGATGTTACAATAGCAACTAAAACCATTAAGTAGCTAATAATTAGCCTCCCACAAAGACACATCAGACCCACAAAGGAAAAATTTTAGTTCTATCAAAGAAACTAAAAAGAGGTGTGATCAAATGGGGGAGATTTAGCATCACCATGGACTGGACAACTTAATGTTATAAATATGCTGATTTTTCATGGAACAATTTAAATTCAGTACAATTCGAATCAAAATTAAAGTATGATTTTTTCCAGAAATTCAACAAAATAATTCTGAAGTTTTAGCTGAGTATATTTGAAAAGGAATAATAAAGTGAGAGGGGAGAGGGAGCTCTCTCTCATTCTCTCTCTCTTCCTCTCACTGGCTCTCTCTCTTTCTCTCCACCAGATAGTAAGACCCATTGGTAAGCCACAGTAACAAAAGCAGAAAAAATGCAAATACACCAATGAAATAAAATAGCTCAGAAACTGGTCCACTTGGATATATACAAACTTGGTGTAGAATTGGCTTCACATATGGCAGAAAAAATATACTTTTTTTATTGTAAGGTAAATTGCCTCACTGTAAAGGGGATAAAATGCTAAAGCCAAATCTATATCTGACTTTCTAGGTAGAGCACATATAAATAGATGAGGAAGGGGATCTTCAAATCTTATTTTAGGAAATAATTATGATTTGGGTGTGAAGAAGGGCATCTTTGAAATATCTCAAAACTACAAACCAACAAGGTGAGGCTTGTGGATTTGACCTTATCAATATCAAGGATTTTTGATCAACAGAGACTACCGTTGTCAGATTTTTGACTGAGAAGAGGTTTTACTAAAGTTTAAAATCAGCAATAGTTTGATACCTAGATAGAAGGAACTTCTGTCCTTGAATCAAAATCATGCAGAAACAAGGTGTGAAACTCAATTTAAAAAGTAGTCAAATGTCACAAAATAAGAAAGGGAAGCCCAAACGGCTAGCAAATATGTTGAAATGATCAAACTCACCAGCTGTCAGAGAAATGAAAATTAAAAATAAAACGAACTATCTATTGCATTACAACCATCATTCGGACAAAAAGTATGAAAGTCAAAAATACTTCTAACTGAAGTTGTGGGGAAATTAGAACACTTGCAGAGTGTCATTCCAGACAGCAGCTTGGTGATCCTGGGTGCATGTGGGGTCTGTCTCTGGTGGCCCTGGGTGCATGTGGAGGTCTGTTTCTGGTGGCCTCTGATGAATGCGGGGTCTGTCTCTGATGGTCCTAGGTGAATGTGGGTGTTGTCTCTTTCTCTGGTGGTCCTGGGTGGATGTGGGGTGTGTCTCTGATGGTCCTGAGTGAATGTGGGTGTCTGTCACTTTCTCTAGTGGCCCTGGGTGGAATATAGTAGCCCTGTCTCTATTGGTCTTGCATGAAATGTAGTGAGCTTATGTCCACTAGTCCTGGGTGCAGTGTGTTTAGCCTCTACATACTCATCAACTGCTTTATTATAAGTCCAGGAGGGACGCTGTCCAGCACGTAAGTAAGGAACACAGGTGAAGGTATCAGTCGTGTGGCTGCATGTGGTAGAGGAAAAGAGAGCACAACCTCTGTCCATCACTATGGTGACAGAGAAGTAAAAGGTGGATGTATTCCACGGAACACTCCTCAACTGTTAGGACCCCTGAGCTAGACATGTATACAACAATACCGATAAACCTCTAAAACAAAATGCTGAGCAGAAAACCCAAGTAGCAGGATTTCTAATGCTCACTAAAACCTCTATGAACCCAGAAACCGGAAACACAAACCAGCACAATCTGTTCTGCATGAGCACATGTGTCTTGGAGGACTGGAGGACGCATTGCCAAGCACCTAGGCATGGGTGTCTATGAGGGGAAGAGAAAGGCAGTAGGCACAGGAGGTTTGAAGAAAACTGATCATTTAAAATATGAAAGATCATAAAATCAGAGCTGTGCCCTGTAGGAATCTTGAAAATGGTCTGCCATGAACTTAGGAATCTAATTAGCTCAAAGGTCAGAGTCATGATCAAGTAAGATAAAAGGGGTCAGTACCCACGGCTCATTACCCTGCTCTTACCAAACACTGTGCTCTCTCTGATAAAAGCCACGTCTCCAGCCCCGTCTCTCAGACACCTGTGAAAAGAGAAACCATCAGGGGTAAGCACAGGCAGCCCTCCCCAGCCCCTCCCTGTGGAACAGTAGCCCTGGCACTCAGCATCTATGGGTTTCTACTCCCTGCAGGGCAGGGCTCTGAAGCTTTGGGGCATCCCAGCTGGGAAGGTAGGGGCCCCCTCCAGGTAGATACTGAAGAATGACTCAGGTGCTAGCCAGAGGCCCCCATCTTCTGCTTTGAGGGCTAAGAGGACAAAACTTTTTTCTATATAAAGGAGAGTTTTGAAGCCTCTACCCAAGAGGGTAAAGCCTTAGCATCACTGTTCATGTGGCTGTTTTCCTCAGGACTGAGTGTGCAGGTGTGCCCTGGCCAGTGGGGAAGTGTGGAGGCCTCCCTCTGCAAAAATACGCTAGTGCCAGCAGACAGAATGGGAAAAGGGGGAGCTCAGCCTCCGCGTGGGGGCAGAGAGGATGGGGGCGAATCAGGCATTGCTCACTGTCCTTCAGCCACGGGGAGAGGCCCAGGTGGGCAGAAGGACATCAGCCTGGACACTGCAGCGGTCCTGCCCAACCAGGAGCCAGGACTGGACATCTCATGACAAGATGCCTTCAGTCCTGCTGTGGTTAGGCAGGCGGCAGAAATTAGTATGAGGAACCCAGGACAACAGGGCAGCCAAGTTGGATTCAGGGCTCTCTGAGGTAACAGGAGGGCCCACAGCCACAGTGACTGCCCGTGGGGCTGGTGAGAAGTTGGGGGCACAGTTGGGCCCGGAAGGCTGGAGGGGAACACACACTGGGCAGGCCTGCACTCTCTTTGGACACACAGCAGTAGGAGAACAGACCTCCTCTCGTCCCCAAGAGCAGGCTGGGCTCTATGTGGGGCCAGAGAAAAGGCCTCCCGGCCTGAGGCCAAGGGACACTTGGCCACTGACGAGAAGGGGACAGGGTCACTCACTTGAAGGCACCAGAGTAGCTGAAGTACGGTTCCTGGGAGGAGAAGGCACATTTGTTTTCCCCTGTCCCCGCACACAGGCGACACAGGTTGGGGAACTGTCCTTTATCTGCACCGGGAACACAGCTGGCTGAGAAGAACCTGGCCACAGCTGTTAAACACAGAGAAGTGGACCACAGAGTGTGAGCCAGCCCTGGTCACAGCAGGTTACACCTCCCATCCTGAGGTCTCCGTGGGCAAGGCCCCTTCCTCCACCCCTGCAGGAGAGACTCTGTCATGGGGCTGGGAGCTCGAGACATGCACCTCTGCCGAGAGCAGACTCAGCTGTGCCTCCCAAGGGCTGCTAGGGTAACGGATCCTGCCAGCAGGATGTTACAAGCTGGCCAGCCTCACCCCCACCTTGATTCATCCCACACTTTCACCTGCATGATCTGTGTGGCCTGTGCTTACAACTGGAATAGAGCCCCCTGCCTGAGGCCACTCACTATCCCCCAGCCATCTTACCTGCCTCAATGGGCTCAGGTGGACCCGTCCAATTCAAGAATGGACGAAGTGTCCCTATAGGGACATTCCATCCAGCGGTCCTGCGAAGGCCTGTGTGGCAGGACTTCAGACCTTGCAGTTCGTTCAGCTGAAAGCTGCCGCCCTTCTTCACCACAGCCACGGCATAATAGTGAGTTCGTGGCTCTGCAAAGGGGCAGACAGAATTGAAAGTTCTTAGCCTGGACAAGAGGGACAAAAACAACCCATCCTGAAAAGTCTCCGGTGGGAAGGGGGAATGCTGTGCTGCAGTTTCCTCACAGCTCACGTGTGTCCTCCTCTCGTGGGTCAGCGTCAGGAGGAACGGCCTTCATCTGGCCCAGAGCCCAGCGACTCCATTCCCTACATGTGTGATGTGACCCAGACTCCACCTCCACATGTTCCCCCAGTCTTAATCCACACAGCTCAGGGCACAGGCTGAGGCCACCGTGGCCTCTGGGTCCCCAGGCAGAACTCACGTCTTTCGGTCCCGTAGACTTCCGCCGCTACAGGTCGCAGTTTGTAGGGGGCCAGGCCTGCCTCGTATATGAAACCACCATCAAGGGTCACAGCATCGGCCCTGTTTTCCTGAAAGTAAAGAGGCCAGACTGGCTTCAGCAGAAAACTCACCCAAACCCAGCAAGTGGGACTTCAGGACCTCAAAAAGTCTCCATGGCTGGAAGGGTCGTCAAAGGGGTCCGCTTTCCATCCTGTCCCCTCACTTCCTATGAGAGATGGTGAGAGCCAAGGACCCCTGTTTTGGGACAGTGAGCACCAGCCCTCTAAGTCCTGAGACTGGCGCCTGCCCTCTTTCTCCTCTGCCTGCCTGTGTCACTCTCCCGATCACACCCCTCACAGTCATCTATATTTGAAGTCGTTTGTTCTAGATACTTTCTATTTTTGCTCTATATTCATTTCTTTTAAGTTCTGTTTTATTGGATAGAAAATATAGTTATTAAGCTATCCTAAAATTTTCATAAGAAACCATGTTCCTCCGCTTCAGCACATTGCTTCCCACATGATTACATATTTCTTTGGTTTGCAATGTGGGATAGTTTAGTGGTCCCCAACTTTTTTGCCACCAAGGACCAGTTTCAGGGAATGTAATTTTTCCACAGACAGATGGGGAATGGTTTTGGGATGAAACCGTTCCACCTCTGATCATCAGGCATTGGATTCTCATAGGGAGTGCAACCTAGATCCCTCGCATGCACAGTTCACACTAGGGTTCACACTCCTATGAGAATCTAATGCCGCCGCTGATCTGACAGGAGGTGGAGCTCAGGCAGTCATGCTCACTGGCCCTCTGCTCACCTCCTGGTCTGAGGTCTAGTTCCTAACAGGCCATCAACCGGTACCAGTCCGTGGCCAGGTGGTGGGGACCCCTGGGATACATCATATTTTGTGGACTGCTTATTCCTCTAAAACTGGATACATTTTCTAACTTCTGCAGAGCCTTTACTGATTTTGTAGACAGCATAATGTTTTCTCATAATGTGGGTGTTCTATCGTGTATTGAATAATTTCCCCCAATGTTTAGCATTTAAGTTTATTTCTAACTGTTTCCTGTGAAGACTGTATTTTCATGAATATCTTTGTCCTCAGTGTTTTTCCTTGTGACCACTTGTGTCCTTGGGTAGGCAGCTGAGGGTGGAATCCCCCAGATGAGGAGCACGTTTCCCCCTGTGACCCGGGCTGCCGTTGCCATTCTGCTTCCAGAAGACTTATAATACCAATTCAGAATGGCGCTGACCGTGAGGACCAGCTTCACTCTTGAATCACCAGCAGGGCAGGCTATCATTCTATTAGCTGTTATTACTATAGAAAATGTGAGTACTAACAAATCGCTCAGGTCTGATTAGTAAGGGGAACATCTCACAAGTATTTTTTATTAATTATGAATTCCCTCTTACTGGTAACTCTGTTCATATCATTTTTCTTCTATGATTCTACATTTTTTCCAATTTGGGTTATTCTTTTATTTATTTATTTTTTCGAGCGGAGTCACCCAGGCTGGAGTGCAGTGGTACCATCTCAGCTCACTGCAACCTCCACCTCCCGGGTTAAAGCGATTCTCTTGCCTCAGCCTCCTGAGTAGCTGGGACTACAGGCGTGTGCCACCATGCCTGGCTAATTTTTTTTTTTTTGTATGTTTAGTAGAGATGGGGTTTCACCATCTTAGCCAGGATGGTCTTGATCTCCTGACCTCGTGATCCACCTGCCTTGACCTCCCAAAGTGCTGGGATTACAGATGTGAGCCACCACGCCCGGCCTTGAGTTATTCTTTTATAGAGTGTAAATAGTAATCATGTGTCAGAGCTGGCGCATATTCATTCATTCCAGTCCTTTCTAATTTTTTTATTTAAATATTTTCTATGGGCTATGAATTACATTTTCTGTATTTTAGAATATCTGTTTGTTTCGTGATTTAGATCATCATTTAAGAGATTTCTATTTCCTCTACAGTTCTGCTAGTTAACCTGCCCCCTAGTTTTTCAATAATACAAGTTTTATTTTTAACCATTTAATCTATCTCAACTTTATTTGAATGAATGGTATGTAGTACTGATTTCAAACAGGGATCTTATTTTCCGAGATCAGACGAGATCAGACGCGTTCAGCGTGGTATGGCCTTGGACAGGATCTTATTTTAAAAGGCAGATTTTGTGGCTTCTTTCACATATATTCAGATTGAGTAGGTTAGAATAGAGCCTAGGAATCTGCATTTTAAACAAGCAAGAGATGCTGGTGCTGGTTTTTTGTTTTTGTTTTTTGTTTTTTGAGATGGAGTCTCGCTCTTGTCGCCCAGGCTGGAGTGCAATAGCATGATCTTGGCTCACTGCAACCTCCCCCTCCCGGGTTCAAGTGATTCTCCTGCCTCAGCCTTGTAAGTAGCTGGGAATACAGGCATGTGCCACCACACCCAGCTAATTTTTGTATTTTTAGTAGAGGCAGGGTTTCACCATGTTGGCCATCCTGGTTTTGAACTACTGACCTCAGGTGATCCTCCCACCTCGGCCTCCAAAGTGCTGAAATTACGGGCGTGAGCCACCGCGCCCAGCCACTGGTACTGTTTGTATGCAGGTAATAGTTGTAAAATAATAGCCTAAAACATTGATTAAACTAGATTTTTCCCTAAGTGCTATTCTAATAACTCCATTGTATTTATAAGATAATCCTATGAAGTTGCCTCGGGAACTTTTATGCAAATTATTCACTCTGCTGGAGTTGAGTACACATGATTATGGCACATGGCAGGTACACAGAATATATTTGTTGAATGAATGAGTAAAAATCATTTCAGTAGATCTTACATCTCAAAAAATAAAAGGAATCAGAAATCATATACAAGTCATGATACCCTTTTCTCTCTCTCTGAAAGTGTCTTGGACAAAAGTCTTTCTAACACCCAGCACCCTGGCAGGCCCTGCCCCAGCCATGTGATGTGGCAACGGTGACCAGGACAAGCTTCTTTCTCACAGGGTTTAGAGGTCATGACTCTTTTGGAGGATTTCCCTCTCTGAGTAACTTTGCTTTTTGCTGATCCTATGTATTCATCAAATACAACTGATTACATTTCATTTTGGAACAGTTGTTATTAATGAATAACAGTTGTTATTATAGTTTATGTGGAGGCTCCAGGTTCCTCACACATGGTCTCTTGACTTAAGCTCCTTCCTTTCTGCTCTGAAAATAGCACAGTTCCCTGTGAGAGAGGACGGCTCCCCACTTCGTTGCCCAACAGGTGAAGCAGAGGAAGTAAGGAGAGCTCGTGTTCTATCTTTTTCCATTTCTCTCTCCCTTCCATTCAGCTTGGTCCCAACCAACACCCGGCATTGACTCACCGCAATGGCCTGGATACACTGGATGGGGGAGTCTCTCTTTATGCAGCTGACAGGAGGGCCACGCACTTTTCTCATATTCCTTTGCCATTGGAAGCATTTTGTGGCCTCGGGTTGGGATACGGCGCACCACTGAACACTCCTCCTACGGCCAGCCAGACACAGTCCTGGGAGAGAGGGGCCAAGGAGTAAGGATTCAACCACTGACTGAGGGCGTGACCACCGCACCCTCTGATGGAGTTTTCCAGACTCCTCCCTCTCTCTCGGCTGCCCTCCTTCCCTCTCCATTTCATGGCTATGTCCAGCCATTCTCCACAAGTGGAGGCATCTTGCTGGACTAATAGGATCTCTGCATTGGCTAGAGGTCTGTGGTTCTCAATAAATTAAAGGAGAAAGTCCCTCTAGATTATTTTCATTCCTATGACTTTGACATGTTTCCTACCACTTAAAAAATGATGGTGATCCCCCAGATCAGTTATGGAATTCTTCTACCAGCTTTGCCCACTTTGAACCTGGAAGGTAGGCAGGAAAGGAGTCATTGCTCCTGTTTTACTGATGTGGAAATTGGCTCCTAAGGAGGCTGAGTGACTCGCCACTCAGCAGTGCAGAGCCCAGCTGAGAATCCACGTCTCTCTAGATTGTTTTGTGCATAAATCTCTTCCCAGGGAATGCCAAGAGAACAGGGGAAAATATACCTGAGTCGGTTGGTAGCTGAGGTAAATGGTAAGTCAGTGTCAATGGGGACAAATCAGTTGGTTGGTGTGCCTGAGCTACCACCATTCACTCTGCACAGAAAGACTGGTGCTCCTGTTGAGCCTGCTTTTTTTGCTCAAATACTGGTTCTTCTTTTGAGCCTGCTTTTGTTGCTCAAATCCATGTAATTAGGGAGGAAGATGCATTGAATTTACTCACCTGGTTGCCTGATAAAAGGCATCCACAAAAAACCTGCAATGAACATCATACTAAAATGGTGAAAGACTGACTGCTTTCCACCTAAGATCAGGAATGATGAGAGAGTGTCCACACTCAACTCTTCTATTCAACAGTACTAGAGATTCTAGTCACAGCAATAAGGCAAGAAAAGAAATGAGACACCCATATTGGAAAGAAAGAAGTAAAACTGACTTTACTTTCAGATAACATGATCTTCTATGTAGAAAATACTGAAGAATCTACAAAGTACTATTAGAATTAATAAACAAGTACAGCCAGGCCACAGGATACAAGATCAATATACAAAAATTGATCATATTTTTGCATACAGCACAGAACAATCTAAAAATGAAATTAAGAACATAATGCTAGATAGTATAACATCAAAAAGGATTTAGTACATGACGGGTAAATGATAAGAACAGACATTTTACCAAAGAAGATATATGAATGGACAATAAGCACATGAAAAGTGCTCAATATCATTAGTCAAAAATGCAAATTGAAAATGCAACGAAATATCATTTCACAGCCACTGAACAGGTTATAATAGCTAAAACAGACAATGACACATATCGATGAGGATGTGGAGAAGTGGAAACCCTCATACATTGCTGAGAATGTAAAATGACCAGCCACTTTGTAAAACAGGTTGGCAGCTTCTCAAAATGTGAAGCACAGAGTTCCAATAGGACCCAACAATTGCACTTCTAGGCATATAGCCAGAAGAAATATTATAAGAACCTATCATACATAAATGCTTGTGCATGAATATTCATAGCAGTGTTATTTAGAATAGTAGAAAACTGGAAACAACCTAAATGTCCAATAACTGGTGAATGTACATCCATTCAATGGAATATTACTCAGCAGTGAAAAGAACTACTGGCATGCCCCACAACATGAACGAGCCTCAGTTATGCTCAGTGAAGGAAGCCAGACACAAGAGACCACATGCTGTATGATTCCATTTGAATGAAATGTCCAGAAAAGGCAAATTTATGGAGACAAGAAAATAGATTAGTGGTTGTCTGATGCTGGGGTAGAAATGAGGATTAACTATAAACAGGCATGAGGGACCTTTACTGGGGGGGATAAAAGTGTTCTAAAACAGATTTATGGTGATAGTTGCACACTCGGTAAGGTTACTGAAACTCATTGAATTGTACGCAAATAGGTGATTTTTTATGATATGGAAAATGTACCTCAGTAAAGCTGTTACCAAAAACTAAAACAAAAAACAAACAAACAAAAAAACAAAATAAACACACAGTTGTAAAAGCCCTCTGCCCTTTGGATGTGCTATGGGGTAGAATGTTCAGCCTCTGCTGTCTCCTGTTTCTGAGCCATCCCCTTATGGCGAGAGCCACCCATGGCCCTTGGGTGGGCAAGAGGCCTGTAGCTCCCTGGCTGAGTCTGCAGAGGTTTGGGGACACCTAGCTGCCATACTCCCCCTTCATCCACCCTCATCCCGGGGAAATCCCAGGGAATATAATCTTGCCTTGGAAGCCTTTATAGAACTATCCCACACTGAGAATTAACCCAATCAGATGCAGCCATTTGTGACCCAGTGAGCATTAACTGGATGCCTGCTGTACAAACAGCACTGTGTGTCACGCAAGGAATGTGTAAGCGGACAGGACCAGATTTCACTTCTCACTGGAGAGGCAAAAATCCAAAAAGAGGAAGCTAAGAATGGTGGATGTGTTAAAAGAGAACAAATACCAAACAAATACCAGCTAATGGAGACATACGTGTCTCCATTAGTTGCCACAGCTCCTCTGTATTGTGAATTCTGCCAACCTCTCCATTCTCCAGGGGAGGGAGCTATGGCTTTAACTAGTTATGTGGCTTGTGGAAGTTCCCATAGCTAATAAGTAAGTGTTGGATCTAGGACTCCAACCTAAGCAGTCAGGCACTAAACTCCCCTACTCTTACCACTGGGCTAGCCTGCCTATTTAGGTTGGCAAAGTTAGAGACAGGTTGGAGATGGGGCTAGAAAAGGGTCTGGGTCAGATCCTGGAAAGTCTCCAATGCTGATCCAGGGAGGTCTTATTCAGGATGCAGTGAAGCTGTGACTCACGGGAGACTCTCCCTAGGGCAGGGGCAGAGTGAACTGAGACCTGGGAACAGGCAGAGAAGCTGTGGCCAACGAAGGCACCAGGGAAGGGCTAGTCTGAGTGGAGAGAGGGGACAGCACTGAGAACAGAGAAGGGGGCAGGGAGCTGGTATCAGAAATCAGCTTGGTAATGGGTGGGTTCTGGGGGTGAAGGGAGAGAGTAAAATGGAAGACCATGCCTCAAGCCGGAGGTGGGGGCTGAGCAATGACGGGAACCTGTGGGCAGAGTTCATTTCTTCCCCTAAGAGGAGCTGAACCAGAGTGACTAAAGGACCGCTGAGCTCCCTTCCAGGATTCCCAGTCCCCAGCCCCCCAAACACCAGGTGAAGTCTCCACGCTCTTACCTCCCAGCTCTGGAGCTGTGTGACCCACAAGCTCTTACCTCCCAGCTCTGGAGCTATGTGACCCCCTGAAGCAGGTCTAGGTCTGGCCCCTCCAAAATCTTCAACCCCACACTTGTATTCAGTGTCAGGCACTCAGATGCTGCCCACTGGACCTGGCTGGACACTGGCCAAAACACACATTCTGGGCAGACATGCAGTGCGCTGGCCTCCAAGGCAGGGGCCAGGACAGGAGTTACTCTCCCCACCTACCCACACAGCTCATGATAGGGCCCAAGCAGACTGCTCAGACTGATGGGAAACCTCATGAGTGCCTCCCAGCCCATGGCTCCAGGGCTAAGCAGACAGACTCCTCCACCCAATGCTCACACGGCTTAGATCCAGCTGGCCCCACTCACCCAACTTCTGTCAGCCTGGACACCCACGGGGAGCAGGGCAGGAATTCCACAGGGCAACTGCCACCCTTTCCTCAGGAAGGACAAGGGTTGCAATGGCACTTTGGGGTACAAGCCACCATCCCAATTGACTGCAGGATTCAAACTTCAGACCTCAGTAGGCGCCAAAACAACTAAAGATCCAAGTGAATATAAAACCCAGTGGTGCAACTCTGAGCCAGAATCCTGGACCACAGCCCATGACCACTTCCAGGAAGGCAAGGCTTCCTTCCTCTCCTGCCCCTCCCAGGTGGCCCTAACCCTGTGCAACAGGCCACTCGCCAGGGAGCTTGAGGGGAAGAGAACAGTCGGGTCCTGGCCAGTCCCAATCTGTCTTAGAGAAGAGAAGGATGACCAACACCCATGGGAAGGAATTTGGAGCAGGAGACCAGAAGGGCAGGGACAAGGATGGGTTTGGGCTCCCACTGCTGCTCTCTATCCACCGCCACCTCTTCCATCCAGGAAGCTCCCAGCCTTAGGTAGATGCCGTAAGACAAGTGGAGGCTGCACTGGGCTGGGGAGGTGTGACACCTGGGCTTTCACTGTGCCCCTCCCACTGCCTAGGTCCTGATGCCCATCACAGCCCTTTCTGCTGCGGCCTGGGACCTTCCCCTCCCGGTGCTGCAGGGAGCTCCGCACTCACGCATTTAGGTCACTAATGTGCAGCGCTGGGGAGTGCCCTCTGAGCACCCGAGAAATTACTTTGGTTATGGAACTGACAATTGTTTCCTTCCTTCTACTCCTTCCTTCTGTTTGGCTGACATTTCCCTCTCAAACCCTCTGACACAGGGTTCCATCAGGAGCACCGCACCCCTCCACAACCCTCTGCCACGGAAGGTGTGCGAATGCCCCATCTCCTCCT
This sequence comes from Homo sapiens, assembly GCF_000001405.40. Classification (NCBI taxonomy): domain Eukaryota; kingdom Metazoa; phylum Chordata; class Mammalia; order Primates; family Hominidae; genus Homo; species Homo sapiens. The sequence continues at coordinate 46,464,342 of NC_000003.12, forward strand.
CACAACCCTGTGGACCCATGGTTAGGCCGTTTCTTTAAGTGAAGAAACTAAGTCTCATAAAGGCTCGGTCTTGCTGGGGTCTCACAGTCCTCGCAGGAGCTAGGATCTGGACTAGGGTCCTTGAGCTAGTCGCTCACCCTCTCTGAGCCTCACTTTCCTCCCAGGTAAAACGCATGTCACAATACAATGGGGACCAAATCCTTAGGCGGGACACAAAGGGACAGGGGCCTGGGAGGCCTTTTGAGAAGCTCTGAGCAGAGCTAGGCGTGCCCCGATCCGGCTTGAGGAGCCCAGCTCCTGTTCCTCCCCATGTGGGAAAGAGACTGGCCCCGCGTCCGGGCCGCCTCCCGGCTGTAGGCGCTGGGACCGCGGGGCGCAGAGACCCCGCGCCCAGCCAACCGGACACAGGGACCAAAGCGCCTAGCAGACAGGGCGCAGGAGACGCCCATCAGGCGGCTCGCGCCCCCAGGCACCTGCACTCACCGAGGGCCCCGAGGAACAGCAGGACGAGGAAGACAAGTTTCATGTCTGCGGTCTGGAGGCGACTTGGCAAACGAAGGCTCTGCCACTTGCGCCTGCCCTGCGCCCCTTTATTCAGGGCTTTGCCCCGCCCTGTTGCCCAATAGACACCCCTTCCCTCCCCACTCCCCGCGGCCAGGTCTACTTGTTCCTTGAGGATCCAGGCTCCGAAAAGCCCTGAGGCAGGACAGGACTCCACACCGCGCTGCGAGAGGAAAGCCAGCCTGCACCTCACCTGTCCTGGTTCTGCCTGGCTGCTGCGATGTTCTTTCTCTCCCACTAGTCTGCAAGCCCCTAGGAGTCGCAGCCCCCTGAGCCCTGTCCCAGCTCTGGTCTCAGTGCCTTCTAGAGGGCAGGACACAGAGCAGAGGGTCTTTACTTGAAGATCGCCTTGACCTGTGAGACTGCTATCTTCTTCAGCAGATGACCTTGAAGGTGCCTAGGAGCCAGTTAGGGCAGGTGGATTTGCTTTCACCTTGGCTCAGCAGTGAGCTGAGAGTTGAAAAGATGACCCGACCACCCCCAGCAGCAGCCTAGGGACAGCTGACAGAGAAAAGAGAGGCTGCCCAGAGTCTCAGGCAAGCTGCCCATGGGGTATCTCCCTGCCCTGCTGAGACCCACAATACAGCTCCCAGAAAACAGACAGGGACCTCAGAGGGGAATGGCCACCACCCAAGGCTGGTTCCATGTTCTTATTTGCCAATGAGAAAGATGCCCTATGGCTAAGATGCCCTACCACTTTTTTTTTTTTTTGTCTTTTTTTTCTCCATCTCCTCCTTCTTCTTTTTTGGTGTTGATAGTATTCAGTAGGAAATGGTAACCTCATTTTAACAATCGCCATAAATGTCAGATTTTAAAATTCAAAAGCTAGAATACTGCTTCTAAGAATACATCTCGTAAATACATTCCCATGACACACAGCACCCCAGGTACAAATGTTTCCAGGCACCACTGCATGCCATTAATCAGTTGGAAGCAAACTAAACATCCATCTCTAGGGGAGTGTCACATACAGCATGGTGCCTGTGGGACACATTGGGGGCCTCAGAAAGAATATCCTGTGTGTATGGATGTGAACTTAGCCCAAGAGTAACTAGGCAGGGCACAGTGGCTCATGCCTGTAATCCCAGCACTTTGGGAGGCCAAGATGGGAGGATCGCTTGAGCCCAGGAGTTCAAGACTAGCCTGGGCAACATAGGGAAACCCCCATCTCTACAAAAAATACAAAAATTAGCCCAGCATGGTGGTGTATGCCTATGGTCCCAGCTACTTGGGAGGCTAAAGTGGGAGGACCATTTGAGCCTGGGAGATGAAGGTGGCAGTGAGCCATGATCATGTCACTGCACTGCAGCCTGGGCAATAGAGTAAGACTCTGTAACCCCCACCAAAAAAAAAAAGGGTAACTAAGTGAAGAAAAAAGGTACTAACAGTGAGGGAAATAATAGGTCACCTGAACACCTTTCTTGGCAGGTGAGTCTGACCAATATGTGACTCTGAAATCTGCTTATTCTGAAAAGCTGGTCTTGACTCTGCTTAGACTACTTGGTACTAAAAAGCATTTCCTGGAGCAGATAGGCAATGCCCCAGGGAGCCAGCTCTGCCAAGAGTGAGCATGCAGTGGGCACCTAGCCATGGAGAAGCAGGCTCAGCCCAAGGTGGAGAGGCCATTAAGGAGGCTGGGGAGCCCCTCCATTTCTGGGCATGATCCTGCCAAGGCACAGGGTGGAGGCTAATCAGGGATCATGCTTGCCTGCCATGAGACTGGGGTCTGAGATTTGGTGCTAGAATCACCAGCTGGGTTTTGGGGTGACAGATCCAAGGTCTCTCATTGTTTGGAAACATGATATTGCACCATTTAAAGTTGCCATCATCAATAATTGCAATAAGTTCTTTCAAAAATACTGAAGAAATACAAAATTGACTAATTCCCAGGAGTGCTGAAGCATCTTTGTACCTAAATTGGCAACAAGACTTTGCCTTTTCATCATTATAAAAGAATTAAGAAACATCATAACCCGTGTCTCTTTTTCTGAGTCCAAATTTTAAAAAAGGATGACTGGGAGGTCAGAGGGCCCTGGGCCCTCTTAAGTATGTTACAGTGTTGGCAAGAACACAGAGAACCTGGGGCCACTACCAAGAGGCTCAGCTTAAGGAGTGCCCTGAAGGCAGCATGGGTAGGCAACAGGGCAGACTGTTTTCCTGCTGTGCCTGTTGGAACAGCCCAGCCCCAGGGCAGGGATGTGAGCATCTGGACACAGGCAGAGCAGCCCCTCAAGGCCATTTGCAGAGGAGGCTGATGTAGGGGATGAGTCTGCCCCAAAAAACAATGAAGTTTCACTGATCTATTAACAGCATTCATTCATTCATTCATTCATTCATTCATGCCAGAACTGGTAGATGCCATGAGAGACAGAGAAGAGGGGTCTGTCCTTGCCCTCAGGAGCTCACAGCACTATGGGGGAGGGACAGTCACAGGAATGCACTTCTATCACAGAGGCTCCCTAAGAAGAGGCCAAGCAGCATAAAGCAAGTGAGTGTGAGGGCCCAGAGGAGGAATGACCAGCACCCATCATGAGGGCTCCAGAAGAACTCCAGGAAGATTTAGCCTGGGTACCTGAAGGAAGGGTGGGATTTCTACAGGTAGAGCATTCTGTAAAGTAAACAACCAAACAAGTAAAGGCTTGGGAGCATGAACCCAGTGACCAATTACCTGAGCACTAGGGACAACAAAAGTTCCCTCTGGCTTTCTGGCCAGGAATTCTTTTTTTCTTTTCTTTTCTTTTCTTTTTTTTTTTTTTTTTTTTACCGACAGGGTCTCCCTCTGTCACCTAGGCTGGTATGCAGTGGTGGTGCAATCACAGCTCACTGCAGCCTTGACCTCCTGGGCCCAAGCGATCCTCCCACCTTGGCCTCCCAAAGTGCTGGAATTACAGGCATAAACCATTGCACCCAGCCATGGCTTGGAACTCTTGTTGGAAGAAGGATTAACAAAATCCTCCTCCTCTATCCTGAGCTCCACATCATGTGTTCATCTGCCTCTGGAAAGGTACTCTTGCAGGTCCTGAAGGCGCCTAAATTTAATGCATCGAAAATGCAACTCACCCAGTCCCTCCAACCCTGAACCTTTTCTCATATTTCCTACCGCTTTCCACCAAACCCACCAAAGAGCCGCAGAGGCACCCTCAAATCCTTTGGCCAGTTAGCTCTGTGCATGTTATAGGCACTTGATGATCAATATCGGTTGAAGGAATGAATAAATGAGGAAGAGGAACAGGCTAAGAAAGGGACAAAGGATCCTGTTTGTAATGTGTTGGGTCTGAAGGATAGTGAGGGTCAGGGCTGCCTAAGCCAGGCCATGCCAAAGCCTGTGTACATGGACTCATTAACTTACCCATTCATTCAACACTGGTCTATGGGACATCTCCAACGTGCCAGGAGTTGGGTCAGATCTCAAAGAGCCTGCAGGGAAGCAGAATGCAGGTTTCCAAATGCTGAGACAGTAACATGAGTTTAAGGAGCACAAAGAAGGTAGCTGCTGTGGAAACTGCCATGCAGTGGCAAGAGCTAGTGTTCAACAGGCAGATGTGTGAGGCTGACTCCCTTCCCCCTAACCCTGCTCTGCCCCCACCCTCAAAACTCCTCCAGGGAGCCTTTACAGAATTGCAGGCCCAAGCCCCATTAGCAGGCAACAGTCTCTGGCCAACCTAAGTCCTCCCTGCAAGCCAGTAAACCTCACACCCTGCCCTCTATGAGCCTCTAGCTTCAAACCCCAAGAAGAGTGTTGGGAAGGAAGTGTGAGATCTGAGTAGAACTGGCTTCAGGTGGGATAAGGCAGAAAAGGCCTTCCTGAGACATCAACTCACGCTTGGACAATAGCTTGGCAGATGGGAGACCTTGGGCCCTGTATCTTTTCCCTGCCAGTGGTGAGAGATTGCTGACTTGAGAACCACTTGTTAAACATTTAGGGATTTGGGGTGGGTTAACTGATGGCAGCTTGATATCAGGCATAGTCGATGTATTTATGCCATGGAATTAGCAAATGCTCTAAATCAGGGCTTCCTCCTTCCACACCCCCAGAGGGCCAGTTGACCAGCACACAGCTGCCTACGTTCATCATTGGTGGCATGCAGTGTCCACATTAGTGTGGGTGTGTTTGTGTATGGGTGGCTGTGCCATCCCTAGCAGAGAAATAGGATAATAATCTTTAATATTTGGATGACATTTTAAAATCCAAATAGTGCTGTCAGTGACTTTGTTTCACATGGCTTTAACAACGACTCTGTGAGTTAAGACAGTCACTCTTTCCATTCTAAAAACAGGTACTCTGAGTGTCGCCTGAGGTCACACAGTGAGTGAGATACAACTGCTATCCCTGAGTCTCCCATTAGGCCCACAGCCAGGGGCTTTCTCCTCCATGAGCCAAGAACCCTCTGAGAGCTCAGGGTGCAGGGACTGAGGCCCAGGGATCTCAGCACAAAGGGAACCTGGCAAGAATTGAACCTTCCGTGAAGCAGGCCCTGCCTGGCCCCTTCCACACATCAGCTGGCTTCTGATGCTCTGGAAATACCAAAAGGTGCTTGTTATACCTGTTTCCAGCTGAGTGGACTTGGGCAATGCACCCTGTTCATGGTCTCACAGCCAGTGGACAGTAGAGCTAGAAATCCACCCGGGACCCCATCCAGTGACTTCTTAGGGCCTTGGTGTCTTAGTATTGATCATTTATTTGCTGATCACCCTGAAGAGAGGGGCAGAGAATGGGGGAGAAGGAGAAAGAGATGGATGGAGAGCTGCCTGTGTCTCTACCCACCCAAGTCCCCCCAAGATCCCAACACAGACAATGACCTTGAGAGAAAGGCCCTCACATTTGGCCCCACATTGGCCCTTTTGAAGACAGCCAAAGGCCCTAAGAGTCTGGGAACGTTTCTGGGCTCCTGGGAGCTTCCATCAGGAGGGAAGATCTGCTGAAGGGCAGCAGGCAGGAAAACAGTGGCTTCATTAGCCAACACGTATTGTTGCCAAATGTTGCCCAATTTACAAAGGCCCCACAGAGACAAGGAGCTTCTGTCTGCTTGGATCAGCCCTCTTCTTCCTCTTCCTCTTCCCTCCCCTCACCTAACCCTCCTCCTCTGCAGGACCCTCTGCCCTCTGGCCCTCTCCTCACAGGGACAGCCCTCCTGGGGCTGGCTTCTCCAAAGACCTGCTGAGCTTGCTCCCCAGTGGGCAAGGGGCAGTGGAATGAGCTCATGCTTCCAGTCCCACCCCACTTCTGAGTTTTCAATTCTCCTGGCCGGGATAGCACCCCAAGTTCCTGGCAGAATCTGAACTGAGCACCTAATCACCATATCCTTTGAGAATGTACAGCAGGTCAGGCCCTGGGGGAGAGCCTTCTGGGAAGGTGCTGGCCTGGAGGGAGCATGTGTGTGGCCCAAGGCCAGCCATGCAAATTTCTTCCCAGAAGGAATGAGGCCCTGGCCCAGGGAAAGTTCCAGGCAGAAAGTACCTGAGTTGCTGGCCCATGGTGCTGCCCTCCTACAAGGTTGCATTCTGGAGGGGACTGCTCCACAGGCTTCACTGTGCTGGAGGCCTCTGTGTCTGCTGTCTGTGTCCTGCAAGGACAAGATCAGCTGGATCCTTCACTCAGTAGGAGCCTGAGATGGGCGAGCAGAGGAGTGAGGAGGCATGATTTTCCTCCATTTCTCTGGGTGAGGCTGCTCATCCCCAGCTCTTCCAGGCTAGAGATGCCCAGCTCCTCTGACCAGTCCTCAAGCCTCACTACTGCTCTGGTAGTGGACTTCCTCATCCCACCATTCCTTTATTCACCTGACAGCTGGGCAGACGGGAAGGCATGGGGAGAGATGTGGTTAGAAGCTCAGAGATGGGATTGGCTGGCTAAGTTTGAACCAGTTCCACCCTAAACAGCTCCCTGGACCTAGGTCAGTCTCTCAACCTATCTGAGCCTCAGTTTCTCCATATGTAAAAAAGAGACACAAATAATATCCACCGTATGAGGTGGGTAGAATTAAAACCCGATGTTGAGATGCTTGTGCAGTGCTCAGTACAGACAAGCTGTCATTGATATTTGCAGACATTCATGAGCCCCCACTGTGTGCAAAAACCTCAGCTGGGCACAGAGGTTCAGGGTTGAGCAGGAAGGAGCCCAGCTTCCAGCAGTTCCTGGTCAGTGAGAGGGGCTGCATGGACCCAGAGAGTCGCCATCCTACTTGCAGACAGTGTTGACAGAGGCTGCGGGGAGTTTTGAGAGTGGAGGAGAGAGTGGCAGAGTCTGTTCTCCAACATGGCCCTTCTAGGAGAGCACACACTGCCCCCAGCTGCCTGCCTTTTCTAGAGTGTTCACAGTCTGGCTGGCCTACTCTCCATCTGTGTCTCTGTCCTAATCCCTGCCTCCTCTCTTTCTCTGTCTGTTTCTCTCTCTCTCCTTGGCTTACCTTCTCCCTCTCTATCTCTCTGTCTCTATTTCCCTCTCTGCCTTAAACACCTATGTCTATACGGGTTATGGATGCCTGCCATAGGGAGGGGCTCTGACCCTGACTGAGCTTCCTCTAGCATAGTACTTGTAACTACTGACACCTGTCCCTGCACCCATGCCTTCACTCTGAGTTCCAGGAGGGAAAGGACTGTGGTTGACTAGCTGTGCATCCCCAGGGTCCACCTCCAGGCTTGGCCCAGTGGAGAGCCTCCCTCAGGGCTGTTGACCAGGTGAGTGTGGGGAGCAGAGGAGGACAAGCCCTGCATAAAGGTACACGGAGAAAGGAGCAGGGAGCGGGCCACCCGATGGCCCCTACCTCGCCCTGTGTAGCACCTACCTGTGTGTGTCTTGAGGATGGAGAGGCTGAAGAGGAGATTTCTCCATCACCCCCAGCACCCAGCACCTGCCTGCAGAGAAGCTGGGACCTACTTCTCCTACTGAAAGGTCTCCTCTCCTACAGCCCCATCAGCTTCTAAGGGTAAGCAGCAAGGGCACCGGGAGAGTATCAGGGCAGTGCCAATGATGAGCAAAAAGAAATATAGGGGCTGGGGGCCATGGGGACAATTCCCCCAAATTTTAACACGCACCACTTTAAGGCCGAGATGCTGTCATGTTAGCCAATTTTGTTTGCAGTCAGAGGCTTGTTGGAGCCTCCAGAGGGTCCTTGGCAGCCCAGGGCCTCCCTGTGTCGCTCTTTCTGGGCATAAGTCTTTTCCAGCGACCCTCCTCCCTTCTCACCCTTCCCTCCCTTCTCCCTCCCAGCTCTAGATTCTACCCTCCCCATTTCTTCCTCTACTCTTATTCAGCTAAAACCAGAAGTAAAGCTAGCACAAACTCATATGACTTTAGGAGGTGCCTGCCATGAGCTGTGGTATTTATAGTGTGTGTTTTTACTGAAATTACACCCTCCCAAGGCCATGTGGCAGGCAAGCTACAGAGAGTTCTCATCCAGAGTCCTCTCGGGGGCATCCTGTCCACTCATCCTTAGCCTCCTGTGTGCTACTGTTGAAGGACAGAGAAGGAGCAGAGACAGGGAGCAAGATGCCCCTTTTTCGTGATCAACCTAGCAAAACTTCATCCTAAGCAAAGTCTTCCTCCAGAGGGTATTAATCTCCAGAAAATCAATTTTGGAAAAGATTATTGTGTGTGTGTGTGTGTGTGTGTGTGTGTGTGTGTGTGTGAGAGAGAGAGAGAGAGAGAGAGAGAGAAGTTCTTGCTCTGTTGCCCAGGCTGGAGTGCAGTGGCACAGTATAGCTCACAGCAGCCTCGAACTCCCAGGCTCAAGAGATCCTCTTGAAGTTCAGCCACATGGTCAGCCCTTTTGAGTAAAGCTGACCTCTCCAGAACATGTGTTGTTGGAGGAATTAGGGGGAAGCTGTGGGTATGGGGCTGGGGTCCAGGAGAGCAATGCCTCTGAACCAATAATGTTGTTGCTAAATGTTGCCCCATTTGTGAAGGAAACTCAGCAATCAAAGAATTTGTCTCAGCTTGAATCAATCCTTCCTGCTTCTTCCCTTTGTCTTCTTCATCCCTCTCTGGAACCCCTCCAGGTGGCCTTCTCCTCACTTCATCTGGCAAGGCGGGGGCCAGACTCCCCATGTCTCTAGGTCAATACATGTGTGTCCTTACAGATTCCCCTTTCTCTTTCAGTCACTACATGTCATCTGGGCCCAGATGCATTCAGTTCTTCCTCCATCCTGCCTCTTGCGCCTGCCTGTTCCTTTCCATTCCATGGTCTGGAGATGACCTTGGACTCCTGCCTCAGCTTCTGACCACTCTCCTGACCCTCATCTCCCCAAGTGCACCCTTTCCTGAGGGAAACTTTCAGAATCACAGAGCTAACCATGGTTCCAAGGAATATTTTCTTGCCCTTCCTCTCTTCTCCCATAATCTGCTCCTGAAGAACCTCAATCTCCTTCCTCCTTTGGATTAATACCTTCTCTGTGCTGAAAACTACTTTATTCTACTCTACTCTGGCAATGTGTACTCAACTGTGAACAGAACAGCTCAGCCTAGAAGTTCCACCAGCGCCTCAAAACAGCATGTCCAACTTCCAGTTCTGGATCAAGATGGAGTAGGCATATCTCTCTCTATTCCTCCCACTAAGTACAGATTAAAATGCTAAAGATTATAGATGTAGTGGTTTAACCAGCACAAATGTATTATCTTACAATGCTGAAGATCAGAGTTTCAAAATCAGCAGTGAACTAAAGAATGTAGGGCTGTTTTCCCTCTGGAGGCTCCAGGGGGAATCCATTTCCTTATTTTTTTTCAGCTTCTAGAGGCTGACTCCATTCTTTGGATCTGGGCTGTACATCATTCTCACCTCTGTGGCTCTCGTTACATCTCCATCTCACACTCTGACCTTCTTGCCTCCCTCCTGTAAGAACTGTCATGATTATACTGTGACCATCCAGAGAACGTCCCCATCTCAAGATCTTAATAACATCTGCAAAGTCCCTTTTGCCATTTAAGCTAACATATTTACAGATTCCAGGAATTAGGACATGGACATCTTTGGGGTCCATTATTCAGCATACCACTCCAGTAGGCTGTGATAAATCATGTGTGTACTAAGTAATACCTACGGTAACCACTACGTAACCTATACAAAGATATATACTCAAAGTTACTATAGGTACATCAAAATGGAATTCTAAAAAATGTTTAAGTAACCCACAGGACAGTGAGAAAAAGAAAACAGTAAAATCTAAAAACAGAGAGAAAAAAATAAAATAAAATGGTAGGCTTAACACTAACATATCAATAATTACATAAGTAAATAGTCTAAATACTCCAATTAAAAGAATGGGATTGGAAGAGTGGATTAAAAAACATAACCCAGCTCTAAGCTTTCCACAAGAAACTCATTAGAAAAAATAACAATGTAGGTAGCATGAAAGTAAAATGATAGAAAAACATAAACCATGCAAACATTAATAAAAAGAAAGCAGGAAGAGCTACATTAATATTAGATAAAGTTGAATTCAGGGCAAAGAAAATTATTAGGGGCAGAAAGAAACATTATGTAATAATGAAAGAGTCAATACACCTAGAAGTCATAACAATCCTAAATGTACCCATCAAAAAGCAGAGCTGCAAAATACATGAAGAAAAATCTGATAGAACTAGAAAGAGAAATAGACTCCACAATTATAGTTGAAGACTTCAAACCCCTCTACCAACAACTGATAGAACAGACAGCAAATTAGCAAGAGTGTAGAAGAATTCAACAACACCATCAACCAGCAGAACTGAATCAACATTTATAGAGCCCTTTACCCAACAATAGCAGAATATGCATTCTTTTCAAGTTCCCACAGAATACTTACCAAGATAGACCATTTCCTGGGACATAAAACAAACCTCAACAATTTTTTAAAAATTGAAATCATAAAAATTTATTCTTTGATCACAATAAAATCAAACTAGAAATCACTAGCAAAAAGATAGCAGAGAAATCTCCAAACAGTTAGAAACTAAATATCACACTTCTAAATCATCAGTGGGTCAAAGAGGAAACCTCAAGTAAAACTTTTTTCAAATACACTGAACTTAATGAGAATGAAAATACAGCATATCAAAATGTGTGGGATGCTGCTAAAGCTGTACTCAGAGGGAAATTTGTAGCACCAAATGATTACATTAGAGGAGGAAAAGCCTCATATCAGTAATCTAAACTGCCACCTCAAGGAACCAGAAAAGGGAGAGTAAAATAAACCTAAAGCAAGCAAAAGAAAGAAAACAGAAGCTATCACAACAGATCCTAAAGACAATGGAAGGATAACTCAAGGACTACTAAAAGATCTCTACACACATACATTTGACAACTGATATGAAATTGACCAATTTCTCCAAAAAAACAAACTATTGCAACTCACAATATGAAACAGATCATCTGAATTAAGAAACAGAGCTCATGATTTTAAAACTCTCAAAAAAGAAATCTTCAGACTCAAATGGTTTCACTGTCGAGTTCTACTAAACATTTAAATAATTATCACCAATTCCACACAACCTCTTCCAAAACCGAAAAGAGGAAATACTCTCCAATACATTCCATGAGGCCCGTTTGTTAGCAAGAGAGAAAAAGGAGAGGGTCATCTCTGTTATTCTTGGGAGAAACTCCCTATGAGATGTCAGTCACTTTCATCTGCTCTCCCCCTAAACACACACACACACACACACACACACACACACACACACACACACACACACACCCTCTCTTCATCTACTCTCCAACTCTATGGCCCTGCAAGGCATTACCATGGGAACCATGTGGCTCCTTTGATCCAGCTGCAGCCAATTGACCATTAGAGACCACCCAACTCAAGCTGGCCAAGTAATCTTTTTTAAGTTAAAAAAAACTCTCATATGGAGAAATATAAAACATAAATGTACAATTGAGCAAATTATCCCAAAGAACACTCATGTAACCACCACCCAGGTCAAAGAAAACTGCTAACATTCAAAAACCGCTTATGCCTCTGCTCAACCCCACACCATCTCCCAACCCCTAAAGCTAGCTACTACTATAATTTCTACACTACACCTTAGATCTGCCTACTTCTGAATTTTATATAAATGGAATCATATAATATGTATTCTTTTGTATTTGATTTCCTTCATTCAACATTCTGCTTGTGAGATCATCCTTTAATTCATTTTCTAATTTTTATTTCATTTGGTAATAATTGCTAGTATTAGAAATACAATCTATTTTTGTATTTATCCTTCTGTTTGACAAGCTTATTAAATTCACTTATAAAATCTAATTACTTGGGAGTTTCCACTAACATAATAATGAGAGCTTTATCCTTTCTTTCCAGTGATTTTGCACTAGATGGGACTTTCCGTACAATGTTGAACAGATATGGAGATAACAGCATCCGGGTCTTGTTCCTGATCTCAGAAGGCAAGCTTTCAACATTGTCCCCATTAATATGATATCTATTTGCTGTTGGCTTTTTTGTAGATATGTAGATTCTATAGAAACTTTTGTAGATTAAGGAAGTCCCTTTAGATAGTTAGTTATAAACATGAATGGATGTTGAATTTCAGCATCAACTGAGATAATCATTTGATTTTTCTCTTTGGTTATGAATCATACCAATTTATTTTCAAATACCAAGCCAAACTTACATTTCTCTTGCAGTCTGTAAATGACAATATTTGTCTTTTAAAAACACACTTTTTATTAAAGTGTAGCATACATATGCATATATAACAGCAGATGCACAAATCATACATGTAGAGTTTGATGAATTTTTAAAATTTGAACACCTCGCTAAAAAACAGCTCTCAAATAAAGTAAGAGAAGATTACCCGCCCACAAAAACTCTATACATGCCTCTTTCCAATCACTACCCCAGAGGTGATCACTATCCTGACATCTAACACAATGTATTCATTATGACTGTGTGTGAAGTTTTTATAAATGGAATTGTATAGAAGGTGCCTGAGGTTTTCTGTTTAAAATTTTGTTTATTAGATTCTCCAATGTTGTTCCATAAAGAAATAGCTCTTACATGCTCACTTCTGTATAATCTTTATGTATGTGAGTGTACCAAAGTTACCTGTCTATTCTATTGGTAATAGATATTTTGGTCGTTTCTAACTTGGGGTTATTACAATGGTGCTGAAGCGAACATATGTATTCTTTTCTGTTGGTCATGTACTTAGGAATGGAGTTTTACAGCATATGACTACGTTCTGCTTTAGAAAATTCTGCTAGTTTTCCAAAGTTAATTGTAGCAATTCATATTCCCACCAATGTATATGAGAGTTCTAGGGGCTTCACATCCTTGCCAACACTGCCATTGTCTGTCTTTTTCATTTCAGCCACTCTGTTTGGGAATGTCTTTTGTCCATTGTTTGATTATTTGGTAAGGCTTTTTCTCATTGGCGGATAGTTCTTTCAATATTCTTCAGAGTCACCATTTCCCTCCACTTGCCTCTGTGAGGGAGCCCAGGGCTCCTCCTCCCTCAGCTCTTCTAAGCCCAGATGAAGCCTGGCCCTTCTGAGCACATCCCAAGGCCACACCTGCATTCTAGGCGACTCCCTTGTCCCTTTGATTCACTGGGTAGTCTGGTGCCTGAAAGGCAGGGTCAGTGATGAGAGTGGTTAAACATCGCAGGCAGGGGAGTTTGAAACCAGCTCTACCTCTTCCCCACTCCCCAGATCTAGCCACGTCATTCAGCCTGTCTCAGCTTCAGTGTCCCCATGTGAAAATAGGAATACTAAAAGCATCTCCCTCATAAAATTGTTAGAACTTAATGAAGTAACTTATAAAGATGCTTAGAACAGTGCCCAGCACATAGGGGCTGCTCAATCGATATTTTTTGAACGAAGGAATGGGTGTGTGAATTAATAAATGAATGGATGTAAGATTTTCAGTACAAGGCCAAACCATACAGTGAAAACTCAGTCAATATTAACTATTATTGTTATTGTTTCCATGCATTTCTGGTCCCCGTTGTGAGCCAGAACCTATGCAGAGTCCTGGGAATCTGCAAAGAGTTCCCTTTCCCCAGGCGGCTCCAGTTGAGTCACAATCCAACAGAAGGTGTTAGCAAAGGCAAGTTCACCCTACAGGGAGGACAGAGGGCCGAGCGGGAGCCACTTTCCCCAGTCTTCCTTCTCAAGCTAACCCAGCAGCGTGCCCCAGCCCTTTTACAGACATCTGTCTTTGTGATTCCTTGGGCCCCTCTCCACACCCACACTCCTTATGCCCACATTCTGTCCTGTTATCTGCAACCCTTTGTAACTCTTTCACTCCTCTCTCTTTTATGACGTCCACTTCTCTCTCCAGTTCTCTGTCTCTCTCACCATCATGCCCTCTTCCCGCCCCACTGCCCTGAGACTTTTCCTAATGGCCCCTCTCAGCAGCCTGGGCAGCCTCCTTGAATTTCTGCTCACCAGTAACCCAGCTGCGTCCCGACTGTCAGTCTTGGCTTTGCTCCACACATCTTCTCTCTCCCCCTCCAAGGGTCTCTGGGCTACAAGGGAAGCTTTCCCAGAACCCATGTGGCCACTCAGTCACTTCCCCAGAGGCTGAAGGTCGCTATGTTGGTGACAAAGGGCAGGTGACACACTTTGCTCTCCACAGTGCTATCAGCAGGCATGAGCAGGGTCCCTAGAGAGTGCCAGGGACCAAAGGGTGAGGCCAGGTCCACCCCGCTCTTAACCATCACTCCCCATCTTCCTGGACAGTGCAGCTGGATGAGGAAGCAGCCGCAGGATGCAACGTAGATGCTAGAGGGCCAAGGGGAGGACAGAAGAGGGTAGGGCAGAAGATGACTGGCAGAATGAGGAACTAGTGGGTGGGCCTGGGGACCTCGTAGATGAAGCAGAACCTGATGGCTATTTGGAAATGGAGGAAAGAGTCACAAAAGTGAGCAATTTCCAGGATATTTGGAAATATTCTGGCTTGAGGTTACTACCTTGAAATAATTTGACCAAGAAAATCAGACACTCTCAGAAAATAATATTTTTTATGCCATTTTACAAATGAGGTCTCTAAGCCCAGAGAGGGCGTGTGGCCTGCTCAGACCTGACACAGTGCGGCCAGGTAGAATCCAGCTTCCTGACTCCTTGCACTTAGAGGGGTTCCCTCAACTAAAGCCATCCTCACAGAGCATTTATCCTGGACCAGGTCCTTGTTAGGTACTGGGTCACCAAACTGAGTTAGACTCAGTTCTGCCCCCAAGGGCAACAGACAAGGGAATAGTCAGTTACCACCATAGGAGATGAGAATGTCCATGGACCACGGTAACAGAAGAAGCATGGAGAACCACGCCTGTGCCCAAGGCTCTGTGCGTGGTAGGGAATCTGCCTCCCACCTGTGGCAGCTCTGGAGGAGGGGCAGCCTGACCTGTGACAGGCAGGGAAAACCCCATAGCCCCCTCTCTCCCACCCTGGCATCTTCCAGCAACCTCCACAAAGTGGGTTTGGCCGGAACCAAGTGATTGAGGGGGAGATTACAGGGCCCGGGAATTGTGGGGCCCTGTGGGTACCTAGAAGACCATCTGCTTTTACTCTGAGGATGTAGGAGCCAAGGCAGAAGGCTGAGAATGGACTGAGAGGCAGAACAAGTGGGGAGCAGAGAGATGATTAGGGAGGCTCCAGCAGTGACCTGGGAGAGAGATGAAGTGGCTTTTCTGTTTGTTTGTTTGTTTGTTTGTTTGTTTGTTTGTGACAGAGTCTCGCTCTGTCACCCAGTCTGAAGTGCAGTGGCACGATCTCAACTCACTCCAACCTCTGCCTCCAGGGTTCAAGCGATTCTCCTGCCTCAGCCTCCCAAGTAGCAGGGATTACAGGCAAGTGCCACCACCCCTGGCTAATTTTTGTATTTTTAGTAGAGACGGGGTTTCACCATGGCTGGTTTCTAGGCTGGTCTCGAACTCCTGACTTCAAGTGATCTACCCACCTCAGCCTCCCAAAATGCTGGGATTACAGGCGTGAGCCACTGCGCCCGGCCAGAAGTGGCTTTGATTAGGATGTGGCAGTGGAGAAATAGTGAGATGGCTGGATTCTTGACATATTTTAAAGGAGGAGGTCATGGGATTTGCTTACATTACAAGGGGATGTGGGGTGTGAAGGAGAGAGGTGGATGATGGCACCAAGGTGTTTGGCCTGAGAAACTAAAAGGAGGTAGTTTCATTAACTGAGATGGGGAAGACTGGGAATAAAGCAGATTGAGGAGGAGGTGGATCAGAAGCTCCATTCTAATCATGGTAAGACTGACAGACCCCGGACACCCAGGTGGATCGTGGAAGAGCCAGCTCCCTGACTCGCTGCCATTCAGAATGGCATTGTTGCTATAAAAGCCAAAGTTAGAGGCCTTGAACTTTATTTAAAACTAATTTTTGGACCATGGGCTCATTTTCCTCCAAGAACAATGCCTATTCACACAAATTGCTGTGTCCAGCTCCTGGGGTTTGTAGAATGCTCTGTATCATGTCCCTGGATTGTTCTCACATTTCCAGAGTTTGGACTCCGCAACCTTCCTAACTACCCTTGAAACCCCACTCTGATGTTTCCACACCATGCCCATTGTGCCTGTGGTGATGGATTGTCATGCCCTTGGCTGCAGGGACCTGCCACTCTCCTGCCTTATTTCATGCACGTTGGTTCCTTCCTTGCTCGTGGACCCAGAGAGGCACTAAAGCTTTTCTCTGCATGGTCCCTATCTGGTGCTGGGCCTGGCTCTGGGAATTTCAAATTAAAACCTGCTTGTGGTCAATTGTTGACAGCATCATGGCCTTTCCATGAGAGTAATAGCAGGAAATGTGTGTCCCAGCTACAAAGAGGACAATGGCACATTCACGGGCCTCAAAAGGGTTTGTGTGCAGCTTTGGACAATGTTGATTTGTTATTTTACGGGTCACTCTGCATTGCCCACCATTGTCAGTACACAAAAGAACGTATTGAGACTAGATCTGAGCAGTGAAATACAAGACGTGAGAATTAAACCTAGGAGAGAAGTCTCAAGAAGGAAGCAAAACTTCCTCAAACTAGGCATCTGCCCCAGGGACAGCCATGCAGCTTCCCCTCCAGGTGGGCCATGGGGGCTGACACATAAAAGACAGCAGCCCTGGACAGCAGGTACACAACTGCCAGTGGAAGTGCCCCAGCCTCCACCCTCCTCCACTGCTGATAGGCAGCACGGCCCAGCCACACTCCTTGCCCACAGCACTCACAGGCTGTCCCTGCCCTGGTGCATGATGTCTCTCCTTGGCCCCTCCAACTCTCAGGGCCATTTGAGTGCAGCCCCCCTCCAGGAAGCTCAGTACCTGCACCTTTGTGACCTCTTCCATCCTGCAACTCACCACCCTGCCTGGATCACCCCTGAGCAAGTGGTCCTGTAGAAGTTAGCAACTGCTTATGGAATCCTTTCCTAGGACAATTATCAAC
The DNA here is from genome assembly GCF_000001405.40 of Homo sapiens. NCBI lineage: Eukaryota > Metazoa > Chordata > Mammalia > Primates > Hominidae > Homo > Homo sapiens. The sequence goes on from NC_000003.12 coordinate 46,481,264, forward strand.
TAGGCTGGCCAGCTTGTTCCCTTAGCCATAGCTTTAATGTCCAGGAAACTGCTGGTCCCAAGATAGGAGGACAAAGTACAAATGAACTTTGCTTTAAAACCCACCAACAGGGCTAGGTGTGGTGGTTCACACTTGTAATCCCAGCACTTTGGGTACCTAGATGTTCCCCAAAGTCTGCCAAACAACTTTGTTCTTTCTTTTCTCCCTAGTTTTTACCCTTTACTCTCCAGAGCCCAGGCCCCAGCTCAAACACCTATGCCACTAAGACTTGGGTAATTGTGACTATTGTCATGATTAGCCAACATGGCGAAACCCCATCTCTACTAAAGATACAAAAATTAGCTGGGCCTGGTGGCAGGTGCCTGTAATCATAGCTACTCGGGAGGCTGAGGCAGAAGAATCACTTGAACCTGAAAGGCAGAGGTTGCAGGGAGCCGAGATTGTGCCATTGCACTCCAGCCTGGGAGACAGAGCAAGACTCCGTCAAAACAAAATAAAACAAAACTAAAAAACCACCAACAGATGTAGAAATTGGTGCAATCACTTTGGAAAACCATTTGGCAGCATCAGTTAAAGCAGGATATGCCTAATGACTAATGTGGGCTGGCAAGTGCTTAATAACCATCTCTGAAAATAGAGTTCCAACAAGAATATTGGAAAAATATTGAATTATTGAAAAAATAAAAACTATTGAGGTGTTTGTGGTAAAGAGTAAGAAGAAAGAGAAAAACACTGCACATGTCTCAGAACGTCACCCATTCATCAATGACATAAGCATTTTTTTTCATGAATCAGATAATAGTTTTTTGATACTGGAGAAATATTTTCTTACTTTTTATGCGACTCACAATGTCACAGCTATAGAGATGACACACACCTAAGTTTAGTCTGCATTATTAACATTTTCTCAGGCTGGGCACAGTGACTCATACCTGTAATCCCAACACTTTGGGAGGCCGAGGCAGGTGGATTGCCTGAGCCCAGGAGTTGGAGACCAGCCTGGACAACATGGAGAAACCCCATCTCTACCAAAAATAAACAAATAAATAAATAAAAATTAGTCTGGCTTGGTGGCGAGCACCTGTAGTTCCAGCTACCAGGGAGGCTGAGGTGGGAGGATCACCTGAGTCTGGGAGGTTGAGGCTGTAGTGAGCTGTGATCACACCATTGAACTCCAGCCTGGACATTAAAGTGAGACTCTGTCAAAAAAGAAAGGAGAAGGAAGGGAAGGGAAGGGAAGGGAAGGGAAGGGAAGGGAAGGGAAGGGAAGGGAAGGGAAGGGAAGGGAAGGGAAGGGAAGGGAAGGGAAAGGAAAGGAAGGGAGAAAGAGAGAGAAAGAAAGAAAGAAGAAAGAAAGAAAGAAAGAAAGAAAGAAAGAAAGAAAGAAAGAAAGAAAGAAGGAAGGAAGGAAGGAAGGAAGGAAGGAAGGAAGGAAGGAAGGAAAGAAAGAAAGAGAAAGAAAGGAAGGAAGGAAGGAAGGAAGGAAAGAAGGAAAGAGAAAGAAAGAAAGAAAGAAAAAGAAAGAAAGAAAGAAGGAAGGAAAGAAAGAAAGAAAGAAAGAGAAAGGGAGGAAGGGAGGGAGGGACAAGAGACAGACAGAGAGAAAGAGAGAGAAAGAAAACAAAGAAGAAAGAAAAAGAAAGAAAGAAAAACATTTTCTCTATCACTTTCTTAAGTCTAACTTTGGACAATCAACAAAACAATAAACCTATGAAGCCCTGATTTGTAGCATTTGCCAGTTTCTGTGGTGTAAAAACTCCTCCAATGACTGAGTTCAAGCTGCTGACATGGATGGGTGCCACTGAATTTGGAGTTGGGAGGAGATGAATGATATTCCACTGTTGTATAACATTCCCACCATACAGATACAATAGGCTGAAATAACCTCAAGAGCCACAGGAATGCAAGGGAAAGGGAAATCAGAATGGGGGAAAATTTTGCAAATCCCTGACAATGTTAACAGCCAGCTCCCATGAGCCAGAATGAGCCAACTCCAGCACAGCACTGCCTGGAACCCAGCCTCTCCTCTCCTAGGTGTACGCCCAGCAGAAATGCATACATGTGTACACCAAAAACACAAACAAGAATGTTGATAAGAGCATTGTCCATACATGTCCCAAATGTCTGTGAGTGGTAGATGGATAAATCAATTGTAATACTATCAACTAAGCAGTGAGAATGAGCTAACTTCTGCTGCCCACGACAATATGGTTGAATCTCACATGCATAGTATTGAGCATAAGAGGTTGGACACAAAAGAGCACCTACCACCTGCCTGCATTTATGTGAAGCTCACAAACAGTAAAAATCAGTGCCCGTGAGGCCACAAGATAGGGGAGTGTTAACCTTGGGGAAGAGGGGCAAGAAAGTGATTAATAGGAGCAAGAGTGGAGCCTGGGGGTGGAAATGTTTCTATTCCTTGATTTGGGTGGTGATTACACAAAAGTGTTCATTTTGTGATAACTCATCTAGCTACACAAATATTAATTGTGCATGTTTCTATATGTAGGTTAGGTGTCAGTATAAAGTTTATTTTATTTTATTTAGTTTAAAAAAAAACGGAGACAGGGATCTTGCTATGTTGGCCTGGGTAGCCTCAAACTCCTGGCCTCAAGCAATCCTCCTGCCTATGCCTCCCAGAGTGCTGGGACTATAGATGTGAGCTGCTGCACCCTGGCCAAAAGTTTATTTTTAAAAGCCCCCAGCAGGAAGGCATACAAATGACTTTGGCCTCATAAATAACCTTGGCACTCCCCAGAGGTGCTGTCCTTGTTTGGGATGTACCAGAGATGCCCTTGGAAGGCCCCCTGGAGGCTACAGAGCAAAGCTTTCTTGAAATATGGCCTCCTCCCTCAAATGTCAACCCTTGTCAATGGCTGAAGAGGGAAGGGAGGGGTCGGAGAAGACAAGAGCATGGAAATTCGTAAATGGACAATAGTCATGATTACCCAAGTCATAGTGGCATAGGTGTTTGAGCTGGGGCCTGGGCTCTGGCTAGCAAAGGGTAAAAACTAGGGAGGAAAGAAAGAACAAAGTTGTTTGGCAGACTTTGGGGAACATCTTCTGAACACTTACCATAGGATGCTGCTCTGAACACTGCTTGATCCTCAGCCATCTCCGTGAGGTAGGTCCTGTGACCATAATCCCCATCTCACAGATCAGGACACTGAGGCTTGGGGCAAGATGAAACTGAGGTTCCCTCCAGGCAGCGTCAGGCCTTAGGGGCTGTGCTGTCCTCACAACACCCCTACCCTTGCTCCCCTAAAAAATTGCATGTCCCTGCTGGGAAGGCAGTGCCAAGAAGGGCCTGGAATGTTCTGCCAATATCCACCCTCCTCCCATGCTGGAACTGAGCCCTTATGATCTGGGGGCCCCAGCATATTGTTGTCAATCAAAATTAGCTAAACTTGATGAAGCAAGAACATTAAAAGTGCCCAGAGGAGGAATAAGGAAACAGATGAAAAATGAAGTCAGACATTCCCAGCAGGTGCTAACACCTGAAGGTGTACAGTGTGTCTCACCCCATGCCCCTACCCACCACCTCGGGGCAGAGAGGTCAATTCTTTCACATCCTTGGGGGCTGCTGGGGAAGAAAGGAAGATGTATGGGCCTGGCCCTGGGATGATGCCTCCTCCCTGGCCAGCCCCACTGCTTACAGACCCTCTCTGGGACCCGGCTGCTCTCGGAGCAGAGCCAGCTCCTCTGGCTCTGGGAGCACCTACCAGGGCTGGGGGAATGAGCCTTCTTCCATTCCTTCTACTCATTAAATTCTGGATCAAGTCAGACCACAGCCCAGGGCCCCAGCTGGAGTTCCAGGGATCTGGGAAGCCAATAGCAGAAAGCCCAGGGTGCAGCCTGCCCAGCCTGAGGCAGGTGGCTGGCAGGTGATGATAAGGGCTGCTGGAGGGCCCCCACGCTTTGTTCCCCTCAGTGCCCGCTGTGCTCACTCAGGCCAGCTGTGAAGGCCACGTCACCGTCCACTGGGAAGTGAGGCGGAGCTCCCTGCTGGAGAGCCAGAATGGGCGGGAATGCAGGTACTGCTGGCACTCCCAGAGGGAGGGAAGGTGGGGAGCTCGGCTGAGGGGAAGTTTTCCAGAACTTCCTGGCCCCTCAGAAGAGCTCCCACCTTCCCTCCCTCTGGGAGTGCCAGCAGTTTCTGCATGGGAAAGAGGAAGCCCTGTATGGCAGGTGTCCACCCACAGTTCGGTGACAGCTGCTGGTGGAATTGAGGACCATCTGCTTGCTTAGTGCAGTCACAGGAATGCTGAACTCACAGGCTAAGGCTGGGGGCAGGGGCAGAGGCCCCAACATGGCTCCTAGGGAGAATTGCAGGCTCTCCTCTGAGGAAGAGACTTCAGGAGGTGCCCCAGCCCCAGGAGGCCCTCAACCCTAACCCTTGCCTGTGCCCAGTCACTCACTCTTAAAGCATCCATTCACATTGATTAGCTTTATTGCTTCCAGCAAATGTTGACATTCACCCCTGTAAAGTCTTCAAAGCCTTGGGGTCAGGGTTCACCTCCATATGCAGCAGTTTGTGGCGCATTCATTGTTGCTGCCATTTTCTGGTTTTGGAGACCAAGGCCCAGACAGGTCTGAAGGAAATAATGTATACAGTGGTCCATTTCCAAGACAAAGTGCCTTGAATCGGCTTAGGTCAGCAAACTGCAGAAGAAACAGAATGTACTAGGCTCCTGCTTGGATAGCCAAGGCCTGCTTGTTGGCCTCCCCTTTCCTCCCCCTTCCGCCACACTTGGTTGCCCTCACCTGAACCAACGAAGTTTAGTCTAAGGTAAAAGTTTAATAGTCTGCAAAATAGCTTGCTTTGTCTGTTCTTATCAGCCTGCCCAGCTACTTAGGTCATAAGTCAAATACTTAAAGAGCCCCTAAGCTAACCAGGATTGCAATGCATTGTGGGCTGCAACAAAATGCACCAAAACAACCCTAAAAACAAACAGACAAACAAACAAAACACCTGAAGCCCCTGACTAACAATCAATAGGCAACATCCAGGAAGATTGTAACCCCATAGTACTCAGCCTATTGGGAACCGGGGGAGGCACCTGCGCACTAGGGTATAAATTGCTTGTTGAAACTTTGCTGGGTGTGCCTGCATGCCACACACCCAATCTTGCAAGACCATCATTAAAAGTCTCACTTTCGCTATTCTCGGGGTCTCTGAGTCCATTCTTTGGGTTTGAATGGGGGAGTTTGTTTCTCAGAAGCCTATATTCCATCCATGAAGATGAGGTGATCTCCAGGCTGCATTAGGGAACTCATATATTCCCAGAGGAGGGAACAAAAGCAGTAGAATGAATTGCAGCTGGGAAGACTTTGGTACGATAGACACCAGAACTGCCACTCTCCACAGAGAGGGGTAAAGAAAGCTGTGGGGCCAAAAGAAGTCCAGCTCAGCCACATAGGTGGACCAAGATACCTTGTAAAGGCGCAAGTTTGGCCTCACTATCCAGCCCCCGTACCTCAACATGCACAGTGCATCTGTTGACCACAAAGACATTTCTTCATCATGGCCTGGCAGGACCCGGAGAAGACTATTTGCCTCATTTCACAAGTAAGAAAACTGGGTCTCACAAAGGAGAACTTACCTGCCCAATACATCCATGTTTTAAAATAAACTTTTTATTTTGGTATAGTTTTACAGTAAAGTTACAAAGACCGTTCAGAGATTTCCCATCCACCTCTCATCCAGTTTCCCCCATTGTTACCATCTTACGTTACTATGGTATATTTGTCAAAACTAAGAAGCTGACATTGATATGTTACTATTAACTAAATGCCAGACCTTATTTGGATTCCATCAACTTTTCTATTAATGTCCTCTTTTTTGTTCCAGAATCCCATCCAGGATACCACATTGCATTTACTTGTCATTTGTCCCAGCCTCCTCTGATCTGCTGTGACAGTTTTTGAGTTTTTCCTTAATTTTAATGACCTCAACAGTTTTGAGGAGTACTGGTCAGGCATCCTGTAGAATGTCCCCCAGTCTAAGTCTGTCTCATGTTTTTCTCACGATTAGACTGGGGTTACAGGTTGGGGGGAAGCACACTACAGAGGAGGAGCACCCTTCTTATCACAACCTATTAGAGGGTGCATTACATCCACACTGGTGATGCTCACCTTCATCACTGGGTTAAAGGTAGTATCTACCAGGTTTCTCTACTAGTTACTCTTTTTCCGTTTCCATACTCTGTTATTTGGAAGTGTCTAGCCTACCCAGAAAGAGGATGGTAGCAGCTGAACTAAGCCTCATCCCCTGGAGGGAGGACTGTCTAACATGCTATTTCAAATTCTGTTAAAAAAAAAAAAAGATTCGTCTTTGTACTCTATTTATTCAATCATTTATATCAGAATAGCCTCACTTATATTTAATACTTTGGGTTATAACACAATACAATACTATGTTAGTTATTTTGTTGTTCACATCGTTCCAGCATTGGCCATTGGGAGCTCCTTCAGGTTGGTTCCTGTGTCCCTCTGATGTGTTCCCACCCTTTTTGTTTTTGAGTACTTCCTTTCTTTCTGGTGCTACAAGATGCTCCAGGCTCTTGTATTTTATCAGTCATTTCTCCAAGGAGCCTTTGCTTCTTTTATTGGAGAAAGGTATTTAGAAACCAAGATGTGAGCACTGGGGTGTCATTGCCTCTAGGCCCTCTCAGCTGACTGAGCCAGGTAATATATGCATACATACTAAATTATTAGATATACACATATCCACATTGTTTCTGTATCTATCCATCTGTGTATATACTGAGCATCGTACTGATGTCTCCAACTGTAATCCCATCTCCAGGATTCATTCCAGCCTTCCTTTCTTGTTAATTGTAACTTTCCTCTCCCACAGTGTGAACAACCTGGCCCACCTTCTCTCATGTATTTACTTATTTGCTCATCCCCAGTACACCCATGAAGCTGTTTCAGAATCCTTAACCTGGGTACCCTTATGTAAAATAAATTTATCGACCGGGCACAGTGACTCATGCCTGTAATCCCAGCACTTTGGGAGGCCGAGGCGGGACGATCATGAGGTCAGGAGATCGAGACCATCCTGGCCAACATGGTGAAACCCCATCTCTACCAAAATTGCAAAAATTAGCTGGTCATGGTGGCATTGCCTGTAATCCAAGCTACTTGGGAGGCTTAGGCAGGAGAATCGCTTAAACCAGGGAGTCGGAGATTGCGGTGAGCCGAGATCGCGCCATTGCACTCCAGCCTGGGAGACAGAGCAAGACTCTGTCTCAAAAATAAATAAATATATATATATATATATATATATATATATATATATATATATATATTTATCAATTAGAGTACATTGTTCATAGTACCTTTCATCTTTAGCCTAATAATTTCCAGGCAAAATATTATCTTCCAATGTTATTTAGGCCAGTCCCTTCTCTCCCCCAGCCCCCACTGGTGCGGTTATATAATGAATTTGTAATAAAGTTTATATGCTTTTTATGCATTGTCTCCCAGCTCCGAACGCGTCCTTCAATATAGCATATGCGCTGACGTGGACTTCTCCAAGCATCTCTCTCCTTCAGTGAGCTCGGCAAGATTGCTCGGTAGAGGGCGGTGGAGGGACGTTGCAGGAGGAAGGGGCGCTCCTGCCATTTCCAGTGAGGGCCACGGGAGGGCGGTCCGGGTGTGAGGACTGCGGTCTGCTGCACCTGCAGCCTGGGTGTGGCGATGACCTTTTCTGCAGCCCTCTCAACACAGACCTCGGAGTCTCCGAGCAGCCTGTGTGCTCTGCAGGCCTGCTGTCCGTGCTGGCGCCCAGACTTCCTCTCCAAGCTCCCGCCTGCCCTGTGGCCCCGAAGGTTCCATGCTGAGCTGCAGCACTTCCTGCAAGCCTCCAGTGGCTCAGGCGCTCAAAAGGCCTCCTGTCCCCACTGTATGCCCATGTCACTGGTTCCCGATCCCCTGCTCCTTTGTCGGCTTACAGACAGTGGCCTGTTGCCTGCCCAACAAATTCCTGGCCAGCGCCAGCCTGACCAAACCGGTGAGAGTCCTCTGCTAGCAGGTGTGCTGACTGCACCTCCAAGAAGTCTGAACCCTTCCAAGCTTGTCCTTCCCAGGGTGCACTCCCTCAGCACGAGGATACAATGCAGTTTCTTCATTAACTCCTCTCCTGTCCTAGGATCACTCCCTCTGGGAAAGAAGACCAGCCTTGGCCCCAGAGGAATGTGTCCTAATTTAAAAAGCAGCTCAATTACTGCAGCACCTTGGGGACCAAGGCCAGTGGGATGAGAAATGCAGGTTCTGGTTCGTGCCCTGTGCCCCTGGGCTGGTGGCAGGAGCAGCGGGGCTGGTTAGCATCCCACTGTCAAACCCCAGCCTTGAACGTTCACCTGGAGCTTGGCCTGGGAGCCACTAACCATGGGTCACCTGGTCCAGGGACGTGAGACATACTCTCCACTGCCCCACAGGCAGAGCTACTCAGGCAGGGACCTGAGGCAGGCTGGTCTCAGGAACAGGTTGGCCACAGCTTCAACAGTAAGAGAGCGGGGATCACAAGAAAACCAGGCTTAAAGGAACCCAAAGTTACAAATTCACTTTCTCTCCTTTGAGTCCAGTGTGTTCTCTGTTCCCTGTGCTGATCATGGCATCCTTTGCTCAGTGATACTCTTTGCAGCATTTAGAAGGGTAGGTAGCACTCACTCTCTCAAGCCTGAACTGGAAATACTACCATAGCCAGGGTAGCTCACAACCCCAGCACAGCCACAGGACCTCTCATCCACCCTCCTTTATGTTTATAAATTTCTTTATGTTCTTAACTACAAGTGCATGATTTCCTAAGTGATGGCATTGTGGTTTTGTTCCTCACGTAAGAGGTATTTTGTTGTGTAGAAGCTCCAGCAGCTTGAATTCTTTACTCAATGCCATGATTGTGAGATAAGCCCATGTTGATCTATGTAGCTCTAGTTTAGGGAATGGCAAACCTCTTTCTGTAAAGAGCCAGATAATAAATATTTTAGGCTTTGTGGACCAAGAGGCAAATCAAAGATATTATGTAGGTCCTTATCTAGGTATAAGAAGGAAGACAAATTACCACAAAACTTTGTTGATGAAATTCAAAATGTAATATTATAATAAAATAATAATAATCAAATCAATTGTTTTGTAATACAGATCTAGAATAATGAAATTCTTTTGGGGAAAATATCAAAGTGACTATTTTTTATCTACTTCAAATATCCATCTTTATGAGTCATTCTTAGTTCTTGAGCCACACAGAAACTCGTGATGGGCCAGATTTGGTTGTGGGCCAAAGGTGACCAAACCCTACTCTAGTTCATTCATTTTCACTGCCGCATAGAATTCCACTGGATGACTCTAACAAAAGGTTTTATCTGTTCACTGGGAGGAGAGAGGAGTGTTCCAGTTGTTTCTATTTTAAAATTGTATTTCTATAAGTATTCTAATACATATCAGTATACTATACGTGCAAATGTTTATCTGGATGGTATACATACAAGTAGAATTGCTGAACAGGGCATGTGTATCTTTAATCCCAAACTGTTTCCCAAAGTGGCTGTACTAATTTCTAAGAGTGGCAGCTATATTTGTCCCTGTTGCTCCACAGGCTTATAAACATTTGGTATTTGGTCAGCAGGCTCTTCCAACACCCCTTTGAAGGCGTTTCATGTTTCCTGCCACAGGGTTGGGAGGAGGCTGTGTAGACCAAAACCACGTAATAAAAATAATAATCATTTTTATGTATGCCTTTTTTATGCCATTGACAACAGAATTATGAAAAAAAAAAAACAAATTCGAAACACACAAGTGACAAAAAAGTTCCAGAAGACAGAAGGACCAGGAGCAGCGAGGGCCACTGCCCACTTTGGAGGTTTTCCATTTTCGTGGCAAGAGCAGGCCCCAGGAGCTCTGCCAGTTAGGAACCTCTGCAGCCTGGGAGCACACGTGGATATCTGGTCTAGGTTCAGTAGGTGCCGCTGCCTGAGCTGCCCCGACTGCTGGGCAAGGAGGGATTTCCTGTAGCCATCCACAGACTTCCAAACTCACATGGTCTCATATTGATTCTGGATTGTTGGTTTACATAAGCCCTGGCGCAGGCTGCGAATTTTATCTCAGGGAAGTGGTGTATTTCAGCCAATGAACAGGTCATCAGAAATGAGAACTTTTAGAACATGGAGGGCAAGTCTTCTCATTGGGTTGCAGTTAAAAATTCTCAGTTGAATCATAAAACCAGTCGTTCAAAGGAAACTTTTAAAAGTACCAGCCCTGGAAAATTCTGTTCTTAGGAATCACATCTCAGCTTCAAGGAGGAACTAAACTGGCTGGTAAAACTTTTGATCTTGCATTCAGCACAGGGACAGTGTAAAAGGAAAGAAAAATAGTGGAAAGCATTTTCGTTAAACTTGACCGAGAGAGCAATTTCTTTGGAGAATAAGATCACAGAGGGTAGGCTGGCCACATTTGAAAGGGAAAAGAGGCTTACCTTGACCCAAAGGCTCTTACAGTTGGGAAACTAAAAGAGGGAATTATTTAAGTGTCATTAGGTCTGAGATGATGACACACCAGCAAGCCCCAACAGAAAAAGTGGTAAGTTATCAGAGAGGAAATGGAGGATTCCCCAGAGAATGCATAGATCCAGAAAACTGTGGACAGTTGCCCTCATAAAAACTGTAATAAGAGCAATTGCAAGACCATCCCCGTCCTCCCTCCTCCCACCCCTGGAACCCCAGACTGGGATAGTTCTATAGAGTTAACAGAATTTGGGACAGAATTCATTCAACATTCATTCAAATAATTACTGAATATCCAGGCACTGTTCAGATGAGCAAAAATTCCCTGCTTTTCTATGTCAAGACTGGCAGTTTCCTAGAAACCAAGGCTATGTCAAGAGGTGATTAAAAAATGAACAATTGTGGAAAAACAGAATAGTGAGAAAGAAAGAGAGTGTGGAAGGAGAGGGAGAGAGTTGCCACTTTATTGAGGGAATTTAAGGAAGGCCTCCCTAATAATTCAAGAGGAGGCCCAGAGGAGCTGACAGAATGAGCCATGCTCCAGGTTATTCTGTGAAAGGAAGAGCAAGGAGGCCAGCTTAGCCAGGGGGTGGCATTTGAATTTTTAAAAGGCTCTTTGGCGCTCTGTAAAGGATGATTTTTGAAAGACAATACTCGGGGATATAAACCAAAATTGTCCAGTCAAATAGTGAGGACCTGAACCCAAGGAAGTGGTGGCAGGTAGGAAAAGGAAAGTCCACACTAGCACAAGTATAGCTGCAGTTGCTTCCTATTCTTGTACCTGTTGTAGAGAGCAGGCAGGTGGCTCCAACCCTCAGGACAGCTGGGAAGTCAAGGAGGGTTTAAACGCAGGTGTATCATTTCTTAAGGCTTCCATGCAAAATACCACAAGCTGGACGCCTTAATACAAATGAATTCTCTCATAATTCTGGAGGCTAGAAGACCAAAATCAAAGTGTGAGCAGGGCCATGCCTCCTATAAAGGCTGGTCTAGAGAGAATCCTTTCTTGCCTCTTCCAGCTTCTGTGGGCTTCAGGTGTTCCTTGGCTTGTGCCAGCTTAACTCATGTCTCCACATGGCTTTCCCCTAGGTCTCTGTGTCTCAAATCTCACTCTGCCGCTCCCTTATAGAGATACCTGTCACTGGGTTTAAGGCCTACCCCAAATCCAGGACAGTCTTGCAATATAGCTTAGTTTTGTTTTTTAATGATGTTTGAGGCCCTGGCTAAAGAGGAGTCAGTCCACACTCCAACCACGTTTGTTATCTGGCCGTCACACTCCTGATCACTGTGCACCTGCCCTAGTAACCCCAAGGCCAGGAAATGATACCTGGTGTAATGCCTCTGTGACATAGCTGAATTTCTACCCCATTCTACCTCTGCTTATCTTTAAGAAATAGGACACCTGTGATACAAATTTCCCTTTGTAACCAGACCAACTAAGACTGGTTAGAACCAAGATAGACAATCAAATGACTTCAGAAAGATCTGAGGCTTTATTATAATGTCATTTCCATGCTAAATGACCCTCCCACAAGCACCATGGCAGTTGACAATCGCCATGACCATGACCAAAAGAGGCCATAAAAGGACAAAAAGGAAAGCAGCACTCCATTTCCAAGAAGTTCGCCACCCATCTCCAGAAAAGACCTGAATATTCCTCCCCTCATTTCTAATGTTCAACCCCTTCATTAGAGAAATCCTTCTTGAACATGGTAAAACCCCATCTCTACTAAAAATACAAAAACCAAAAACTAGACTTTGGGAGGCTGAGGCGGGCGGATCACAAGGTCAGGAGATCGAGATCATCCTGGCCAACACGGTGAAACCCCGTCTCTACTAAAAATACAAAAAATTGATTCTGCAGCATTCATTCAGGAAGCACTCATGAAGAGCCTACCAGGTGCCAGCCCTGGCCTGGGGCTGGGCTTAGAGCCGGGACAGGATGGCCCGGCATCTGCTCCATGGAGCTCACAGCCCAGCCTAGGCTGGCAACTCCAGTCTGCCCCAGTTTCCAGTTCTGTCCATTCCCCTTGCAGCTCAGCATGGATGAAGCTTTGAAATCCAGCTCTCCCTCTCCCTCTCCCTCTCCCTCTCCCTCTCCCTCTCCCTCTCCCTCTCCCGTCTCCCCACGGTCTCCCCCGTCTCCCCACGGTCTCCCTCTCCCTCTGTTTCCACGGTCTCCCTCTCATGCCGAGCCGAAGCTGGACTGTACTGCTGCCATCTCGGCTCACTGCAACCTCCCTGCCTGATTCTCCTGCCTCAGCTTGCCGAGTGCCTGCAATTGCAGGCACGCGCTGCCACACCTGACTGGTTTTCGTATTTTTTTTGGTGGAGACGGGGTTTCGCTGTGTTGGCCTGGCCGGTCTCCAGCTCCTAACCGCGAGTGATCCGCCAGCCTCGGCCTCCCGAGGTGCCGGGATTGCAGACGGAGTCTCGTTCACTCAGTGCTCAATGGTGCCCCGGCTGGAGTGCAGTGGCATGATCTCGGCTCGCTACAACCTCCACCTCCCAGCCGCCTGCCTTGGCCTCCCAAAGTGCCGAGATTGCATCCTCTGCCCGGCCGCCACCCCGTCTGGGAAGTGAGGAGCGTCTCTGCCTGGCCGCCCATCGTCTGGGATGTGAGGAGCCCCTCTGCCTGGCTGCCCAGTCTGGGAAGTGAGGAGCGTCTCCGTCCGGCCGCCATCCCATCTAGGAAGTGAGGAGCGCCTCTTCCCGGCCACCATCCCATCTAGGAAGTGAAGAGCGTCTCTGCCCGGCCGCCCATCGTCTGAGATGTGGGGAGTGCCTCTGCCCCGCCGCCCCGTCTGGGATGTGAGGAGCGCCTCTACCCTGCCGCGACCCCGTCTGGGAGGTGAGGAGCGTCTCTGCCCGGCCACCCCATCTGAGAAGTGAGGAGACCCTCTGCCTGGCAACCGCCCCGTCTGAGAAGTGAGGAGCCTCTCCGCCCGGCAGCCACACCGTCTGGGAAGTGAGGAGCGTCTCCGCCCGGCAGCTACCCCGTCCGGGAGGGAGGTGGGGGGGTCAGGCCCCCGCCCGGCCAGCCGCCCCGTCTGGGAGGGAGGTGGGGGGGGTCAGCCCCCCGCCCGGCCAGCCGCCCCGTCCGGGAGGTGAGGGGCGCCTCTGCCCGGCTGCCCCTACTGGGAAGTGAGGAGCCCCTCTGCCCGGCCAGCCGCCCCGTCTGGGAGGGAGGTGGGGGGTCAGCCCCCCGCCCGGCCATCCGCCCCGTCCGGGAGGGAGGTGGGGGGGGTCAGCCCCCCGCCCGACCAGCCGCCCCGTCCGGGAGGGAGGTGGGGGAGTCAGCCCCCCGCCCGGCCAGCCGCCCCGTCTGGGAGGTGAGGGGCGCCTCTGCCCGGCCGCCCCTACTGGGAAGTGAGGAGCCCCTCTGCCCGGCCACCACCCCGTCTGGGAGGTGTGCCCAACAGCTCATTGAGAACGGGCCAGGATGACAATCGCGGCTTTGTGGAATAGAAAGGGGGGAAAGGTGGGGAAAAGATTGAGAAATCGGATGGTTGCCGTGTCTGTGTAGAAAGAAGTAGACATGGGAGACTTTTCATTTTGTTCTATACTAAGAAAAATTCTTCTGCCTTGGGATCCTGTTGATCTGTGACCTTACCCCCAACCCTGTGCTCTCTGAAACATGTGCTGTGTCCACTCAGGGTTAAATGGATTAAGGGCGGTGCAAGATGTGCTTTGTTAAACAGATGCTTGAAGGCAGCATGCTCTTTAAGAGTCGTCACCACTCCCTAATCTCAAGTACCCAGGGACACAAACACTGCGGAAGGCCGCAGGGTCCTCTGCCTAGGAAAACCAGAGACCTTTGTTCACTTGTTTATCTGCTGACCTTCCCTCCACTATTGTCCTATGACCCTGCCAAATCCCCCTCTGTGAGAAACACCCAAGAATGATCAACAAAAAATAAATAAATAAATAAATAAATAAATAAAAATAAAATAAAAAAAAAAGAGAGAAATCCTTCTTCCCTCACTAGTTGAGAAGTTGATTTGTGAGCCAAGCTCCCGCTTCTCAATTCCATGGCCATTGAATAAAACTTGTGCTGCTTAAGATTCACTTTTGGTTTTGCATATTGGCTTTGCAGCACTAAACAGGAAAAGATCCCATTTGTGGGGAAACCAGCTTTGTCTGTAATAGTACTAGACAACTAGAGGCAGTCCCTATGCCCTGGAGCACTCAGAATTATTTAAATGAGCCAATCCACAGGGAGCCCATGAAACCTAGCTAGCCCCACGCAACTCCCCAACTTCCTACCCATAAACTGTCCCTCACAGCTCCAGCTGGCTGTTGCTCTGCCCCCAGGCACCCTCTGTGGGCCTGCCTGGCAGCCTTGCCTTGTTTGGAGGTATAACTAACAAATAGTTCTGCCTTTTATCTATCTTCGTGTCATTGTGGTGTGTCCCGCCATCAAAAGAAACTTTAAATTTCATGAAACTGACCTCATCTCTAGATCTTTCACTTAATTACATCTGCAGAAACCCTTTTTCCAAATGTGGTCACATTCAAAGGTGGACATCTCTTTCGGGATGTAGCAATGACTTAAGCCTTGTATACAGATGAAGTCAGCAAAAGGAATGCCAAAGTCAAGGGAGTCTGCTCTCTGTCATGCGATGCTATACCAGAGTCAGGTTGGAAAGTAGCTCCATTATACCAGGTTAATAAAACTCCCTTTAATGAGATATTATGGTTTGTAGGGCATAACTTTTACCATGCATAGCCTTAGGTCTTGTTTATAAATTGGTTATCTGATTGCAACAAGCAGTCTATTTTGTCAGTCTTATGATCTCTGTTTTAACCTTGATGCTGGTGAGTTGTCCCTAAAGTCAAAGGGAGGGAGTATGATAAGGTGTTTCCAACCTCCCCTCCTGTCATAGCTGGGAATTTAGTTTTTCAGGTTTCTCAGGGGTCCCCTTGGCCAAAAGCTAGTCCATTCAGTTGGTTTGGGGGCTTAGGAACTTATTTTTAGTTAGCAGTTTAAAATCAATAAAGTGTAACAACTATTTACATAGCATTTACATTGTATTAGGTATTATAAGTAATCTAGAGATCAATTAAAGTATACAGAAGGATGTGCATAGATTATATGCAAATACTATGTCATTTTGTATAAGGGACCTGAGCATCTGAGGATTTTGCTATCTGCAGGGGGCGCTGGAACCAATCCACCTGGAACTGAGGGACAGCTCTAATGCTGAGAAACAAAACTGGCTTGGAAAGAGGGGAGACCCAGGACTTGAGCCTGCCGAGGAGCTAAACCCAAGGGCAAGAGCTGCAGGCAGCTGGGCTGGAGAGGAGGAAGGAGGTGGCTTTGTTTCCAACTGCCCTGGAAGACCTCCTCATCCCCCTGCATCCCCAGCCTCCTTTCCTTTTTCCTTCCTGCTCTGCTCCCTTCCTTCCTCTCCTCCTCTTGGGAGGTGGCCAGGGACATAGGTCAGTGCCTGGCCCCGAGGAAGACACATGCAGTTTGTGGACGGGTCTTGGGATGCGGACACCCAGAGTCTTGTGCACCTTCCTGGAGTGTTGCCCACTCCAGTACCCACTCCCTAATCTCCCCTCTTCCTCCTCAATCCTCTCTTGCAGGAAGCAGAGGATGGAGAACCCCCTCAGGAAGGAGGGCAGTGACTCTGGGTTTGCCTAGGGCTAATGGCCTCTCACCGACCTGTGCCCTTGTACCTGTCGCCTGGGCAAACAGTGATTGCATCAGCTTTGGTTTCTCATGGGTGGGCAGCCTTGGCTGTCTGCCGGAACGTAAAGAGCATGGAGCAAGGACATGGGAATCCGAATCCCGCTGAGGTCCCAGGACCACTTCATCCTTCTTCCCTGTGCCTCTCCTCCCCAGCATGAGCACAGCAGCCTGATGGAGAAGGATTTTCCAATGTTAGAACTGGAAAGAACACCTGTAGCCTGTCTCCACCGTTTACAGTGGTGCTGGAAGTGAAAAGATGTGTTCCAGGTCACAGGCAGGTAGACAGCGGAGCCAGACTGAAATTCACTCCTCCTGATTTGGAGTTTAGAGCTCTTCTTTGGCAACATTTTGATGAATAAAATCACAAGTTCTGTGTCTTTTGAAATTCCTTGTGGAGCCTAGTGCCATCCTCTGAACTTGGAGCCAACTGACCTTTGTCCTTGGGGCAGAGACATGGTTCATGGGCCCAATCCAGGTCCTCAAAGGGAGGGCAGGTCTGAGTCCTTGCCCTCTGAAGTCAGAAACCTCATCTCCCACTACAGACCTGCCAGGGCCCAGGAGAGCTCGACCCACCCAGGCACACCATAGCCCCAGAGATGGCTGGGGACACAGAAGTGTGGAAGCAAATGTTTCAGGAGTTAATGCGGGAGGTGAAGCCATGGCACAGGTGGACCCTGAGACCAGACAAGGGCCTTCTTCCCAACGTCCTGAAGCCAGGCTGGATGCAATACCAGCAGTGGACCTTCGCCAGGTGAGGGGGAATGTGATGGTACACGTTCCAGAAAATTCTTGCACATTTCTTACTAGGTATACCTGTTACTTTTCTTGTTCTATTCTGTGCTTTCAAATTGAAGACTATGGGTAATAAGATGCCCATCATCCAAGAAGTTGTAACTTCATTAAAGATCGTTTTTTCACTATTACAATGAACCCCAAAGCAAGAGCAGGCCTGAGCACCCTTGTGAGCTAATGCCTGGATACAGAGAAATCAGTCTGTGGGGGTGGGGAGAGGGAGCAGCCAGGAAAGGGGAGGGGAGGAAGGGCAGCTGTTGCACCCACGGGCGGTGCATGTGCCCCATGCCTAGGGAGACTGCTGGACCCACCTTGGAGCCCCTAGGAGGAGAGACTCACGGCACTGAGCAGACACCCTCGGGGGAGGCCGGAGGAGCAGGGGGCCTGGGCAACAGGCAGCAATCCTGCCCCTCTCTACTCTGAGCTGATAGAATCTTTTTAAAATAGGAGTCTTAGAAATCATCCTAAGCCTCATCCTCTCTTTCCCAGGTGGAAATGGGGAGCCCCAAGGCTTGGGGCTGATTGCCCACAGTGCACAGAGGGTGGAGGCCGGGTCCCACCCGCTGTCCCCTCCCAGGGAGAGTCTACATAGAGGGGGCAGAGCTCTCCCACTGGCCTATGGCTATCCCAGGCCAGGAGCTGCCATAGGGAGCATTGCACCAAAGTCTCAGTCCATTTATCCATGGGAAGTTTGAACTCTGAACAAGCACAGGAACAGAGCACTGAGACCCAGGGGATGGCAGTGGACTTCTGCTCAGAACAGGGCCCAGGCCCCTCTGCACTGCTGACTCTGGGTGACTCCCAGCAAGGTCCTCTCACAGTGATCACAGCTTCTTGGCCTCTCCCTCTCATTTCAACCTTGCATTCACCCTGTGGGTTGCGGCTAGAGTCAAGATACAGGAGCACACCCTGGACTAACTCCCTCTTCCCAGCCCCCTCCAATTCACCACCTGCAGCCTAATTTCTCTGTATCCAGGCATCGGGGGCTCAGCCACAGTGACAAATAAACCTGGAAATATCACTGATTTAACCTTACACGTGGCTCCCAAGGTCACCGAAGCAGAGGAGGAGAGAGCTGGAATGTCTTACCAAGGCTTCTGTGACCATATCTGGAAGGAACATATATCACTGCTGGCCTCATCTCATTGCCCAACTGGTCCCATGGCCCCAGCCTCACGGCAAAGGGGCTGGGAAGTGGGAGGGAGTGCATGGATAATTTGGTGAGCATTAAATGTCTCCGCCACAGTGCAGCTCTCTGCCTCTCCCATAATTCCTTTCCCAGGTGCAGCCATGTGCTTCCTGCCTTCTTCTCTCTCTACCTCCTGACATGTATTTGTCCAGATACCTTAGCTCAAAAACTGCCCTCCTCCCTGCTGAGACAAGGTGTATTATCTTGTATCCTGTCTGAAGCCAGTGGCATTCAGAATATGAAGTTTTCCAGGCTACCTTGAGCAAGGGAACTGGGTTGGAGGGGAAACAAATGAAGAGAGAGCTGGACACTGTGATCTCCCTGCAATACCGCAGACCAGGGACCCTCGGCAGCCAAGAGAAAGGCAAAGGCTTTCCTCTAGGAGAACCCTGGACACTTCAGGCTCCCACCGCCAACCCATGAGTCTATAACTTAATCAACACCCACCTATAGGCATTTGTGGATTTCAGGGTCCTGAACTGAACTGGCTGCTGTTGCAGTTGTGGCCTCTGACCCATTTGAATCTACATTTGAAGAAGCTTTGCTTTGGAATAGGGAGACCACAGTCCCAGTCATGCCTTTTTACACCCACTGGGTCTCTGGACATGAGGAGTTTCCAGAGTGTGCCTCATCTCTAAAATGGACGTGTTGGACTTAGAAGATGCCCAAGGTCCCTCCCAGATCTAACAGCTTGCAATTCACTGTTTTCATAGCAGACACTGTGCAGCATGCAGTGTGTCAGTGGCACAATGGAGATGGGAAAGAGGTCTTAGCAATTTCTTCCACCACTGAGCCACAGCCCCAGTCAAGTCATGTCTCTGTGCAGTCGGTAGCTCCTTTCTCTCTCTGGCAGTTCCCCGTGATTTGGTCACATGGAGCCAGGCTGAGACTCTCTTCTGTCTCCACAGGTTCCAGTGCTCCTCCTGCTCTCGTAACTGGGCCTCTGCCCAAGTTCTGGTCCTTTTCCACATGAACTGGAGTGAGGAGAAGTCCAGGGGCCAGGTGAAGATGAGGGTGTTTACCCAGAGATGTAAGAAGTGCCCCCAACCTCTGTTTGAGGACCCTGAGTTCACACAAGAGAACATCTCAAGGATCCTGAAAAACCTGGTGTTCCGAATTCTGAAGAAATGCTATAGAGGAAGATTTCAGTTGATAGAGGAGGTTCCTATGATCAAGGACATCTCTCTTGAAGGGCCACACAATAGTGACAACTGTGAGGCATGTCTGCAGGGCTTCTGTGCTGGGCCCATACAGGTTACAAGCCTCCCCCCATCTCAGACCCCAAGAGTACACTCCATTTACAAGGTGGAGGAGGTAGTTAAGCCCTGGGCCTCAGGAGAGAATGTCTATTCCTACGCATGCCAAAACCACATCTGTAGGAACTTAAGCATTTTCTGCTGTTGTGTCATTCTCATTGTTATCGTGGTGATTGTTGTAAAAACTGCTATATGAGCCTTGGAAACATGAAGCTAAGTCAGAAAAAAAATCAGATACAAAAAGTCATATGTTGTATGATTTCATTTATGTGAAAGGTCCAGAATAGGCAAATCTATTAGATGAACTGCTAGCAGGGCCTAGAGATAGTGGGAGATGGGAAGCAACTACTTAATCCTGATGGGTTTTTTTTGTGGAGGAGAGAGGTGTGATGAGAATGTTTTGGACTGAGATAGAGGTGCGGTTGCACAACAGTGTCAATGCACTAAATGTCATTGAACTGTCCA
The DNA here is from genome assembly GCF_000001405.40 of Homo sapiens. Classification (NCBI taxonomy): domain Eukaryota; kingdom Metazoa; phylum Chordata; class Mammalia; order Primates; family Hominidae; genus Homo; species Homo sapiens. Next base: position 46,501,169 of record NC_000003.12, read on the forward strand.
CTTTCAATGGTTAAATTTGTTATGTGACTTTCACTTCAGTATTTTTTAAAAAGGCCTTCACAATTGTGTTCACTCTCAAGAGAACTGAGTCTGAAGTGTCTATGATTCATAAACCATTTGGAAATCTTGTGAAGCCTGTGGGCCCCCTCACCAGGGAATTTTGCACAGACCCTCTGAGGTCAGACTGTGAGGGCAAAAGCATCAGGATGAAAACCTGGGTTCTCAAACAGTTGTCCCCATGGAGGGAGGTGTGTATGCTGCTGAGGGGGAAAGGCAGGATGTGCCACCGGGTGTTTCCTTTTTAAAGATAATGTAATTAGTATAAATTGTTGATTAACGGGGAACTCACAGCCAATAGCATCATGACCCAGGCCTGAAGGAAGCTTCTCTAACACACATATTCTCATATTCTCTCCATAAGGCATATCATAGCCTTCTCACTCTTAGGAACACCAGACAGCACTCTGCACTATGCTCAAGGGCCGTTTGAAACAGCAAAATCACTGACAGAAGCACAAAAATGTGAAACGCATGGCAAAATAGATCAGGAGATGGACGCTTGTTTATAGTACAAAAGCTGGAACAAACAGGCAGGGAACACACAAGCCCTGCTCTGGCTCAGTTGGGAACACAGGTGCTGGTGACTCCAATTTCCCCTGCTCTGCACATGTCTGTGAATGACCACAAACACACCATGAGTACTGATTTGGGGGTTACTAATAGATTTCAGCAGGCAGGCAAAATCACAAATAGACTCCACGAATAATGGGGCTGACCTGTGCATTCTCAAATGGCTTTGAACTGTGAATGACTCTGTTTTACTAACACATGCGGTCCACATGTGGAGTTCTCACCCACAAGGCTCACGTGAGGGCTGTCAGCTTGGAGCTCTGGGATTCCTACTAGCTAACCAGAATTTTTCATGTTCAGAGGACAGAGTCTCAGAAACTATTTGCTCCTTAGACCATGTCCTCCCAGTGACTGAACCAAAGCTGAGATTTTTCTTAGTAAAATCGAACAAAGGATTGACTTTATAAAACTTCCGTTGAAAGATGGATGTAAGGGGGCACGTTACCTGGCTAGATAGAAAGTTCTGATTTTAAATATTCCAGATAACCATAAAAATCTATCACTGCTAAGGGAATGCCTAATTTCTAAAGAAGTAATTGAAGTCTGGTGGCTCACGCCTGTAATTCCAGCACTTTGGGAGGCCAAGTTGGGCAGACCACCTGAGCTCAGGAGCTCAAGACCAGCCTGGCCAACATGGCGAAACTCCATCTCTACTAAAAATACAAACATGTGGTGACATGCACCTATAATTCCAGCTACTGGGAGGCTGAGGCACAAGAATCACTTGAACCCAGGAGGCAGAGGTTGCAGTGAGCCAAGATTGCACCACTGCACTCCAGCCTGGGTGACAGAGTGAGACTCTGTCTCAAAAAAAAAAAAAAAATTACCCTCTGACATACATACACCTGCTCACAAATATATTGTCTGACCAGTGACAGCTGCTGCCTAGTGTCTGCAGGGAAGAGGAAGGGGGTGTCCAAGTGGTGGGCTTGGGGCATGACCTGAACCGGATGAATACTGGTATTGCTCCTGTGCAAATTAAAATTTGACCTAAGGCCTCCAGCAGGTCAGCAGGAAAGTGAAAGGAGACCCACACCCCTCCCTGAGCTCCCACTATCTCCCAGTATACAAAGGCCAGAGATGGCCTCCTCCCAGCAACACACGAGGGCCCAGTGCAGTATTCAGAAAGAGTTGACAGTGAGTGTCTAGGCTGGGAATTGACCCTGTTCCAAGGAGAGTGGCCTCTGGGTTGGAAGACTGAGGTGAGTGTATGGAGGGTCATGACAAAGCCACCCCCTAGGGGAAGGGAAGAGAGTACCAAGCCTGCCCTGGCTTTGCCAGATAAGGGATGGTAATGCAAGCTGGTATTTATGTTGATAAATATCTGTTTCCAGAGTGGGTAGGCCTGGGTGACAGTAGAGGGTGTTCCAAATAGATCCTGGAATTATGTTTGTCAAGCTTAAGCAGATGAGAGACCAGCATTGGCTTATGGGCCCTTCCCTGCACAGGCATACTGTCTAAGTCTGTTTACGTTGCTGTAAAGGAATAGCTGAGTCTGGGTAATTTACAAAGAAAAGAGGCTTGTTTCATTCACAGTTCTGCAGAGTGTACAAGTAGCATGGCACTAGCATCTGCTTCGAGTGAGGGCCTCAGGCTGTGTCTGCTCATGACAGGTGAAGGAGAGCCAGCACAAGTAGGGATCACATGGGGAAAGAGGAAGCAAGAGAGGTGCGGGGTGGTGCCGGGTTCTAACAACTGACTCTGGCAGGAACTAAGAGCTAGAACTCACTCATTACACCAAGGATGGCACCAAGCCATTCATGAAGGATTCGTCCCCATAATCCAAACATTTCCCATTAGGCCCCACCTCTAACACTGGGGGTCCAATTTCATCATGAAGTTTAAAAGGTCAAATATTCAAAATATAGCACGTTCCTAGCACCCTTCCACATAAACAGCTGCTCTTCATCCTCGGAATACCCACAGTGGCTGGGGCATTGTCCACAGCTGCTCAGAGCCCAAGGCCAGAAGCTTCTAGGACTTCTATTCCAGATTTTCTCCCCTGCACCCTCCCCCTTTCCCTGAAGTTGAGAGTCAGTGGGAGGAGCACAGAGAGAGAGGCTGAAAGAAAAGAAATAGTCAAAAGGGAGAATTTAAGAGGGCCCTTAAATCTAGGTAACCTTTGAGATGAGCAAAGTAATATTGAGAAACAAAACTGGTGGAGATGAGGGGAGACTGCCACAGTGTGAGTCTGCTGAGGAAGGAGCCAGTTAGGCTGAAAACATGGGTTCTCAGGGAGTGGTCTCCCTGGGGCCACCTGTGACTGAGGGGTAAGGCAGGATGCACCACTGAGGAGGGAGAGATATCCTGTTTAGTTTTTCTTTAAAGTTTATTATTTCTTATGGTATGTTTTTATAATGTATGCAAATATATTAGAATAATGGTATGCATAAGTATGCAGAGGATGCATGAATAACAAATACACACACATTTGGAATGCATGCTCAATTTTTTTTAACCCCATTGTCCAATCAAAAACACTGGGACTGAGGCCAGGCTTGGTGGCTCATGCCTGTAATCCCAGCATTTTGGGAGGCCGAGGCGGGAGGATCACGAGGTCGGGAGATCGAGACCATCCTGGCTAACACAGTGAAACCCCGTCTCTACTAAAAATACAAAAAAAAAAAATTAGCCAGGCATGATGGCGGGCACCTGTAGTCCCAGCTACACGGGAGGCTGAGGCAGGAGAACGGTGTGAACCTGGGAGGTGGAGCTTTTGGTGAGCCGAGATCACGCCACTGCACTCCAGCCTGGGCGACAGAGAGAGACTCCGTCTCAAAATAAAACAAAACAAAAAAGACAAACAACAATAACAACAACAACAACAACAAAAACATTGAGACTGACATTTTGGGCTGGATGATCACAAAAATAATAAAAATAATAAAAAAGAAATACTGAGGACTCCCATTCTAAAGGAGCAAATGTGGAAGTCTGTGGACAGATTCTTACCAGGTGTATTAGTCCATTCTCACGCTGCTATGAAGAAATACCCAAGACTGGGTAATTTATAAAGAAAAGAGGTTTAATTGACTCACAGTTCCACATGGCTGGAGAGGCCTCAGGAACACAATCATGGCAGAAGGCACCTCTTCACAGAGTGGCAAAAGAGAGAATGAGTGCCAAGCAAAGCGGGGAAAGTCCCTTATAAAACCATCAGATCTCGTGAGAACCCACTAACTATCACAAGAATAGCATGAGGGTAACCGCCCCCATGATTCAATTACCTCCCAGTGGGCCCCTCCCATGACTCGTGGGGATTATGAGAAATACAATTCAAGACGAAATTTGGGTGGGGACACTTTCAAACCATATCACCAGGACTCTGAAACCAAAGCAGTCTTTTGAACATGCTCTGTCTTGATTAATGACATTAATTTTAAGACTCCTTCTCACACCTTTTTTTAAAAAAACTAGAAATGTGAATCCTTCCATTTATGCAATGGAAATTAGTGTAATAGTCACTTACAGCCAATAACTTCTTTTCACTCACCCCATCCCCATCCTCTCCCCATCTGCCCCCCTCCATCGACTGGAGTTGTGCCTTGCCTGCATCCTAGTGCTCCCTCTAGGGCACATTGCATCCTCACATTGTCCTTCTGGAATGTCATTCTGGCAGTTCACATCTCCCACCTGTCCCCTCAAACCACACCTACAACCATGCCTTGGCTAATTTATCTTTCCCACTCCTAGGCTTTTGCTCACAAATTCCCTCTGCCTCTTCTTAGCTACTCATGAGACCATGTCCATCTTTTAATTCCCTACTGAAGTGACAGTATCCCTGCGGTGCCTCCTGTCATCCCTCTGGTGAGGGTTTCATTCCACTAGTGCTGGTTGTCCTTCTACGTAGCCCCTGTTCTATTCCACCCAGTTCTAGTGCTGACTGGCTTCCTAGTGAACCAGGAGTGTCTGAGGCAGGGCCCGGTTCTCCTCACCTTTCCCTGCTTCCTAACCCAGGGAGGAGCCTCTGCACAGCTGTGTGAGCTGAAAGAAGGGCTGCATGGTGAATGAGCCTGCCACATCTGGACTGAGCACTGCTGGGCTCTCTGCATGCCATTTGGCCATGAACAGCTTAGAAATGAAAATGGTGTTTTCCACTTTACCCATTTGCCGTTTCTCTCCTCATGTGTATTCATGGGTGATCCTAGCTCACTCTTTGGCAAAGGACACACTGTTTCTGAAACTGAAAAAGATGTGTGTTTAATTCATGTGGAAGAATGAGTGACCGAAACTTGATAAACAAGTCAGGAAAAAATGACCACAGGTGGGCCTTGCCTTAGAAGACATCACCACTGTGGTAATTAGCATATAGAGTGCTGGCTCCGGGACAGGCAGCACTGCAGAGCAAGCCGGGCAAGGGCCAGGGCGAACTGGAGGAGGGTCCCTGTGCTTGGAGAGGGGTGAGAGCGGCAGGCTGGACAATTTGGCTTGGTTTTAGACATCGTTGGGACCTACCTGAAGCTGGGGCATACTTCACCTTTGCGCTTACTCATAGGCTGTGTAGCCCGTGCTGGGGAGACCGTCAATCCCAGGCTGAGGTTTTCTGTGGTCTCGCCTGGAAGCCACGGGTGTTTACCAACACCACTCCCACCCCCATACACACTCCCTACTAGGCATTCACTGCCATTTCTGACTTCCCAGGGCTGCATGGCTGCCGAAATTCCCATGCAAGCCTTTAGCCTCCCAGAGCCTGGCTTTGTTTTCCCTTAGAACAGCACATCTTGGTAATCAGCCAATGAAAGAAAAATGGAATGCAGCATTTTGAGCCTCTTCTCTTCAATTCCCTTCTTTCTGGGATTTTGCCTTTAAATTTCAGGTGCCTAGGCAGCCTCAAATTCTGACTTCTGTCTCCTCAGTCAACTGAAATAATCACTTTTTGCTTTGCTTTATCTCCTGGGCTGCAATTCAGAAACTGTCTTCGAGTAAACCCGGGGCACATGGGGCTTGCCTTATGTGCGTCCCTCCTCCAGAGGACCAGCTCCTCACAGCCAATCCATGCTTGTTGCTCTCCAGTGCATCTCATCCTTTGTTTTCTTGTTTTTGCCTAGCTTTTATAGCTATTTTTGGTGATAGGAAGGGTCCAAACCTAGCTACTCTGCAGTGGCCAGGATCAGAAAGAATTTTGCAGTTGTTATTCCAAAATCTCAATAGAATTGTCAAATTTCTCACATACAGTCAAGGCTACTGTCTTCTAATATGGAAGTAGAGGTGAACGCAAAGCCAGCCAACTTAGAGAATTTCCTTCCTCTTCTATAAACATCACCTTCATTTTGGCAGTGCTATCTAGTAGAGTTAGAGCATGTCAGCCACATAGGTAACTTAAATGTTTTCAGTAGCCACATTATTATTATTATTATTATTATTATTATTATTATTATTTTGGTAGAGACAAGGTTTCATTCTGTCACCCAGGGTGGTCTTGAACTCCTGGATGTTTATGTAGGAACACATATTCATTTTAAGTTTCCTCCAATCTCAGTTTCCTGAGATGCCTGTAGCATCCTGCACATTCCTTCTACAGCACATGCACCTTTTACCCAAGATATAAGCCCTGGGTCTGGAGGGTCGCAATGCGGAGATCTGCCTGTCTTGCAACCGCAAAAGACCACACTTCTATCTGTAAATTCCCCCTAAAAAATCACCCAATACCGACAAACTGGATTTGTCTGCCTCTTTCTTTGGTTTCTTGGATCCTGTGTCATTTGGGGGTCATTTTCCATGCACAGCCTTTTCACAGAACACCCAATCATTCATTGTGATTTGCTTCTAAACACTTCAGTATAGATACTGGGGTGTGTGTGTGTGTTTCTGTGCCATCTATACCCTGTGGGCTGTTGCCCCCATCCCAGAGGTGGTCAATTAGCATTCATTAGCAACTAATTGGGATCCTCACTCAAGAAAGCTGTGCTAAGTTTCAAATATTTCTGCAAAGGGGTCATTGTTAATTTGCATAAGACATATCAGAAACTACTTGTATTGGTGAAATAAGTGATGTTCACCACATGGGGCTGTGCTGGTATCTTCCCCCTTTCCCATGAATGTGGTAGGAGAATCAGAAGTGCCCAGTGGTCCCATACTTTGAGAACCATGCCCTGGTTTAAAATCCTGGCCCTGTGTTCCCCACTAAACAGAGGACACCATAGTCTGACACAGTGTTCCCGCCATCAGAGCACATTCCTGTCTGCCTGGAAGGGGCATATACAGGAGCATGTCTGGGCCACCTGAAAACCCAAAGGCTCACAGACCAGGTGGCATGATAGGGGACCTGCTTGCCAATGACAGTTTACTCCCCTGCAGAATTCTTGGTAGTGAGGTTCTGAGGAAGGCAACTAATATTTGCTGATAAACACAGAGAGAACATGGTGACTAGGGAAGACCAGACCTGCTTGGGTGACTCCAAACACTGGTTAGTGGGTTGGGTTTTCTTATTTTCTTGAACTCATGGAAGTAACAAAATATGCTAATAGTAACACAGGGCTAGAAACAGTTCAAGTTTAACGTAGGAAATGATCTTTTCTTTTTTTTTTTTTTTTTTTTTTTTTTTTTTTGAGACGGAGTCTCGCTCTGTCGCCCAGGCCGGACTGCGGACTGCAGTGGCGCAATCTCGGCTCACTGCAAGCTCCGCTTCCCGGGTTCACGCCATTCTCCTGCCTCAGCCTCCCGAGTAGCTGGGACTACAAGCGCCCGCCACCGCGCCCGGCTAATTTTTTGTATTTTTAGTAGAGACGGGGTTTCACCTTGTTAGCCAGGATGGTCTCGATCTCCTGACCTCATGATCCACCCGCCTCGGCCTCCCAAAGTGCTGGGATTACAGGCGTGAGCCACCGCGCCCGGCCGGAAATGATCTTTTCTTAAAAATAATTTGGTCACTATTCTTCAAGGAATTCCCCCAAGGAGTTTTCTCCTAAAGATTAGTCTTTTATCCCTAAGTCACTCCTATCTCCTTCAGTTACAAGATTTTCCCCTTCTTACGGGCTGAGACATCACTTCCTAAATTCATGTCATATGTGGTTGAGAGTAGCCTTCTGTGTAATCAGAGTTCTCCGCAGAAACAGAACCACTGGGATATACAGATGCTCCTCAACTTATGATGGGGTTATGTCCTGATAGACCCACCATAAGTAGAAATATCGTAAGTCAAAAATGCATTTAATACACCCTGCCCACCAAATATCGTAGCTTAGCTTAGCCTACCCTGGCCCACTTTAACATGGTCAGAATAGCAATAGGGAAGAGTATCTTACTGCCTGTGGCTAAGCTGGGAAAAGATCAAAATTCCCATTTTAAAGTATGGTTTCAACTAAATATATATCACTTTTGCATCATTGTAAAGTGAAAAATAATCATAAATTGAACCATTCTAAGTCAGGGGCCATCTGTATATAGGTTTATAAGGGGAATGTGAAGTCCTAATTAGGGAAAAGGAGTCAGGCTGGTGGGACCAGGGGAAAACAAAGAGATAAAGCAAATGAGCTATAGGTCTGCCTTTTTTTATGGCCCAGGACATATGGCCATATGTCCTGGGCCATAAAGATAAGTCTTTTATCCCTAAGTCACTCCTATCTCCTTTAGTTACAAGATTTATCTGTGCAGGACATATGGCCATATGTCTTGATGACGTACATAACTCAAAAAATTCCTGCTTACCATCAAATGCCTCAATTTATCAAACACTCCGGCTGACAGAAGAATGCAAGTTAAGCTCTCTGCTGCCTTGGCATTATCAACCAGCCCAAGTTCCATTCTATAAAATCTCCAGCAAGCCTTTGTCTCCTTGCAGTCAGCTCCTCTTCTGCTGATCCTGCCCGTTGCCTTCTTGCAATGTATTTTCATACTTTCTATAATAAATCTGCCTTTCTTTACCTACAAATGTTTTGGTAAATTCTTTTACCCCCTCACCACCAGCCCAGATAGTCACCACTCACCTGTGACAGGGATTTACTATGAAATGGGTTCATGTGATTAAAGAGGCCAAAAAGTCCCACAGTCTGCAAGCTGGAGAACCAGAAACCCAGGGGTGTAATTCAGTCTGAGTCTGAAGGCCTGAGAACTGGAGGTGTGGGGCCACACATGTAAGTCCCAGAGTTCAAAGGCCAGAGAGCTCTGGCATTTGAGAGCAAGAGGGCAGGAGAAGATGGATGTCTCAGCTCCAGAAGGGTGGATTCGCCTTTCCTCCACCATTTTATTCTGTCTGCCCACCCACATGGGGGAGGGCAATCTTCTTTACTCAGTCCACTGATTCAAATGTAAACCTCTTTGGGAAACACCCTCACAGACACACCCAGAAATGACGTTTCACCAGCTATAATATCTGGGTATCTCTTAGACCAGCGAAGTAGACACCTAAAATTAACCATTCACACCTTCCTAGACTTCCCTTCCCAGCGTAAGTCTCACTAAGTCCTGAGCTTGTGTTTCATCTCCTCAAACTTACTAAGAGATAAAGAACCGACTAGTGCTTTCACAATTTTCACTCTTCTTTTCAGGGTTTCCCAGGCTATTTTGCTCTTTATTTTCCCATGTGTATTTTAGAATCAACCTGACAAAAAAAGAAAGAAATTTAAAGAAAAACAAGAAAAGCTGAGGGTGTTTTATTGTGATCCCATTAAATTTATATATTAATTTAGAAAAAATTGGAATCTTTATCATGCTAAATCTTCCTATCCAAGAACATGGTACCTCATTCCCTTTGTAAACATCTTTTGTGTCTTTCATATGTGTTTTAAAGTCTTTCGTATGTAGGTTTTGTATATATCTTATCAGGAATATTTTATATTACAAATTGGTTTCTCATTATATCTTCTAGCTGTTATTGCTATGTATAAAGGCCTTTGGCTTCCATATATTATTTTATATGCCACTGTTCTCCTGACTTCTGTTATTTTTTATAGTAATGTTTCAGTTGATTCTCTTGGGTTTCCCAGGTAGGCAATCACATCATCTGCAAAACGTGGGTTTTACCTCCTTTTTAACTTTGATATCTCTGTTTTCTTCCTCTTCTCTAATTGTGTAGTAGTAGTAGGGATTTTAGAGGAGATGTCTCCAAATTTTCCTCATTAGGTACAATGTTGGCTTTGAAAATACTCATCAATTTCTATTTCATTGAGTATTCTGAAACCAAAAATGGGCATTCAAGACCGTTAAAACAAAATGTAAATTCCATAAACAGATAAACAGACTCATATGCATATTTAATATACAACAAAGGCATCATCTCAAATCTGTGCAGAAAGAGTAGACAGACTTTTTAGTAAGTGTTTTTAGGATAATTAGACAGCCCTATGGTAAAAGATAAAATTAGAACCATTCCTCAAGCCATATGCCAGGATAAATTTCCAACAAATTAGAGACTTAAATGGAAATAGTAAAACCTTATAAGTACATGGAAAAAATGAGTAAATTCCTCTGTGATGTGGTTCAATGATGCCCATGTCCTAATCCCCAGAACCTGTGAACATGTAACCTTATGTGGCACAGGGGACTTTACAGATGTGATTAAGGTGAAGGACCTTGAGATGGGGAGAGTGTCCTCCATCATCCAGCTGGGCTCAGTATAATCACATGAGTCCTTAAAGTGGAGAATCTTTCCTGGCTTTTGTCAGAGAGATGTGACTTCAGAAGAGTTAGAGAGACGCAATGTTGCTGGCTTTGAAGATGAAGGAAGGAGGTCAGGAGCCCAAAAGAATGGGGGTTGCCTCCAGAGGCCGGGATGGGCAAGGAAACAGATTTTCTAGAAGAGCCTCTAGAAAAGAATGCAGCCCTGCCTTGATTTTAGCCCAGTGAGAACTGTGTTGAACTTCTGACCTACAGAATTGTACGAGAATACATTTGTGTTATTTTAAACCATTGAATTTGTGGTCCTGTTACAGCAGCAATAGGGAATTCATACCTCTTTAATTTCCCTGCCTGAGAAGCAAAGGGACTGTCTCCCGGCCCCATCCTAAGTCACAATCTAAGCTTCTGACTGCCCTTTCCTAAATTCTTATTCAGTAGGAATGTTGGAAATAGTGGCACAGGTCGGGGAATCAAAAGGGAACCCCACCCCGCCCACCAAACCCACCCCCAGAACCCAGATGGGAAGGATAGCAAGCTGGATTGAGGACCTTTGGTCCAGCAAGTTGCACTTGAACAAATAAGAAATATCTGGTTACTAGACACGTCAGAGATAGAAGTGAGAACTTTAGAAGATTAATATAATCCTCTGTGAAGGAGTGTTATTTTAATTTCTCAGATTAAATTACTAAATATGCAGCCTGCCAGTTGTCTCCTCTCAGCCCCAAGCAATTTGGCTTCTGCAAGGTTCTAATTACCTCAGTTGTAATGTCCCCTTAATTACAGTGTTATCTAATGAACATACCATCCTCTGTTCTATAATGAGAGGATTTTTAAAGTAAAATTGACAAAGGTAAAGATGAGAAATTAGCCCTAAAGTATTCTCACTTGGCTCACTGGAGAGTTGAAACTTAACGCAAGGTTTCAGAGCTTCAGTGCACACAGAATGTGCTTGTAAGCCAGGCTTGACATCTGATTTCACAAAAGTAAGAAAATGCAATTTTTAAAAATTGTGGTAAAAAAACTCATAAATCATGAACCATATTTAAGTGCACAGTTCAGTCATGTAAGTAGATTCACATTGTTGTGAAACAGCTCCCCAGAACTTTTTAATCTTGCAGAACTAAAACTCCATACCCATTAACAAACAGCTCCCTATTTCCTCTCCTCCAAGCTCCTGGCAACCACCATTCTACTTTTCTGTTTCTACGAATCTGACTACATTAGTTACTGCAAATAAGTGAAATCACACAGCATTAGTCTTTTTGTGACTGGCTTATTTCATTTAACTTAACATCCTCAAGGTTCATCCATGTTGTAGTAAGTGTCAGAATTTCCCTCCTTCTTAAGGCTGAATAATACTCCACATGTTGTTTATCCATTCATCCACTGATCCATTGATAAACATCTGTGTTGCTTACTCTTCTTGGCTATTTTGAACTGAGCTGCTATGAATATGAATGTGCAAATATCCCTCGTTGAGACCCTTCTTTTTTTTTTTTTTAATTTTACTTTAAGTGAGACCCTTCTTTTTTTTTTTTTTTTTTTTATTTTACTTTAAGTGAGACCCTTCTTTCAATCCTTTTGGGTATATACCCAGAAATGAGATTTCTGGATCATATGGTAGGTCTATTTTTAATTTTTTTGAGGAACTATCATGGTTTTCCACAGTGATAACACCATTTTACAACCCCACCAACGGTGCACAAGGGTTTCAATTATTCTACATCCTCACAAACACTTGTTATTTTCTGCTTTTGTTTTCCTTTAACATAGCCATACGTATGGGTATGAAGTGATATCTTGTAGTCATTTTGATTTGCATTTCTAGAAAATGCTATTTTATGAAGCACATTCACACTTTCAAGGCAATATCACAAACAATATTTATACATCATAGCACCGATTAAATAAGGAAAACAAACTAGACAATAATTTTTTAAACTTGGATAATTAGAACAATAAAAGAAATGGAAGTTAGATTATTTGTGAGCTCACTGAAGACTACAGCCAAGAACTTTAATCTCAAGAAAGAATTGGAAAGCCCTTCAAAATCCTAAGAAATGCTATTATGTGGTCTAAACTGACTTTGATGACGGATCTTGCCACTGACAAGTAGTGTGGGAGAAGCTGGAAGATGAGATACTAGAAAAAAATGTCCTCCTTATTAATCAGGAAAAATTAGAATCAAGTAAATATTTTAAAGAAAAGAGAAATGAGTAAGATCTGTGGATTTTTTAAAATAGGTAATTTTTCAAAAAGAAAATTAGATAGAATTACACATTTGTAAGACCCATAAAATATTGGTCATGTAACTTTGGAAAATGGAGGAAGAAAATAAACACACCTGTAATACACTTCTTTTAGATGTCAATGGGATTCCCAAGTGGAGCTGCCCTATAGAGGAGAAACCAGAAACAGGTGCCAATATTAAAGGTCAAAGCTGGAGTAAGAAACATAAGTCATCTATGTATCAAAACCAAATCCTCGTTTTAAAAAGGATTAGTACCCTCAGTACAATTATAAAGCACTAAACTTTGGCTCAAATACAGAATGGTCTTTGGGTGAAAACATAATCCATTCTGAGCCAATTAGAATACATACCTCAGTAAGCAATAGGATTGGATATCCACTTCCTCAACCTTTCCCTTTTAAAGTTTACAAAACTGACCATTTTGTGAACGTCTGCTCTAACGACCCAGATAAACACCAGCCAAGCTTTCAGAAGGAGGCATCTCTAAGCCAGAGGAGCTTAGAGATCTCTAAGCTTGCTGGGTTTTTCTACAGAAAAGTGAGAAAGTAAGAAGGAACCATCTCCTACCATATCCAGTTATTAAAATTAAAATGACCTTTTGTCTCTTTCTGTACAAAAAAGACTGCTGTATTCTTCCACAATTCAAATTGGGAGGAATACGGTAGTAAGGATTTAATTCACTACTTTATAGCTTACTAGCTCCATGATCCATTACACCCCAAACAAGGAAACATGTGGGTGGGGAGGGTGGCTAGAACCATCAATAAATTTAAAAGAGATTCTAGTGGAAATAAAATTAAAGCTACAGTCAAGAAACCAGATGTGAGTCTTGCTATTAATTACAATACACTACTTAAGGATTTCACCTAAGTGCCTTTTCCCCTTCACTTCTGATGGGCTTCATTACATTCTATCCCAAAATATGGCGCCTTGGCATTTGAGAAAACTGCAGAAGCAGGAAGGTATCTCTGACTTTCCTCTCAGCCTTCACCCCTGAAGTAGGCCATAACAGAATTATCTGACCTTCCTCCCTGCAGTCGGTCATAAGACCCCCCCTTCCAGAGGTATCCTGCCTGTATCTGAATTATAGGAACATCCTTATCCTCAAAGACACAGGGACACCAAGAAGAATTGAACTGACAGGCCTTGTTAAGTTTCCCCCAGCGTATTGCTATTAGATCACACCGTGTTGTCCTCCAATCATATTTTTCCACAACTATGCACTTCATTATCAAACCTAGTATTAAAAAATGCACTAGTTGTCCAGGCACAGTGGCTCATGCCTGTAATCCCAGCAATTTGGGAGGCCAAAGCGGGAGGATCACTTGAGGTCAGGAGTTCAAGACCAGCCTGGCCAACATGGTGAAACCCCATCTCTACTAAAAATACAAAAATTAGCTGGGCGTGGTGGCGCACACCTGTAATCCCAGTTACTCAGGAGGCTGAGGTGGAAGAATCGCTTCAGCCCGAGAGGTGGAGGTTACAGTGAGCCAAGATTATACCACCACACTCCAGCCTGGGTAACAGAGCGAGACTCTGTCTCAAAAAAAAAAAAAACACAAATTTACCTGTTTCTTTGGGCCTTCATTTTTGAAGGCTCCCATATTGCATAAAACTTATATTAAATATATTTGTATGCTATTTTCACTTCTTAATCCATCTTTTGTTACAGGAGTCTCAGCCATGAACCTAGCAACAGACGAGCAAAAAAAATCTTTTCCCCCCTACACTTCCAACATACAAAAAATAGGTTTAATAAAAAGCTTTTAGAACCAGAACATTTTTCTTCTAAGAATATTTTATTCTTTCATTCATATTACTTTAATATTCATACATGTATTCTGCCATGTAAATAACCTTTCCAAATTATGTATCAGTCTATTTGCATCATGTCAAATTTTCAAATCTCCATATTTTCACAAGATATATATTCTCCTTTGGAATCTTTCTGCACATTTATATGAATAAATTAAATAGTATCTCTACAAACATATTCAAGTAATTATTTGTTTTGGGTTATTATGTAACATGAAATAATTATATATCAATGCAGTATTTTTTTCATATGTGACAGTGAAACAAGGTTTTTAAACAAAAAACTGATTTTATTAAAATAAAATTTACATAAATTATGAACAGTCTATTTGTATGAAAGCCCCTCTTCAGATATATTTTCCACTTGGCCATATGTAACACATACCTTAGCATGACATAAAATTCCAAAATCATTCAAGTAGTAGAGCTAATAAATTTGAATTGTATTTTTAGTGTTAAAAAGAAAAAAATGTAACTATTTAAGATTCAACGAAGGTGATTTCTCATTTTCCTACTCTTTTCATCTCTCTCTCTTTTTTTTTTTTTTTTTTTTTTTTTGAGATGGAGTCTCACTCTGTTGCCCAGGCTGGAGTGCAATGGTGGGATCTCAGCTTACTGCAACCTCTGCTTCCTGGGTTCAAGCAATTCTCCTGCCTCAGCCTCCTGAGTAGCTGGGATTACGGGTGCCCACCACGCCCGGCTAATTTTTTGCATTTTTAATAGAGACAGGGTTTCACTATGTTGTTTAGGCTGGTCTCGAACTCCTGACCTCATGATTCACCCATCTCGGCCTCCCAAAGTGCTGGGATTATAGGCGTGAGTCACCGCGCCCGGCCCTCTTGTCTTCTCTTAGCCTACTTCTCAGAGTTTGTTTCTAAGTGGAAGCAGTCCTCCACCAAAGCACTACCATGTGGTTTTAGAATGCTCTGCCTGTTTTACACCTGTTGAGAATAAAATGTTTGGACTTATGAGTAAGCCCACCAAGACAAAATATTGGGATGTCAATAATAACCTTTTTAAAAATGGCTGGTTCTTCAGACAGAGAAAATAAAAATCACCATACATTTCTACCCCAGATTAACTTCCAAAAAAACAAATAACTAGCTAGACCTGTTCAGGAGTATGGTAGCCACATGTGTGTGGGGTCCCCTAGTTTTCCTCATTTTTGTCTCTGTCCTGACCAAGTAACACATGGTGCCTTGACCCAGCCAGCTGATGTTTTCCTCTGCAGGTCTGAACCCCAGCCTGGGCCTTGAACATTCCTAGGCACTGATAACGGTGCTTAGGTTGTTGCTGGAAACACTGAAAGATCAGCCGTGTTGCTAAACATGTAGAAGCCAGCCCAGCCCCCACCCAAATTCCTTACATCTTCATGTGAACTCCATCCCCCAACCCCCTCGCTGGGGACATGCCCAGGTAGAACATCCCTTGTCTCACTGCCCATCACAAGGACGCTGCAGCCCATGCTGTATGTAAGCTCCCCTCATAAATGCTTTGGACTGATCACCCTGCCATTTAGTGCTTCTTCCTTTAGAATCGCAACTGGCCCCACCTTGGAACGGTTTGGAGCACTCTCTCATGGGAATTTTCCATCAGGTCAAACCCAAGGCTGGAGTTAAATGTGGCTATTTAAATTTAATTGAATTGAAAGATGGGTTCTTCAATCACATCAGTCATTGTTCAAGTGCTCAAGAATCACATGTGTCTGGTTTACCACGTTGGACAACGCAAATACAGAACATTTCCGTCACTGCAGAAAGCTCCACTGGATGGTACTGGGCAAGACCACAGAGGAGATGATTCATATAAAAATATGCCACTATATGCATATTTTCCTTCTTAGTCACAAAAGCTGCTTGTTTTTGTTTTTTTTTTTTTAGTTATAACAATAATAATATTGTTATTGCTGTTTGTTTTGCTTTTGAGACAGGGTCTCACTCTGTCACCCAGGCTGGAGGGCAGTGTCACAATCACAGCACACTGCAGCCTCGACCTCCTGGGCTCAAGTGATTTTCCCACCTCAGCCTCCTGAGTAGCTGGGACCACAGGCACATGCCACCACACCTGGCTAATTTTTTGAATTTTTTTGTGGAGATGGGGTTTCGTCATGATGTCCAAGCTGTTCTCAAAATCCTGTTCTCAAATTCCTGGGCTCAAACAACCTGCTTGCCTCAGCCTCCCATAGTGCTGGGATTATAGGTGTGAGCCACCGTGCCCGGCCAAAGTTATTTGTTTAAGCTTATTTATCTTCAACACCATCAGCCACAACCTGTTTATTTTAGCCCAAGACAGTGGTATAAAAATAAGAGATTGTGTCTAATTTCTCCAAATCATGTGATGTGACATAAGAGCCCAAAGTCTTGTAATGAATCCCACCTCTCCCAAATTCAAACAGCCCATGGGCTCCCTCTGGACTGAAGCATCTTTGCTATGGGCAGAGTTGTCCTGTGGTACCCACAAGGAAGCCTTGCTAGGAACTCCTTATCAGTGTGGACTGGTCATCTCCATTACCCTACATGGCCATCTTGGAGGAAGGGACCCTGAGGGCGTTGCCTTTGCTCTTTACTGAGGTGTGTCCCAGGACCCCCAGGGTGACCACTCAGGACTGGATGGCCATCCATGAAGGCCACTGAAGACTTCCCATGAACAGCCAGGCCCACACTTCCTCAACTAGATCTACCCACGCACCATCTGAGCATCTCATGCCCAAAGCATGGGCAGATATTCCAGCCTTTGTTTCTTCAAGGCCTAGATTGTACCTACAAGTCTCTCCTGGGAGTCTACACTTGCCAAAATATAACTTAAAACATATGGAAATAGCAGTTTATATAAACTCAAGGAAGATTATTCTCAGTAAAAGAAACTCTTTCAAAATAACAAAACACTCTCATCTGATTAGTCCAATATAAATGCTCTTTTCACAATCCCTTTATCTTTTTCTTTTCTTTTTTTTTTTTTTTGAGACAGAGTCTGGCTCTGTCACCCAGGCTGGAGTGCAGTCGCATGATCTCGGCTCACTGCAACTCCACCTCCCAGGTTCAAGCGATTCTCCTGCCTCAGCCTCCTGAGTAGCTAGGATTACAGGCAACTGCCACCATGCCCAGCTAATTTTTTGTATTTTTAGTAGAGATGGGGTTTCGCCATGCTGGCCAAACCAGCCTCGAACTCCGGACCTCAGGTGATCCACCCACTTCGGCCTCCCAAAGTGCTGGGATTACAGGTGTGAGCCACCACACCCGGCCCCTTTATCTTTTGATTCCTGAAAACAATGCACTTAACTTCAGTATTTGGTCTTTTAGTTATAATTCTTAAAAATAAGACATTTTAAAACATATTAAATGTGCATTATTTGGAAAAAAGTATATGCAAATGAACCTGGAAATATCAATATACAAACCAATTTTTCAATTCTCCAGTCCATGGAGGGAGATACTCATGTATTTGACATTTGAAAACCATTTTTTTTAGCAACTATGATAGTGGTTTCTAGACTTTGTCCTTAAGCACAAGCCATTCTTCCTATATGACATGATCATAACAAAGATTTATATATAGCTCCAGAGAATAGTGAGATTTGCAGTCTTCTGATGGATATCAAAGTTGAAGGCTAAAAGACACTTTGGTGGTATAGCTGGGAACAGATTCTGTAACAGAAAGAAAAAAGTATGCTCAATCATTCACCATTTTATTATGAAATCTAGCTACGTGCTATGACATACATAATGAATGTATGTCAATACACCCATTATTGTCACTTCATGTTTTAAGTATAGAGATACTGTATAGGTGATAAATAATGCATTTGTCACCATTAAGTAAGTCATCACAAATGTGCAGTCAAACTTTAGAAATGTTTAGATCTAAGAATCGTTAACTTTCATTCTTTTGCCATCTTTCCAGCCAACTCACAGCTACATCAAGATCTTGGAAGCTATATGACCCTACAGTATTAATAGTTGACAAAATAGAAATAGATGGTCACGGACTTGGGACTGTGGCTAGTAGGTGGCAGAGGGTACCGTTTATAAGAGAAGTTTGGGCTGTTCCTAAACCATACACCATCTTTGAAAGTAAACCTTCTCTCAGCCTGGCTCTTCCCACTAGTTGCTGACCCCTCTTCTCTCTCCCTTCACAGCCAAAGTTTTGTCAAAGGATGGTCTATACCAATGGCTCTCAAAGTGTACTTCTCAGACACAAGGCATCAACATCACCAGCGAGCTGGTCAGAAGTGTACTTTCTCAGGCCCTGCCCCAGGCCTGATGAGTAAAAACTCTCATTCCTATGTTCACTAAAGCTTGAGGACCAGTGAGGGCTTCACATCCTTATCCTTCTTGAATCACACAAAGTTGTAGGCCCTTGTGGGCAGATTAAATCTACTATTTTTTCACTCAGACATTGGTCTGATGGGGAAAGAAGGAAAACAGGGAAGACACCATGATAAAGAAAAGAAAACGAGCAAATTTTTTAAAATTCAGAGCACATGCCTGACCATATCTAGGTCGAAACATTAAAAAGTGTCATTTCTGTAGGACAAAACCAGCTGAATATTAGCAATATCATGTGTTCAATCTAATACATATGAATATATACAGAATAAAATTATTATTATTTAGAAATAAGTAAACAAATTAAAAATCTATCATCTCTAAAGTTAATTTTTAAAAGCAAATTATTTTAAAACAAATTAATTTATTTAAGTAAATAATAACTAATAATATATTATCGATAAAATTAATATTAAATAATATATTTATTAAATGATATTTTATAATAGATAAATATATTTATTTTATTTAAATTGATTAATTTTAAAAGCAAATTATTATTGCTGGCCACATAGATCCAGAACTTAACACCTATTTTCTTTCTTTCTTGGAGTTTTACATAATAGCACTACAATATAATTACGAATAAATAAATGAATAAAATGGAACACTAAAGGCTCTCACAAGAGGAAAACCATAGAACCCAAAGGTAAATTTTGACAAATAAATGGCTCTGTAATTTCAGTTTCACATTTACGATAAATTTCTAATTTATTTCATATTAGTTCAGAATTCAAAATTAGGGATATCCAAAAAGATTAAAAGTAACCATATAGAAATTTTAGTTTAGCTGAAACAATTTTTAATTTGCCCAATAAATGACACTTTTCATCATTTCTGACTATCTGAATGTGACTAATCGTCTTCAGACATCTACTGATGAGGGAGGGGCATGCTCACGCATGCCATTTTCTGAGGGTGGCTGAGGGAGCCTGCCCACAGATGCTCATCATCAGAGGCCCAGGGCCAGTGCGCTTCCTCCCTAAATCCACTTGTGGGACAACTCTCTTCCTGCCAGGTCTGCACCTAGCTCATCAAAGAACTGAAAAATTAAGGAATGACTCTCAGGCATCCACACCCAGAAAGGAGGCAGTGATTAGAAGACCAAAGACTGATGTATGCCTTTTTCCTGGGGAAGCTGTCTTGTGATGGAAGGAAGGGCTTAAGGCTTCCAGAACACCATTAGGATCTCTCCACTCCTTTGGAAACAGCCGCCGGAATCTGGCGCTGGGAAAAAGCCTTCCCACCCTTTCCTGAGGTACTTGACCCCCCTCGCCCCTCTGTATTCTCACCACCCTATGGGAACCAAAACTAAATGCATCTATGCGCAAATTGGCCATCCTGTGCTTTCCCTTTTGTGATTTTTATATGTGTTCTTGATTTATGTGAGATAACTTTTTCAAAAGTTGAATGTAAACGGATTTTGAAACGACATCTTATTTTTCTAGTAACTTAGGATACTATTTTGTCAATATCGTTTAGTTAAAAACTCACGTATGGTTAGTAACGCAACCCTAACATTTTAAGTGCACGTTTCCCAGCCTCTCTGTCAAACAGTGGATGATTCATCAAGCATTCAAATGGACTAGCACAATTTGATATTTTAAGGAAATGTATCATTTGGAGTGTGTTGGAGGGTAAATGGAAAAATAATTTACGAAGTAACGTGCCCCTCAACCAATAAACTTTTTGTCAATTTGACTTCTATTAACAAATGTATTACATAAGTGGACGTCTGTACACTAATTTTAAATAATTTTAAATATGAGTAACCCACCTCTTTCTTTAAGGTCTTCAATATAGGCTTTCATAACTTCTTTATCAAAATGTTGGCGATCCCGTTCACTTTCCATTATTTCATTGCCATCTTCACATTGGGCATTATCAATAGGATTGTCCATAAGGCTTACAAATCTATTCGAGAAAGCATGGGAAGTATCACATTATCACCTGTGCGTTTTAAACTGCAAAATTCCTCACATAAAATAACCTCTGTTATCCCAAGTTCTGGCTTACCTTTAAAAGTCACATTTGACCACATGATATCAGCATCACCAGTGGAATTCCAGTGTGGAATAATCCAACAGTAATATAGAGCCAGTTTTAAAGTATAGACTTTTCAGAGGCCTGATGGGGAAATGAGAGCTCCCTAGTCATAGGCAGAGAGTACAGGAGGCCATGGAGTGGACACTAACACCTCCTCTCAGGCAGATCCTCACAGCTGCATGTCGTCATGCAATGTTTGATGTTACTCCCAGTAAGGGACATCCAACTTTAAAATGACGTGTCCAAATTACAAAGGACTCAAGGAAAATCCCCACAAAATGTGTATTTAAAAGATAGGACATGGCTGGGCACAGTGGCTCACTCCTGTAATCCCAGCACTTTGGGAGGCTGAGGCGGGTGGATCACCTGAGGTCAGGAGTTCAAGACCAGCCTAAACAACATGGTGAAACCCTGTCTCTACTAAAAATACAAAAATTAGCTGGGTGTGGTGGCAGGCGCCTATAATCCCAGCTACTCAGGAGGCTGAGGCAGGAGAATTGCTTGAACCCAGGAGGCAGAGGTTGCAGTGAGCTGAAATCCCGCCATGGCACTCTAGTCTGGGCAACAGAGCGAGACTCAATCTCAAAAATAAATAAATAAATAAATAAATAAATAAATAAATAAATAAACAAACGATAGGACAGGAACAGAGGCTCATGCCTATAATCTCAGCATTTTAGGAAGCCAAGGCAGGAGGATATGCTTGAGGCCAGGAGTTGGAGACCAGCCTGGGCAACATAGAGAGACTCCATCTCTACAAGAAATATAAAAGATTAGCTGAGTGTGGTGGCACATGCCTGTAATCCCAGCTACTCGGCAGGCTGAGGCAAGAAGATGGTTTAGTCCCAGGAAGTCAAGGCTCCAGTGAGCTATGACGACACTACTGCACTCTAGCCTGGGCAATAGAATGAGAGAGATCCCATCTCTGAAAATATAAGAATAAAATTAAATAAAAGATGAACTACTGCTAACACACACACACACACACACACACACACACACACACACACACACACACAAGCTAAAGGGGGGAAACCCAAATGGTATTTGATCTTCTGTCTTCACAATTTTCAAAGATGTATTGATGTGAAAAATATTGTAATTATTTCAATTCAAAACAGTAAATCTCTTAAATAGTTTTTGGTTGCAATTGCAGGCCCTGCTGTCTTGAGATGTTAGCGTGTTCTCATTGGATTATAGATGAGAGCTGTATATATGGAAGATATGAGCCACGAGTGTTGTTTTATTATATATATATATTTCCCACTTCATTTTCCTTTTAATTTTATTTAATGTCTGAACATGGAGAGAGTTTAAAAGTTGTAATGTTTAATGTAGATAGAACCATTCAACTTTTCCTTTATAATTTTTTCATTGAGTTAATGTTTATCATCCTTCCCTATTCAAAAATAAGAAATATACCTACATTTTATCATTCTTAACATTTTTAATCAAGTAATCATTGTACACATTTTTAAACCTGCAGAATGTAATCGTGCTTCTTTGTGAAGCAATAGTCTCTCACCCTCCCTTTAATTACTCTTCAGATCCCAGAAGCAATCTTTTTTCATTGGTCTATCACTGTTTTTCCTTAATCTATTTAAAATACCTTTTACCTTAGGACAAATACTTTCCTGTCATTCAATCAAGTGGTGGTATTTCTCCCCTTCTTTCCAGTTTCCCAACCTTCCCACTTCCAAATTTTTACCTACTATTTTACTTTTTAAACATTTTATTATGAAAATTCTTAAATATTCACAAAAGTAGAAAAAAGTTCATAGTGAACACCCATGTACAATCCCCTAGATTCCATGTTTAACATTTTGCTATACTTGCTTTAACACATATCCACTCATCTGTCCACACACCTATCTGCCCAACTATCCACCCATCTATCCACCCATCCATCCACCCATCCATCTACCCATCCATCTACCCATCTATCCATCCATCTATCCATCCATCTATCCACCCATTTATCCACCCATTTATCCAACCATCCATCCACCCATCTGTCCACCCATCTATCCACCCATCTACCCACCCATCTGTTCACACATCTATCCACCCATCTAACCACACGTCGGACATCTCATTTTTTTTGATGTATCTCAAAGCACAATCACAGACATTGTGTACTTTTACTTTGTTAAGGTTAATACTATACACATTCTGATGTGTAATCACATCTCACTTTTCTTTTGCCTGCAGCTTGATTCTAAAATTGAAAATCAATAAATAATATTTACATTTTTGTGTAATCACATCTCACTTTTCTTTTGCCTGCAGTTTGATTCTAAAATTGAAAATCAATAAATAATATTTACGTTTTTGTGACAACCATCTGGTAAGGCTTGGTAATGCCTTCATATCTGAGAATGAGACAGCAGAATTTGGCTGGTCCCCTGAGTATGTAGGCAGTGCTGGCCAAGGTACCGGCCTCACTGTGGGTGATCACTCAAGCACAGGGCTAGCAGGTCCTCAGGGCAGTCGCCAAACACAGAACTCTGGGGTCTTTTCTCCAGGCTACCTTAGAGAAAATCTCAGGCTTTTGGTCTGGAGCCTGGACTGCTGGTACAGAGTGGTCTGCCCATTGTAATTAAGGAGGAGGTTGGGGGGTGCCTGTTGATATAAAAATTCTTCCGTTTTTCCTCTTGTTTTAAGCACCATATTTCTGTCTACACCTCCCTGTACCGAAATTTCTGGCCACCAACATCTTCAGGACAGAGCGGTGCGCTCCTCGGCTTGTTCTCTGGGATTTGGTTTGTTCCACCTTACTTTCATCAATGACTGCTATTCTGTCTACTTGATGTATCTCATAAAAATGTTGAGATTTCTCATATTTTAAATTTTTTCTTTCATTTTAATAGGCTGTTATAAAGGATAAGTGTATAAGTGTTAAAAGGGATCAAGCCATCATGATTAACATGGCATTTCTTATTCTTTTAATAACTTTCTTTTTATATTTAACTTGTCTCTTGGTCTAGTTTTCTTTCTATATGCTATGTATACCATATATTTGTGATATTAACTATATATGGCATATATAGCGATGTAGTACTCCAAGATTTCTTATGCTATAAAGTGAAGAACAGGCTTTATCACTAGCCAGTTTCTTCATACCATATGAAGTCATTCATACTTTCCCCAGTTGCTTATGAAAATTCCTATATCATGTATTAGCATTGATTTCAGGACTACCTATTCTCTTCCAATAACTCACCTATAAATCATTGCCCAGCATTGCATCATTTTGAGGTCACCCCTTCTAAATGTACTGTAATTCTTTTTTTTTCTTTTTTTTTTTTTTTTTTTAGATAGAGTCTTGCTCTATCATCCAGGCTGCAGTGCAGTGGTACACAATCATGGCTCACTGCAGCCTCGACCTCCCAAGCTCAAGCGACCCTTGCACCTCAGCCACCCAGGTAGCTGGGACTACAGGCACATGCCACCATGCCAGGCCTTTTTTTCTTTTTTTTAGACAGGGTCTTGCTGTGTTGCTCAGGTTGGAATGCAGCAGTGAAATCATGACTCACTGTAACATCGAACTCCTGGGCTCAAGCAATCCTCCTGCCTCAGCCTCCCAAGTACCTAGGACTACAGGGGCATATCACCATGCCTGGCTAATTTCTTAATTTTTTGTAGAGACAGTATCTCGCTATGTTACCCACACCGATCTCGAACTCCTGAGCTAAAGCAATCCTCCTGCCTCACCCTCACAAAGGGTTAGGTTACAGGCATGAGCCACTGTGCCTGGCCACACTATAATCCTTGATAAGGCAAGTTCTGTCACACTACTCTTGTTTTCTAAAATTATTATTACTGTCCTTAGCTTTGTCCTTCCACATATACTGTCAAATGCATTTTTCAAGCTCCAAAAAAGAAATTCCATTAGAGTTATGATTGGAATTATATTACACTTAAGTATAATTTTTGGAAGAAATCACATCTTTACCGCCTTTTCACCCAGAAAAGATACATTATACCTTTTTCAAATATTCAAGACTTCTTTATTATTTTTTGGGAAGACTGTTTAATACTATTCATGTAAGAGGACTATTTTCACTAGAGGTTTTCCTAGATATTTTAGATTTTTGGTTATTATTATTAATGTCATCATTTCTTCCACTATTTTTCTACAGGTTATTTCCTTTTTTTCTTGTTTCTTTTTTTTTCTTTTTTTGATGGAGTCTAGCTCTGTCGCCAGGCTGTAGTGCAGTGGCGCAACCTCGGCTTATTGCAAATTCCGCCTCCCGGTTTCAAGCGATTCTCCTGCCTCAGCCTCCTGAGTAGCGGGGATTACAGGTGCCCGTCACTGTGCCCAGTTAATTTTTTGTATTTTTAGTAGAGACGGGGTTTCACCTTGTTGGCCAGGCTGGTCTTGAACTTCTACAGGTTATTTCTAAGAATCAGTAAGCTATTAAATATTTATGCAAACCTGTATCTATTCTTTTTATTGAAATTTCAATAATTCAAAGAGCTTCCATCTGACTCTCTTAGATTTCTGAGTCCTACAATTATATCATTTGAAATTACTTTAGTTAGGTGACAGGTTTACCCTGACTGCTATGAGACATGAAGCTGCCAAGCCTGCTTCCAGGGGCTGGATGTGGAAGGGGCTCTAGGGAGGAGTCCTGCTACCCCTCTCACCAGTGGTCCTCTTCTTATTCAAACAATATTCCACACACAGCCAAGCACAGTGGAAGACCTATTCTAGTGGAAGGAGCAGAGTAGGGCATGCGTGAGATGTCTTACACCCTGTTTATTTTGTGCTTATACAGATATGGAGTTGTTCTCTTTCTTTCCAGCAGTCAAACCTCTTTATTTGTTTGCCATGCATTTATTGCAAGGACAGGAAGACAAGATTGAACTCTGCTGATAGTAAGCACTTACCACTGAAGAACTAGGAGTCCTGGGGAAATATTCTCGCTAGTGGTTGCGTTAACAGCCACCTGGTGCTCAAGGCCAATAGGTCTCTGGACAGAGAGAAGGTGGCTCTTAATAGAGCAGCCTCGTGTGAATAATGTGGGGAGGGCCCAAACCGCTAGGGATGGACAAAAATGGTCTCAGGTAGAATTAATGGGGCAACCCCAAAGCTCCAGATTCTGGGAGGATGTGCTGCCAGGGAGCCATCAGCTGCCTTGGAGTCATTTCAGGGGAGGGCGGAGCCAGGACTTTTCAATTCCACTTCCACATCCCCAGATTGGAGGCTGTTTGGAGTACATTTGCATGGATGGTTTTTCTTAGTTGTGGGTGGTTTATAGGTTCACTTAAGGAAACCTAAAGAAGGGTGAAGCAACCAGGGAGGGTCCTTTCAACATCTGCTGACCCCTCCAGGCCAGCAGCGATGTGAGCACTGAGCAAGAGATCACAGGCCCTGGACATATGTCCCGCAACACCATCAACCAGCATGCATTTGTGCAGAAATCCTCTGAACCCTATGCCTCTTCCTCGTGTCATATGCCACAAACTCCAAAATCCTGTAAAAAGTCACCAGAACTTCTGTGAGTTGGGATCAGGTTCTCAGAGTACGAGAGCCATCTAATCCGGGTCTTGAGACAGCTGCCCAGGCTCTGGTACTTCTCACTCCTTACCTGTGTCTGAGTGTGTCTACTGGGATTTCCGGGCTACTCACTTTAAAGGTGTGGATGAGTCACAAAGGGCAGTTGGGAGCTCCACCAAATGGTCCCCACTGACGACTAACAGAGTGAGCTTCTTCAGGTTCAGCATGGAATAGGGAAGGTAGGTCAACTTGTTTTTATACAAGAGAAAGCTCTGCAGCTCCTCTAGCCTAAGAAGAGGTAAAAACAATCATAGCACTGGACTTAGCATCATAGCTAAGAAAACCAACATGAATTACAAATAAATTCTAACAGGAAGTCCCTACTTTATTTTATACATGTGACCTTTATGAGAACCAACTTATTCTAAGTTTTGTTCTTCGTTTTTTTTTTTGAGACAAGGTGTTATTATGTTGCCCAGGTTGGAGTGCAGTGGTACAATCTCGGCTCACTGCAGCCTCAACTTCCTGGGCTCAAATGATCCTCCCACCTCAGACTCCTTCCTGAGTAACTAGGACTACAGGCACACGCCATCATGCCCGGCTAATTATTTTTTGTAGAGACAGAGGGTCTTGCCATAGTGCCCAGGCTGGTCTTGAACTCCTGGGCTCAAGCAGTCTGCCCACCTCAGCCTCCCAAAGTGTTGAGATTACAGGCATAAGCCACTATGCTCTGCCTAAGTTTTAAGTAACTAAAGTCATGCCAGGTGACGTGATTTTTTGGAAGTTTTTACTGACTTAATCACCAGTTGAAGACACAGCTATAGCAGCGGGATAAGCATACTGCACAATACACACTAGGCCATGATGGAGCCTCAAACATCAGTATGTCCCTTCCGAGAGTCTACTGCATTTACAAGGGTTAACAGAGCATGGGAAGGCAATCATACTAGAATTGAAATGAGAATAAACAGATTTTAGCAATGTACTTCCTTTGGTACACTTTTTTTTTTTTTTAATGAGAAAGACGGGGTCTCACTATGTGGCCTAGCCTTGTCTTGAACTCCTAGCTTTAAGCAATCCTCCTTCCTTGGCCTCCCAAAGTGCTAGTATTACAGGCAAGAGCCACTGTGCCCAGCCTCCTCTTGTATATCTTTAAACCCCAGTTATTATCCTTCTCTCATTACGTCTTCCAACTTTAAAACAGGAAGGCAACTGCGGAGTGAAAAGTAAATGAGCAAAATATGTTCCAAATATGTCTTATTCTGTTTTCCATTTTATTCTAACTCAGTGGCCTCCCCCTGGGAATTTTTCTTTCATTTATTTCCAAAACTTTGGATTATCATACAAATATTTCATAAAGTTCCCATGTTGCAAACTAAAAGATTCCCTCTTAGCCTCAAAAGCCTAGAAAGCATCAATACACATCACATGTACCAGGAATAAAAAAAAGTCATACAAGATGGCATTCAGGCCTAAGCCATTGCTGGCCTCTGTGTCATCATAGCTTGCTTGTGTTTCTTTATAAAAAAGATTGTAGGCCAGGCACGGTGGCTCATGCCTGAAATCCCAGCACTTTGGGAGGCTGAGGCAGGAGGATTGCTTGAGTCCAGGAATTCAAGACCAGCCTGGGTAATATAGCAAGACCTTGTCTCTACAAATAATTATTTTAAAAAAGTAGCCAGGCATGATGGCACACATCTGTGGCCCCAGCTACCTGGGAGGCTGAGGTGAGGGAATTGCTTAAGCCCAAGCAGTCAAGGCTGCAGTGAGCCATGACTGCACTACTGCACTCCAGCCTGGGCAGCTAACGGGACTCTGTCTCAAAAAAAAAAAAAAATTGTAGATTCCAGGATGCCAGAGATTGTGTTTCATTTACCACTTTAAACCCATCCCGTTCTCTAGGCTTGCCATACAGGAGTCTAATAATATAAGTGAATGACTGAAACTTACATGATAATTCTTATTTTAAAAAACATGAAATAGCTGCAAGAATATAATTTGGGCCAGGCACAGTGGCTCATGCCTGTAATCCCAGAACTTTGAGAGGCCAAGGCAGAAGGATTGCTTGTGCCCAGGAGTTTGAGACCAGCCTGGGAAACAAAGCAAGACCCTGTCTGAACAAAAAATAAAAATTTAAAAATATGTACATTTTTAATTTGAAAGAATATAATTTGAAAACCTGGCTAAGCATATCAATTTTGTTTGAAAGTTTATGTATAACGAATCAATAAATGAAACTAATAAAATTTGTCCTCATTGATATTCTAAACATACAGTGATATGTTTCTATTCTATACTTAATAAATTAACTTTTCCACTTCTGTAGAGTGAAGGAAAGTTAATGGTGCCATTCTACGGAGACTAAAGCAAATTAAAGTTCATCAGGACAATGAAGAGGTGTTCAAATGCACGTAAACACATACATGTATGATGCAGACTGGAAATTGTCTTATTCTATAATTTCCTCGGAAACTGATTTCCTGGAAAGGAAACTCTGGAAAATTAGTTGATTCCAAAGAACATTCATGTACTATACATGTTTCAAATGTTAACAGTGTTTGAAGCGTTAGTAACTAATACATACACCTCACCTTAGAATGCAAGTAGCTACCTGTCTATATCTTGCGGCAGGTCGGTCAGGTTATTGCTGCTGATATCCAACCACTGCAAATTCGACATCCGCAGGACACAGATTGGGACACTGGAAAACTTGTTTGCTGAGATATCTACAAATGTAACTTGCTTCAAATTACTTAACTAGAAATGAATAACAAAATGTTCTAATTACTTTTATAAGAGTGGGAATTAAGTTCAACTAATAATTTTAAGATGGATATTTCTTCCCCAAAGGCATTTCTATGAATATATGCAAAGCAGATCAATACAGTATGTATTTTGAAGCACCTCAGATGTGTCATTCACTGTGCACACGTAGAGAAGTTAAGATAAATAATACACTGCGGCTGCCTTCCAGGATTTTATATTGCTATAAATTATCAGTGCAAGCTGGGCGTGGTTGCTCATGCCTGTAATTCTAGCACTTTGGGAGGCTGAGGTGGACAGATTGCTTGAGCCCAGAAGTTCAAGACCAGCCTGGACACCATGGCAAAACCCCGTCTCTACTAAAAATACAAAAATTAACCAGATGTGCTGGTGCACACCTGTAATCCCAACTACTTGGGAGGCTGAGGCAGGAGAATTACTTGAACCCGGATAGCGGAGGTTGCAGTGAGCTGAGATTATGCCACTGCACACAAAAAAAAGACATAACCAATACTGGGTAATTTATAAAGAAAAGAGGTTTAATGGATTCATAGGTCCACATTGCTGGGGAGGAATCACAATCATGGTGGAAGGCAAAGGAGAAGCGAAGGCACGTCTTACATGGCAGCAGGCAAAAAGAGAGCTTATGCAGAGGAACTCCCATTTATAAAACCACCAGATCTCATGAGATTTATTCTCACGAGAACAGCACAAGAAAGACCTGCTCCCATGATTCAATTACCTCCCACCAGGTCCCTCCCACAACGTGTGGGAATTATGGGAGCTGCAATTCAAGATGAGATTTGGGTGGGGACGCAGCCAAACCATATCACCATATCATCATGTAAAACATAACTATAAGAGAGTTAGAGTGACTATATTAATATCAGACAAATTATATTTAAGAAATAATATCGTTAAGGATAAAGAAGGACATTTCATAATAATAAAAGGGTCAATAGCAGGAGCCCCCCTGACGTATGTCAGGAAGATACAAGAATCATAAATGTATATGCAACTAACAACGTAAAATATATGAAGTAAAAACTGATGGAATTAAAAGGACAAAGAGACAATTCAACAATTATAGTTAGATTTTTTTTTTTTTTTTTGAGATGGCGTTTCACTCTGTCACACAGGCTGGAGTGCAGTGGAGAGATCTCAGCCTCCACCTCCCATGTTGCCTAGTCCTGGGAGTGGGAATGGGGATTCATATCAAAGGAGCAAGAGAGAATTGGGGGTAGTGGGTGGGGGAGGAGTGATGGAAAAGGCCTAAATTTGAATCTGTACACTTGTAATGGGTGAGTCATATGGTATGTAGATTACACTTTAATAAAGGAGGAAAAGGTAGAAGAAGGGGCAGAGAAGCAAACAGGGAGGCTGTTGCCCCATTCCAGATGACAGACAACACTGTCTTGACCAGGGTGGCAGTGGGAAGGTGATGAGAACGGTTAGACAGAATATATTCTGGAGGGCATGCTCAACAGGATTTATTTATGGATTGGATATGGCACATGGGAGAAGAGAGGATGACTTAATTTACTTCCAGCCTTAACATCTGTGTGAAGATTGAGCCATTGCCTGAACTGGAAAAGACTGGGAGATGAGTGGATCTGTGCGGGGAACCATGACCCCTGGCTGTGCACCCTCACCAGGACCCCTGCTGTGCATCTCCTAGGGTGGAATGGGTGCTAACAGCTTAGAAGCAGCCACTTCCTCCTACCCTGCAGCATTCAGGAAAGGAAAATAATGCCCCTTCTAGGATGGCAATCGGTGTCCAGTGCCTTGTCACCAGCAATCACCATTTTTAGCCCATTCATTACCAGTAGGATTGTGAGATCCTTCTCTCGCTCCAGCATGAGATGCTTATTGAGTTTAATTTGGCATTAAAAATTGTTCACTTTTATGTGCTCCACTTTATCAGAAAATGATTTAAAATCATTTGTCCATGAATACAGACCAAAAGAAACTAATGAATATTTTTAAATTAGTGGATTTCTTAAATCCTATCTGTAGGACTACTTTAATCATCTACAAGTTTTGCTATGAGTATATAAAAAATTTTACCCCTTTTATTTTCAATTTTACCATTGTGGATAAATAAATCAGGATCTGCATTAGAGACAACAGGCATCTTATAATACAAGCATCAACAAGCAAAGCATTAAATAAAAATTTCTTGTGTGAAATTTTGCCTGGTTTTCCTTTGATAGCATTTCTGAACTTAAATTCGGGTTCTGACATAGTATAAAATGTTTTTAAAGAAGGGCAGGTGCGGTGGCTCACACCTGTAATCCCAGGACTCTGGGAGGCCAAGGCAGGTGGATCACCTGAAGTCAGGAGTTAGAGACCAGCCTGGCCAACATAGTGAAACCCCACCTCTACTAAAAATACAAAAATTAGCCAGACGTGGTGGTGTGCACCTGCAGAACCAGCTACTCAGGAGGCTGAGGCAGGAGAATTGCTTGAACCCAGGAGGCAAAACCTGCAGTGAGCTGAGATCACACCACTGCACTGCAGCCTGGGTGACAGAGCAAGACTCCACCTCAAAAAAAAAGAAGTTTTTAAAGACCAGTATACGGTGATTGAAATGTCAGGAAAAGGTGATATAATAAAGATAGATTTCATATGTTAAAACTTCTTGCCATATTATAGACCATTCTATGTCATAAACCAAATAAAAGTGAATCGTAGTACAGAAATGTTTATCTCTTACTTCAAAGGGCAGCTCCATTAATTCTAGATTTCCAGAACAATCCAGTCTCTCTAGATTTTCACAATCTCCCAATTCTGGAGGAATGCTCTTCAGATAGTTGAAACCCACATTGAGTTCTTTCAGGTTCTTCAAACAACCTGTCAGCAGAAAAAGTTAACATCCATTGAATAGGTCGTTTAAGGTCTTTTAAGAACAAAAAGCAAAACTAAGAAGTAAACAGCTCTGTAAATAATGATGGGGAAGGAACTAAACATAATTTAGTATTTGGGTTTTGGGGGGTGTATCTAATGAACATTATCTTGTAGCATCATGACCCCGAGGTTCTGGAAATCACAGAGTTTTTCAGTGTGATAAGCGTCCAACATTACAGAATCTGAAACAAAACTTTTAAGGCTCATGCCTTCAGTGTGTCATATTTTTAAATAACTGATTTGTCTATTCTTTCTTGAAATGCCCAGGGATCTTTTCCAACTGAAATGAAGCTGCCTACCTACTCCCTGTTCTCCCAAAGCCCTCAGACCTAATTTCCAGTAAGGGGAAGATAATTGCAACTGGAGCACAGTGTCTATAGCGGCTCCTGGTTTCTAGAGCCCAAGGAGCAGCTTAAGGAATTACCATATCTTACAATATTTGAGTAAAAATGTTTAAATACAGATTCTCCCTAACTTACGATGGAATTACACCTCAATAAGCCCATCATAAGTTGAAAATATCATAAGTCAAAAATGCATTTAATACACCTAACCTATCAAACATTGTAGCTTCACCTAGCCTACCTTAAATGTGCTGAGAACACTTACATTAGCCTACAGTTGGGCAAAATCATCCAACATAAAGCCTGTTTTATAATAAAGTGTTGAATGTCTCCTGTAATAAATAGACTACTGCACTGAAAATGAAAAGCAGAATGTTTGTATAGGTATTCACAGTTTCCTTCCTTCCTTCCTTCCTTCCTTCCTTCCTTCCTTCCTTCCTTCTTCCTTCCCTCCCTCCCTCCCTCTCTTTTCTTTCTTTCTTTCTTTCTTTGTTTCTTTCTTTCTTTCTTTTTCTTTCTCTCTCTGCCTGTCTTTCTTTCTTTCTTCTTTCTTTCTCTTTCTTTCCCTTCCTTTCTTCCTTCCTTCCTTTCTTTTCTTTTTTTTTTAATTTTTTTTGTTTTACTTTTAGTTCTGGGATACATGTGCAGAACATGCAGGTTTCTTATATCGGTATACGTGTGCCATGGTGGTTTGCTGCACCTATCAACACATCATCTAGGTTTTAAGCCCCACATGCATTAGGTATTTATCCTAATGTTCTCCCTCCCCTTGCCCCACCAGCCCCCAACAGGCCCAGTGTGTGATGTTCCCTCCCTGTGTCCATGTGTTCTCATTGTTCAACTCCCACTGTGAGTGAGAACATGCGGTGTTTGGTTTTCTGTTCCTTGTGTTAGTTTGGTGAGAATGATGGCTTCCAGCATCATCCATGTCTCTGCAAAGGACACAAACTCCTCCTTTTTATGGCTGCATAGTATTCCATGGTGTATATGTGCCACATTTTCTTTATCCAGTCTATCATTGATGGGCATTTGGGTTGGTTCCAAGTCTTTACTATTGTAAATAGTGCTGCTCTTTTCTTTTTTGTTTTCTTTCTTTTCTTTTCTTTTCCTTCCTTCCTTTCTTTCTTTCTTTCTTTCTTTCTTTCTTTCTTTCTTTCTTTCTTTGTTTCTTTCTTTCTTTCTAGCAGCCGCACCCTTCTAGGAACAAAGTACAGTTTCTACTAAATGCACACCACTTTCACACCATCAAAAAGCTGAAAAACCTTACATCTAACCATTGTAAACTGGGGATCATCTGTAATTCCAATAATTAGCTATTTTAAATCCATATAATGATAATTTCTTGGGAATTTCACAAAGAAGTTAAGAGCACCACTCATTGTCATTCTTAATTCCTTGATGTCAAATGTCAAAAATAACTGCTCTAATAATGAGAAAAAGAATACCCTGTCTAGTAATCACACCTCCCTGACTCCTCCCCTTCATCAGCCCTCAATAGATCTATAAGACAATATGATAAGAGATCAAACCCCACCTCCTTTACAAAATTCAGCTGCTCAACATAAAAGAGCTAAAAATCCTTTGTTCATTCCCACGTTCCTCACTATGCTTGAGCATCAGATCCTGCAGCTGAGTGTTTCTTCATTTATCCCTAGTTTGTAAGGAGCTATATCTGCTCCTCTAGGAGAGAAACATGCCCTGAACTAATATATTTTCATTTCTTTTCATTTTGCCCCACATGTGAAAATTGATTTATTCTAGATGCCCTCAATACTTACGTTTGGTAAAAAAGAGGATTTGCTCAAAATACTCCATGTTAATAACTCAGAGTATCAAGAAGCAAGTACTAGAAGAAAATTAGGGTGACAACCTTACCTAAATCATTCTAAGAACATCTCCCTTTTTATTATTGTGTTCTTTTCTTACGATTTCCTATATAATGATGAAAAATTGTGATACTCACATGTCATAAGAATTTCCAAACTGGAGATATGATATATGTCTCAGCCATGTGAGAAGGGAATCGTCTGTCTTTGCCTAAGTTATGGATGTATTTGGATAAATTATATTCTGTTGATTTGATATAGACTGAAAATTATAAGTTGGATAAAATATATATATGACTTAAATCTGGTATAGAGAGTATTAAAGCCTCTGAGATTTATTGTCCCCCTCCTTCCCATAGTTTAACTCACAAAAAAATTCAACTAGAGAATTTTAGAGGTGGCAGATATTTTAAAGATCATTCTGACCCCTTATCCTACAAATGAGAATACTAAGATTTAAAAAATTAAAGTATGTGCTCAAGTTACTCAAAGTTAGATAACATCTTTGTCTTCAGAATCTTAGGTCAGTCTTCAGTTCACTAAGTTTAATTTTAAAATATTTTGGGAACAAGTTAAATAAATCATGCCATAATCATCACTCAGCTACTAGGGAGAATGGGGAAGGTTTAGATGTTCTGATACTGAAAAATAACATTAACATAAAGATGATGCTAATAATAGCAATAATAATAATAATGGCTAGTGAATGCCAGGGATTCACCTACTCTAAATGCTTTCTATGTATTATCTATTTAATCCTCACAACAACGCGGTGAACTAGGTACTATTGTTATCCCCATTTTACAGATGAGGAAACTGAAAACGAGTAAATGACTTGCTCAAGGTTACCTTCCAGTAAGTCAAAGACCCAGGCAGCCTGATCCTAGAGTCCACCTCCGCCTTCATGGTGTGATCGGGGGAAACATGTGAGGCACAGACTGAAGAACACAGTGTAAGCCCATGTGTGTAAGTATATTTAACATGCATGGTTACATGTCTGTTTATAAATAGACAGCTACAACGTAGGTCTATAGAAGAGCATGAGTGTATGTACAGTGTGAATACCCAGGAAACTTAGCGCTTACTGAGAGGCTTGATTTTACATTTTACACCTTTCTAGAATGTTTGAATAGTTTTCGTGCACATGAATGAGGTCTGTGGGGATGACATCATGTCTCCAACAGGATTCGAGTGCCTTGGAATAATCACTTGAATAATCGCTTGGAATAACAACTATGTACCCAATATGTTGGTGTTTATTGCCTTATCTAATCCTCACAACCACTAAATGACAGCAACAACTATTATCCCCACTTTACGGATGAAGAAACTGAAGAGCAGAGAGATTAAGTATAGTGTCCCAATCCCACATTGGTCCCCCACGGATACCCCTCACCCACCAATCTCTTCTCCTCCTCCGAGTGTGCAAGGATAACATCCTCACTCCCCCACCAGTGGTCTCAACCATGGCTGCACATGGGAATCATGTAGGGAGTTTGTTAAATGCTGATTCCTGGCCCTGTACCCAGAGATTCCTATGGAATTGGTCTGCAGTGGATCTTGGGCGTTTAGATTTTTAAGGCTTTTTGGGGGATTCTAAGGTGTAGCCAGGGTGAAAACCACTGCTCAAATCAAACTGGCTCACAAGGAAAGAATGAATAGTACATTGGTGTAGTGTGGGAAGTTAAAAAAGAACAGGTGTTAATCTGGCTGGCAATAATTTCAAGGAAGACATTTCAAGAGATGAACAAAGATACATATTAAATGGAGCACCTCTGATGACATTTCAGACAACTGTGAGCATGACTCATCCCATGGTGATGCTCTGATGCCCTGCCTTTTGACAGCTCCATGCTTAATACCCCATCTATCTTGCTGCCAACCACTGGATTCCCAAGCCAAGGTGGCAGGATGGCAAGGATCCCTGAGTCTAGGTCAACCACTGTGGCTTCTCAAATGTATAAGGACAGAACCTTTCTACTTGAAAAGGGTTGTTTGTTTGTTTGTTTTGAGACAGGGTCTCACCCTGTCACCCAGGCTGGAGTGATGGCTGGTGCCATCACCGCTCACTGCAGCCTCAACCTCCTGGGCTCAAGCGATCCTCCCACAGGCACACGCCATCATGCCTGGCTAATGTTTTACTTTTTGTAGAGATGGGGTTTTGCCATGTTGCCCGGGCTGGTCTCAAACTCCTAGGCTCAAGTGATCTGCCTGCCTCAGCCTCCCAAAGTGCTGGGATTCCAGGCATGAGCCACCGCCTCCAGCCTAAAAAGGGTTTTTAAAAGTAACTCAGTCCTCAGAAACTCTATCCAGTTATTTAAATATACCATGAGCTTGCCCAAAAATGACCTGCAAATAGTGAAATCTGGCTTCTAGCCCAGGCTCTGAAGAAGTTCCTTAGTGTAATATGTAAATGATAATGATTCAGTCAGTTAATGATTCAGTCAGTGGGTCTCTCCAATTTGCAAAATAAAGGGGCAGGAGGTAAATGACCCCTTACATGTCAAAAATGGTACTTTTCAGTCATAGAAATTCTAAGGTCCTTTCTACCTTTCCAGAAACTAGGCAAGGAAACAGAAGTACTTATCCTTGTTGGGTCTAAAATTTGATTTTACCCTGCTTAGAAGCTAATAAATTTTGCCTATTCCTGTTTCATGGATACCGACAGAAGACACGAGGCTCCTGGTCCAACACAGCATACTGATGTGAGTTGCACTTACAGCTAAGTTTACCAAGCGTGATGCAGATGGCCTGGATAGATGCTATGCACATATACATCACAGCTGAGAACCCTGAGCTTGGGGAACCCACCACTTTTACAGCAAGTGGTTAGCAAGGCTGCTCTTTGCCTGGGAGCAGGTGTCTCCTCATCCCTCAAGGTTAGTACATGCATATGCATCCCCAAGATCGGCCTGGGTAAGAGGGTGGTCAGAGCCTTGTAGTCTTGACACAGCCAGCAAGACATGTATGAACACCAGAGGCTCCACAAGCCACCTGTCCCACAGGGTCTTGGCTTCTGGTAAATTTTCACATAACTATGCGAAACCACTGGTCCCAGGGCACATGTGTAAGAATGGAGCTCCATGCAGCTCCAGACCTTCACTCCTTGCACCCCAGGAAAAAGAGAAGCAATAATGATCACTGTCATTTTCATTTTAAGATAACACAACTGAATAATGACTGAGAATTATAAAATTTTGATCCATCAAAAAGACATCAGGCTGGTTACTGTGGCTCATGCCTGTAATCCCAGCACTTTGGGAAGCCGAGGCAGGCAGAGCACCTGAGGTCAGGAGTTTGAGACCAGCCTGGTCAACATGGTGAAACCCCTTCTCTACTAAAAAAAAAAATACAAAATCAGCTGGTGGCACGTGACTGTAACCCTAGCTACTTGGGAGGCTGAGGCAGGAGAATCACTTGAACCAGGGAGGCAGAGGTTGCAGTGAGCCGAGATTGTGCCATTGCACTCCAGCTGGGGCAACAAGAGCGAAACTCCGTCTCAAGGAAAAGAAAAAAAAAGACAACATAAGCTAAACTAGATTTATCAATGGACTAATGTATAAGAGCAATACATTACATTTCTAATAAGCATACTGCACGTTTATAGGTTTAAAACAAAAAGAAAATAAACACAGAGTTCCTAAATAAAATATTGCTCACTCATGAAACTTCTGGTTTCTGAGCAATTGGCAAGTGTCCTGTGTGCTGAGTTATACAGGCGAGACGCCGACCTCACCACCCAAAGGGATGCTGCAAACAAGCAGCTCTGGGGAGCCTCCAAACGGCCCTGCCCAACCACTTCCTGGGGAAGCTGGAGAGGAAACACGGTGTCTGCACAGTGTCTGTCACCTGCCTGACAGCTGCCTGCTTAACACACCAGAGGCCCGAAGACCCCTGCTAAGTTGACATACCGATTTCTGCTGGAAGATGTGAGATTTGGTTTTTTGGCAGATCCAGAATTCTCATCGCTTGAAATAACTGAATATATGTAGGAATGATTTGAATCAAGGTATTGCTTATGTACCATTCTCTCAGGTGTGTCTGCTCCTTCAATGAATCTGGGAGCTCCTAAAATAGAAAGAATGACATCAATCAGAACTAGCTCCTCCGTGTGCACAAAGCCGTGTAAAACCAAGCATTTATTTTAAAACAGGAAGTGAGAAAGCAGACACGAGAGCATAAAACTTAACCACCAGCACTCCAGCCATTTCAAAAAGAAACCAAAGACACCGCAGTTGTCGTCAACTTCACAACAGTATATTAGCCCTATTTCAAAACTGCCGTGAATTCATGATGTTATTAAAATTAAATCCTAGTGAACACAAAAAACCAGACTCACACTTAGAGCCACAATGTGTATTATTTATTTGCAACATACCAACTTAACATCCCCTAAGGTCTGTCTATACATTCGATTTCAAAATTTGTGCTTCGTTTCCCTTTGTCTGTAGTTGCTTTTAGAAATACTTGATAAACCTCTAATATTTGCTGTACCACATTTCCAAATATTCTTAAGAGTCTATGAAAGGGAAAAAGCATGAGAAAGACAGTCAGCTGGGACACCTGAGTTCCGGCCCAGGCCCTGCCATTTTCCAGTCACGCCACCTCCCTGGGTCTCCACTGCTGAAATGACATTGATGAACTCAGTGTCCAAGGCCTCCCCTAGCTCAAGTGTTCTGGGATAAAACTGTAAAGGTGTCAAGCAAGAAGCGTTTAAAGACTTTAAGGAGGCTATTTGTCCAGCTGAAGAAATCTAATTCACCGAGAGTTACCGAGCCCCCATTGCAGGTGAGGGGTGCTCAGCACTGAGGGGTGGGGCAAAGACGAGACACACAGGTCCCCTGACCTCAGAAGCTGACCACAACGCACCATCAGCAAAGTGGCTGGAGCACAGGGTGGAGGTGGGATGAGGTGTGGAAAACTCCATGGCAGTTGAAGGGGAGGTGGAGGGAGCAATGGAGTCCATAGTGATCCTTCTTTTTTGTACTTGGTACTTGTA
The DNA here is from genome assembly GCF_000001405.40 of Homo sapiens. Taxonomy (NCBI): domain Eukaryota; kingdom Metazoa; phylum Chordata; class Mammalia; order Primates; family Hominidae; genus Homo; species Homo sapiens. The sequence continues at coordinate 46,540,133 of NC_000003.12, forward strand.
ATGTGCTTTACAACCATTGCCCTCCTGTGTGTGGGTTAAGCTGTTAACTTGCAAAAGTGCTTTCACTCTAGTATTATCTCATGCAACAGTACCATAAGATAGGCAAAGTGGGCCGGGCACAGTGGCTCACGCCTGTAATCCCAGCAATTTGGGAGGCCAAGGCGGGTGAATCACCTGAGGTCAGGAGTTCGAGACCAGCCTGGCCAACATGGTGAAACCCCATCTCTACTAAAAATACAAAAATTAGCTAGGTGTGGTGGCGTGCACTTGTAATCCCAGCTACTTGGGAGGCTGAGGAAGGAGAATCGCTTGAACCCAGGAGGCGAAGGTTGTAGTGAGCCAAAATAGCACCACTGCACTCCAGCCTGGGTGACAGAGTGAGACTCCATCTCAAAAAAAAAAAAAAAAATTGATAGGCAAAGTGAGCCCCTTTGGAAGAGGAAAGCTGAAACCCCAAAGACATTTAAGTGAATCACTTACAGTAAGGATCCACTACTGAGTTTGCAGAGCCTAGTGCAAAATGAAAATGCAGGCACCTTGTTAAAAATTAAGAAGTTCAAGATGGTGAGCACAGAGCATTAAACCAAGCATAGGGCCCTGTGCCGCTGCTTCTGAAGCCAACTACCTAGTTACCACCTGCCCCCTTCTCGTGGCCCTGGCAAACTGTCCCGACACCTCTTGATCTGAATGGAACCCACACCACACCAGAGGGTTGCCTCCTGGAACTGAGACAAAATGAGTTGGGTCATCAGGGAGCTGACCACAGGCTCATAATCACAATCTCTTCATTGACACTTCAACGTACTGACTGTCTCATAAATAACCTCATTCCACTCTTTCAATAATGGCACACATGAAAGATTATTAAATTTCTAAAATTATGTTCATGACTATTTTCAACAAGAAAAATATTAGGATAGGCCGGGCATGGTGGCTCACGCCTGTAATCCCAGCACTTTGGGAGGCCGAGGCGGGCAGATCACGAGGTCAGGAGATCGAGACCATCCTGGCTAACACAGTGAAACTCCGTCTCTACTAAAAATACAAAACATTAGCCGGGCGTGGTGGCGGGCGCCTGCAGTCCCAGCTGCTCGGGAGGCTGAGGCAGGAGAATGGTGTGAACCCGGGAAGCGGACCTTGAAGTGAGCCGAGAATATGCCACTGCACTCCAGCCTGGGCGACAGAGCGAGACTCCGTCTCAAAAAAAAAAAAAAAAGAAAAGAAAAGAAAAATATTAGGATATCAAATGAAATAGAAATGAAAAGAATCGAGTAAAAATGACAGATTGAATGTATGCATGTACTTTTGCTCTTCTCCAAAATTCCATTAAAGACAACAGTACAGGAACTTTTTAGGTGCCATAAACCTTGCAGAAGGGCAAAGAGAAAGGGAAAGGAGACATCAGCTGCAAAATGTGGATAACCAGACAGCCGGAAGATGGTAACCTGGCTTCCCAGAGCTGCTCAATCTTAGACTAGCAGCAGAAACAACTGAGATACAACCTGGGCTTCTCACCAGAAGCCACCAGAGACTCGGCAGTAGAAGAGCCTGGTACCCCTGGAAGTGAGAGCTGAAGTCACGGCCCAAAGAAAGAGATCGGGTTCAAAGTCTGAGGACCAGAACCTTGACCCCCATCCATGCCACACAGCAATTACCTCTGCTCCCCACCAGTAGGAAGCTGAGGCTTATTCACTGGAGGAGGTTCAACAAAGTCCCTGAACTGGGGTACCTCAAGCACAGCTGAGGCAGGGGAGGTGGCAATCAGATGATGAGTGATGAATGCTGAGATTCTCTCTGCCCCAGGAACTGAGAAGATCCTTCTCTGTATGCTCCCATAGCTCCAGACAAATCATGAATGTGCATTCATGAACATTCATGAATAATCATGAATAGGAGAGGGGAGGCACCAGTGAGATGGGGACTTTACAGCAACTTCCTCAAAAGCTAAGTGTGCCCGACACACACTCAGAGCTTCTGGTCAGCTTGTTAGTGCTCTGGACAACCCAGTGTCTCCAGACCTCCAAGAAATGTCCCAACATGCAAGATAAAGACACATACCCTAAAAGAAAAAGGAAACTCTGAAACAAGAAAGCATCCCCCCCAAAAAAACTATCCAGCACTTTGGGAGGCTAAGGCAAGACAATCACTTGAGCCTAGGAGTTCAAGACCAGCCCAGACCACAAAGTGAGACTCCATCTTTAAAAAAAAATTAAATTAGCCGAGTGTGGTGGCATGCACCTGTTGGTTCCAGCTACAGAGAAGGCTAAGGTGGAAGGATCACTTGAGTCCAGGAGATAGAGGCTACAGTGAGCCATGTTCATGCCACTGCACTCCAGACAGAGTGACTAAGCAGGGCTCTGTCTCAAAAAACAAACAAAAGAAAAAAAAAGAAGAAAAGAAAAAAAAAAAAGATTGATCCCAAGATAGCTAAGAAAAGCCATTACCCTGCAAAATAAAAACAGAACAAAATTTTAAAAGCTAAGATTAAGAGATATCTGTAAAAGTGGAAAAATAAAGCCACTTCACAGAATTCATCCATTTGAAAAAACAAACAGCAAACAGCTCGGGGAAATTAAACATGTGGTAGTAAAAATGAAAAATTCTATTGCAGGGTTGGAAAATAAAATTGAGGATCTCCCCTATACGAGCAGGGTCCGGGGTCTGAGAGCTTCTGACTCAAAACAGGAGCCCCAGCCCTCAGCCCAAGCTGGCCACACAGCCTCAGCCAGCCCTAAGGGCCGCAGCAGATCTCTCTCTACCTAGTCCCTAAGGCCCCAGAAGCTCCACAGCCCATTCCTTCCCTCCTGACCTCTTGCAGGGGCCAGGCAGGCTGCCAGGTGTGACTTTGGAGGCCACAAATCCCTCACTGCCACAGAGCACTCTAAGAGGCTGAAAAATCCCTTAACACACACAGCCTTTCACTCCTTAGTCAGAGGTGAGGCCGAAGCACAAGCTCTCTGGGGGAGGAAAACGGTAACTGAAATTCACTCTAAAGAATATGTGGGGCCCAGAGTCTTCCTGGACTCTCCTGTACTCAATCACAACAGAGTACGGCTTAGGGGATGGCGTATGGGGACAAAGAGATTGCAAGTTTTGAGGACGCCATCCACCTGGTTCACAATGGAGGTCTCTCCCAGCCTGCTGAATTCTAACCATCTTCCCATTCCCTTTACCATACCGGGCACATTAAACACGCTTTACAGGCCAGGTGCAGTGACTCACGCCTGTAATCCCAGCACTTTGGGAGGCCGAGGCGGGCGGATCACGAGGTCAGGAGATCGAGACCATCCTGGTTAACACGGTGAAAACCCGTCTCTACTAAAAATACAAAAATTTAGCCGGGTATGGTGGCGGGTGCCTGTGGTCCCAGCTACTCGGGAGGCTGAGGCAGGAGAATGGCGTGAACCCGGGAGGCGGAGCTTGCAGCGAGCTGAGATCGCACCACTGTGCTCCAGCCTGGGTGACAGAGCGAGACTCCATCTCAATTAATAATAATAATAATAATAATAATAATAATAAATAATAAATACCCTTTACAATGATTTTCAAAAGGTAGATTGTGAAACATGAGGGCTCGTGACAGGTTCTCCAGGTGAACTGGACACCCTTACAGGGTAAGTGCCACACCCAGGATCGTGTTTACTGGCCAATGGTATTTAATTAACAATCCAGACATGCCTCCCTTCGTGCCCTAGAATAGGCAGCCCGTTACCTACTGATCTCAATGATGGGGATGCAAGGGAAAGAACAGTAAAGAGGTTTACAGTAATAACCTCTTGCATTTTTGGAGAACTGTATACTTTACAGAATATTCATGCACTTCATCCTCTCAATAGCACTCAGATAGGGTCAGGGCAAGCATTAGCAGCATTTTACTGATAAGAATGATAAAAACCCATAAAAGTGATATGCATTTTTATCAAATGATAAAAACCACCTCGGATCACATGGCTAATAAAAGACAGCCCCAGGTCACGCAAAATATTTAGTCTCTCCACCGAGTCCTTTTAGTCACAAAATGGCAGGGTAATAGGCTCAAGCTCAGGAATTCGAGACCAGCCTGGGCAACCTGGCAAAACCCCGCCTCTAGGAAAAAAATACAAAGCCCGGGCGTGGTGGCTCTTGCCTGTAATCCCAGCACTTTGGGAGGCAAAGGCGGGCAGATCACCTGAGGTCAGGAGTTCGAGACCAACCTGGCCAACATGGTGAAACCCCGTCTCTACTAAAAATACAAAAATTAGCCAGGCATGGTGGCACACACCTGTAGTCCCAGCTCCTCGGGAAACTGAGATCTCGCCACTGCACTCCAGCCTGGGTGACAGAGCAAGACTCTTGAACAAAACAAAACAAAACAAAAAAGACACAAAATGGCAAGATACAAAGAGATGGACGGAGGGTCCCAGGGAACCCTGTCCCGATGAAATGGGCAATAGCCCAAGTTATTATGGGACCTGAGGAAAGAAAGATGGAATTGTCTTTGCCCTGGCCTCAGAATCTCAGGACAGGAAAACCAGATAAAGGATCTGCAGAAATTCCTTTGCTGCCCTTCGGCACTTCGGCAAGTAAGTAATTGCCCACTGCCAGGGCGTTAGTTGAATGAAAGGCGCCGTCACTTAAATTGATGTTTTTTAAAGACAAAGAATTATGTTAAGGGTCTAGGGCGGGGAACAGGAGAGGAACGCATCCTGAAAGACTGTGCTGCCCAGGAGAGGGCACGTGCATCCCAGCTGCTCAGCCACAGAGGTATCCAAGTGGGTCCCATCACTGCTTCCAGGACTGCGCTGCGTTTCACTGAGGAAGGGACAGAAGAACCTCCTCTAAAGGCAAAAGCATTCATTCATTCATCCTTGGGCTCAGGCGAGCAGCAGTCATCGACCACAGCACTGCATTGGGCGAGAACTGCCTCGACTCACCGTCCAGTGCTCCCCAGAAAGTTCAAACACAAACGCACTGCTCCGTTTGCCTCTGTCCTTGGGAAGTGAACTCTGCCTTGTGAGAGTGTTCCTTTCAATCTTGTCCAGAAGCCGCACGCTGGTGTCTATGAAGCCATTCTTGCAGTATACAGCCTGGGGGATGCCCTTCCTCCTGCATTCGGCCACAAAGTTCCACTCCTCCTTTATCCTAAAACAGGCAGCAGGGGTCACAGTTACTCTCCTGGGGACTGGCCATCACCTGCCTAGAGAAGTGAGTCAGCCACCTGGGCATAGGTGCTCTCCTTGTCATTCCCAGGCCTACGTAAGCACTCCCTTCCTCTTTCCTCCCTGCTGTGGGGGTGCAGGGGAAACCCTAAACCCTTTTGTGAATTATTAGTAACTTCAACTTTAAAAGTAGAGAAGATGGGTTAGATGGAATTTCTGGCTATGCGTTTAATTATAATTTCCTTTGAAATTATATCATGCCAACCTAAGTTTTAAAAAAGTGCAGGGCCACAGGGATTCACTGATCTTTCAAGGGTATTTGAATAGAAATACAGAGGAGCTTCAGTGTATAAAACACCTGACTTTGGAATGTCACCATCAGCCACCTTGGGGAATTTTATTCCTGTAGATGGACCTGAGGTCCACTCAGACACTGGAGCTGGCTGAGGACTCAGCATCCCCACCAAACCTCACCACCCCACGTGTCGCTAATTTTCTGACCTATCTTTTAGAGCTTTCCACATCCATAGCTTATCCCCCAGCTTGATGCTAAGCTCCATGATGACAGCTAGTGTGTCTCACAGCCCTTCAGATGCCCACACAGCTGTCAGAACAGGGCTCTGCACCTGGTGGGCCTTTCTTCATTTAGGAATTTGTTTTCTGTTTGAGGCCTTTAACATATTCTATGTGATGCAAAACAAGATGTTTTGTGGTTTTCCTTCAAAACCATCAAACACAGATGTTGTCTGACTCAAAATAAGGTAGCCCACCTTTGATAGGGGCTTAGATGCATTCCACACTCAGAAAAGCATTCCACACCCTACTCAGCCCAACTGGGAACCTGGCGGCAGTCAGGATTCAGGTCTTCTGGGGGCTACTTTAGAAACCAGCTGCAGGTGCAGACTTGGTCTTCACGTGGCCCAAGGCAGTATATACACTAAATAAGTGTGAGATAAGCCCCATGGTCAAGGAACAATCCTAGTATGGAAACTCTCTGCTGTTATCTGAAGGAAGGGTGGTTCAGAGTCTCAGTTAGGCTGTAGGGTGGCACTGTGGGGCACAGGCAAGCCTGCCATTGGAGTGGTTAGGAGGGGTCTGAAGGTTTACTGCACCTGGGACAAGACCAGCTTCTAGGACTGGGCATGCGGGAAGTCCCAGTCTGGACCACCAGGCACTGTCAAGTGTAAGGAGAAATTTCAGATTTTGAAAGAAGCAAAACACAGATGGATAGCCTTTTCCCGGAATGCCGGAGCCTCCAGGGGATTCTCTGATTCTATAGGTATGTACCTTTGACTTTGACTAAGCTATTTTATAACTCTGTAGAGAGTAAAGTTAACTTGTAGAAAACGGAAAGCCATACAAATAATTCTTATCCATAAACACACAGAAATTCTATCCAGTGGAGGGACAACCCTCTCCCACCCCCAGAAACACCAATTTGCTCCTTTTTTTTTTTTTTTTTTTTTGAGACAGAGTTTTGCTCTGTCACCCAGGCTGGAGTGCAATGGCACAGTCTCAGCTCACTGCAACCTCCACCTCCCACGTTCAAGCGATTCTCCTGCCTCAGCCTCCCCAGTAGCTGGGATTACAGATGCCTGCCACAGTTTATATCCCATTATCTCCCTGCTCTACACCTGCCCCCACACAGTAAATGAGATGAAGGAAAACTCATAACCTTGCACACTGGTCTGGCTTTGAAAGGAAAACATATTCATGGATCCCATTGTAATCACCTCCTGGCATCCATCCTTAACTCCCTTGCCCCTCTCTTGGTGTCAGTGGCATTTGCATTTGCTGTTATGCCTGCCTGCAACCCTTGTTCTTAGATTTCTGCAGGGCTGGCTCCCCAGGTCTACATGCAAATGTCACCTTCTTAATCAGATGTTTTGCTTTTAAGAAACCATTTCAGATATTGCTGGAGTTTCATGCTTGCCATTCAACTGAGGGAAGCTGGAACATTTGAAGAAAAACATTTTGCTGACAGCACTGGCTGGCACAGCTCTATAGGTCTCAGTCCCAGTGAGCTGCGCTGGGGAAAACCACCCAGCAATCCATGAGTCAGGGCTTCAGGATCTACATATGAAGTCTATAAGTAATATAACAAAAGTGATAAATTTAAAAATATTGCCAGGTGCAGTGGTTCAGGCAGGAGGAACACTTGAGGCCAAGAGTTTGAGACCAGCCTGGGAAACAAAGTGAGACCCCTGTCTCTACAAAAAATACAAGAAAAAAAAAAGAAAGCGGGGCTGGTGGCACATGCTTGTAGTCCCAGCTACTCAGGAGGCTGAGCTAGGAAAACTGTTTAAGCCCTGGAAGTCGAGGCTGCAGTGAGCTATGATCACACCACTGCACTCCAGCCTGGGCAACAGAAAGAGACTTGTCCCAAAAAAATTACAAGAAAAAAAAAAATATATATATAACATATGTGTGTGTGTATGTGTGTGTGTGTGTGTGTGTGTGTGTCAGCACATGAAGGGATATGAATTTAAAAGCAGAAGAAAGTGCTGAAAGAGAAGTGGGCTCCTCTGGGAGAAGTTGTAGTGGCTTGGAATTGTTGCTTTTCCTTATTAGCTTTTCTGTGTGATTTAGTTTTATAACCATATGATAAAAATGAATTTTAAATATCTACCTGTAGATTTAGATCTTACTGTAGCAGTCAGGACAAGGGGCAGACTCTAGGTCAAAGACATGCTGCTAGAACTTCTGTTAGAAGCAATACCTCCAAAATTTTTAAAACCAACAGCACAGCCACTGCAAGTTCTTGTATTCACTGGGCACTTTTCAGATTAATGTCTCTAACTTTTCTTTCCTCATTTCTTAGACTGAACCTGAAGGCAGATCCTAGCAATATAATGAGATGATACCGGCTCATCCCTATGTAATATATCATTCCTATAGCACATATTACAAATTGTTATAAATATTTCACATATTTTGGTACAGCCAATATAAAATGGAGAAAAAAGAAAATTAGATGTACCCCATTAAAAATAATTATATACCAAATCTATTTTGTATTATTTCTTAAATATTTGTTGTCTTATTTTCTTTATGTCTTATTTTCCTTCTTAAATATTTTATGTCTGATTCCCTCTGAAACCTGATGAAAGGAAAGTGAAGAAGGAAATATAAACTATTTTTTTAATTCCATTCTCTTCCTTGAAAGTAATTAAAATAAATAAAATTCGTTGTCTTTTCACTCTATCACCCATATAATTCAATGTGAAATCTTCCTCTCAACTCAGTTTTAGCTGAATGCCAAATATGCAATAAACATACAAAAAAAATGCCATTAGAGTTCTTCTAATTAAATCAATAAATGTGTAAATAAAATACCTTTTCCTTAGGAAAGGAAACCACAATCCCAGCCCAGATGGCAAACAGCCTCAATGGAGAAGAAATTCTTCACTTACAGCCTAACAATAGCTCTTTTATTTCTCCCTCTAAATCAGCAGTCCTCAACCTTTTTGGCACCAGGGACCAGTTTCATGGAAGACAATTTTTCCATGGATGAGGGGTTGGGGGGATGGTTTCGGGATAAAACTGTTCCACCTCAGATCATCAGGCATTAGATTCTCATAAGCAGTGGGCAACCTAGATCCCTTGTATGCACAATTCACAAAAGGGTTTGTGCTCCTATGAGAATCTAATGCTGCCGCTGATCTGACAGGAGGTGGAGCTCAGGTGGTAATGCCCGCTTGCCCCCTGCACACCTCCTGCTGTGTGGCCCAGTTCCTAAAAGGCCAGCCCAGGGCTTGGGAACCTCCGCTCCAAATGATCAAGTTTCATTCGGAGAGAGTGATATTTCATATTTTATCTCTACTTATAATGTTTAAGTATCGGTATATACTTCATAACAACTACAGCATTACAGGATGAGATACCCTAAAGTGAGGTAACAGAACAAGCTAGGAGGTTTTATTTGTTTCAGTAAATTTAAATTAACCAAATAGTTGCCTTTTATAATCAGGCAGGCATTAATTTTTCAACATATTAATTACTCCTTTGAACAGTAAACAGATCCTGAGAAACTAAAAGTTAACCCTCAAATAGTACTAATGATCACAGTATGAATTATATTATGGAAGCTCAAAAACACCTGTAAAGAAGGCAAATTTACTACCCCCATTTCTGAAGAGGCTGAGAAACTAAGTTCCTTTCTTAAACATGCACATTCTTCCCCAGCCCTACCTCACATTCCTCCTTATCTGCCCAGCCAACTTGGTGGCTGTTTTCCTTATCTTGGGCTAGAAAAGCCAAACAAATATCCAAGAAGTTTTCTGTCTTAGGTTAAGATGAGACAGTGCACAAGCTCAATGACACTGAGCCCAAGTCAAGCTCAATCCTATGTACATGAGATGCGTGAAGCTGTTTAACACCTCAAAGAAAGACAGCGTTGAAGGGGCAGATCCCACTCCAAAGCAGATGAGAGAGCACAGTCTGCAGACCCCAGGTGTCTGCAAATGGCTCCTCTTCCAAGAACCTCAGGAAGTTGCATCAGCTACAGGTGCTTCCCTAACTCCCCTCCCCACTGCCAAGGGCGTGGGCCTCCATGCAGCAAGCTTGTTCTGCTGTAGAGTAACCCCAGATGCTAGGTGTGCGGAGGAAATCAAAGCAGGGCTGAGAGCTACTTTGGGCTCTGGGACCTTGTATGATTTATGTGAGTGTAGGTCTCTTGGATGCGTTGCCATGTGGGCTTTCTGGTTTAAGGGTTGTAATTCTTTTTTGTTGTTTTTTTGTAAAGACAGAGTCTCACTATGTTGCCCAGGCTAGTCTCAAACTCCTCAAGCAATCCTTTATGTCATATTGGACAATCTCAGATTAGTGGCAAGAGAAAAGACGTTCTAACTACCTGTGATTACAGCATTATACAGAGGCAAGGGCTTGGCCACATCTTCCACTTACCATCTGTGTGAACTTGAGCAACTTACCTAAGTCCCAACTTCCTCATCTGCAAATTAGGGATGGTGGTAACCACCTGAAACCACTGTGATGAATACAGTAGCAGCTTAATTATCAAGCATGATCAGAATAGGTATTTGTTTAATCCAAAAAGCTAATGAAGGTGGAGAACCAAGAATGTAGACACATTCACACCTTACACATCTTTTTTTTTTTTTTTTTTTTTTTTGAGACAGAGTCTCGCTCTGTCGCCCAGGCTGGAATGCAGTGGCTTGATCTCAGCTCACTGCAAGCTCTGCCTCCCGGGTTCACGCCATTCTCCTGCCTTCCTGCCTCAGCCTCCCAAGTAGCTGGGACTACAGGCGCCCGCCACCACGCCCGGCTAATTTTTTGTATTTTTAGCAGAGACGGGGTTTCACCGTGTTAGCCAGGATGGTCTCGATCTCCTGACCTTGTGATCCGCCTGCCTCGGTCTCCTAGAGTGCTGGGATTACAGGCGTGAGCCACTGCGCCCAGCCCCTACACATCTTGCTTTTAATTTAAAGTGTGCAAATATACCATCATTGGCCAACTTGATGTAGGGTTGGGACTTTCTTTGAGAATGGGTCTGCCAATGAGAATCCCATTGTGTCAATCTTATATAAACAGCACCCCTAATGCATCATCCATGAGTTCCAGTTCTGGTTTCTCCACAGGGAATAAAAATTGCAGACATATGCAAAGCCATCTTCAACCTTTCTACCTTGTAGATTTTCCAAAGCACTCAACTTGGTGTTCATATACATAACTTTCTTTTACTCATATTTCACGGCCGTATATGATAGGCAAATGACACCATTTCATCCAAGTAAAAACGACACCAACACAATGAATCTTACCTAGAATTCAGCTCAATGGGGGAGGGCTGAAGTGCACAACAGAGTAGCCCCAAGCTGCCCCAGATGGCAGTCAGATGGTGTCCAGAGCGCCAGACAGCCTAGTGAGTTAGCTCAGTGAACTCTAGCTAGGCAGCCTGCTACAGCATTTACTGTGGGGGGATTTATCGTGTCATCTCGGTCTTCCTCGTGCCTACCACAAGGGTGGTGGGTAGGTCCTTATAACCATGGGTGTTGCTATCATAGGAACTGCGTATTTGTACTGAGCAACAGTGTAAGGCTCTGAAGTTTAATGAGGAAAATTTTACCAACAGTGAGAAATCCCAGAAGAAAAGCATCCTCCTCCACAACGCAACTGTTGCCTGTCCAAATCCTTATTCACCAAACAAGCTACAAGACTAGGTTGAGAAAACACGTACTTCTCCAAGGCGCTCTTCTCAAGCCTTTCCACCTCCTTCTTCTGCCAAGCTTTGTGCTTCTTGACACGAGTTTCCCACAAGGCTCTGATGACAGAAATGTCGAAGACAACCACTTTATGTCCCATTTTGGGAGCATGAAATTACCTATTTAAAAAATATATAGATATGTCAGCTTGATACACAAACAGAAAACAGTTTTAACATAAACTTTAAAATGAAATATGAATGAATCACTTGGCTTAAGGAATGATGATATGCCTTACTACTTCAAGGATGACAGTTTGCTTTTTTTTTTTTTTTTTTTTTTTAGCTTGTTTGGCTGGTTGGGTTTTGTTTGTCTTGTTTTTATTGAGACAGAGTCTCACTCTGTTGCCCAGGCTGGAATGCAGTGGCACGATCATAGCTCCAACTGCAGCCTCAACCTCCTGGGCTCAGGCAATCTTCCTGCTTCAGCCTCCCAAGCAGCTGGGACTACAGGATCACACCATCACACCCAACTAATTTTTTAATTTTTTGTGGAGACAGGGTCTCACTCTATTGCCGAGGCTGGGAGGATGACAGTTTCCTAATGTTCTTAAGGTTTGGTAGTACTTTGTGTAAGTAAGTCATAGTTCAACACTCACCCTAGGGTCACCTTCTCTAGATGGTCACACTTGTCTCCTTAACCCTCAGATAGACTCTGGGCTCCCAAAGCCCCCTGGGGATTCCTCAAACTTCACGGTTCCACATTGTATTAAATTCACTAGTATATGTACCTAATATTCCCAGTAGGTTGTTACATAATCAAGGATAAGTTAGATGAATTAATCACAGGGCACGGGCATGCACACACACACACGCAGGCAGGCACGCACACACATCCTCTCTCCTCTCTCAAGTAGAACGGAATATAACTTCTTAGTTGTATTTAAATCTAAAAAAAAAAAAAAGCTCACATAGGCGGTGTTATAATTGCTTTTCTAAAAGTCCCCTTTTGTTGGTAGAAATTTATTCTAAAGATATTTGAGTGTTCTTTCCTTCCTTTAAGTATAGGACATGAGGCACGTAACAGCGACTTTCTTCCGTAACCCATCACCTCAATTCTTCCCCTCTGGGATTGCCTTTTCCATCCTCCTCCTGCCTTCTTTCCTCAGTCCGGCTGACCTAACTCATTTCTGTTCTCCAGGGTAGTCTCTGCCACCACCAGTCTCTGCCTCTCCTCCCCAATATCCCCAGCCCTCATCATCTGAGGCCACAGGCCAGCCACCATTAAGTTAAAAAAAAAATGGCACTGAGCCCCACTGAGCACTCTGCCACTTAAGACTGACCACACAGCCTGGAGACATGTCCTCTGAGGTTTCCCTGCAGATTGAACCTTCACAAACCATTGATCTCTGTTTACCTGGTTTTCAAAGAGCAAGGAAAGTCAAACTTGGGTACATTTTGGCCATCACATCTCAGTGGGAATTTAGAGATAATTTAGTCTCTATTTTCAGTGTCACCAAATGAAACATGAGAGGCCCACCAAAACTTTATGTCTATATCCCTGGCACCTAGTATAGTGCCTTGCACATGGTAGGCCCTCCATAAATATTTGTGGAATGCATGAGTGAGTGAATGAATGAATGAGTAAATAAAAGATATTGCTTCACTCTCAGGACACTAAATGAGCTCTCTTCTTTTTTATTTTTCTACTTTACATTTACTTTTTGTTTTAAGTAATTATTTGATCATTGCAAAAAAAAAAAATTGTCAGGACAGAAAAGTACCTTTCAGTGTACATTCCACTAAGTTATACTTATGTCCCTTATCTAAGTAAAGTAACTTTCTAGATATTGTTTTGAAATTCCCTAAGTGCAGCAGCAAAGTCTTGCTAAATCCATGCCCTGATTTGCACAAACACAGATTGTCAGTTGCTAAATAGTAGGGCTGGTGAATACTTTCTCCTCCAATTTCAGACACTTCTATATAGCAGTCACGGATATGAAGCCAAATATTTAATCTTCTTTTTCTTTTTCTTTCAGACAGGGTATTACCTGTTCCCTAGGCTGGAGGGCAGTGATCCAGGTGCAATCACTGCTCATTGCACCTGGATCTGGGCATAGTGGCGCATGTCTGTAGTCCCTCAACCTCCTGGGCTCAGGGGATCCTCCCATCTCAGCCTCCCATGTAGCTGGGACCACAGTCGTGCGTCACCACACTTGGTGAATTTTTTAATTTTTTGTGGAAGCGGGGCCTCGCTATGTTACCCAGGCTGGTCTTGAACTCCGGGGCTCAGGTGATCCTCCTGCCTCAGTCTCCCATAGTGCTGGGATCACAGGCACAAGCCATCATGCCTGGCCAAAATATTTAATCTTCTGACTCAAGAATGTGCTCCCTATAAATGGCTTGCCAATAAGAATGGGAGAACTGGCTTATGTTTGTGCAGCTGAAAATATGAACGTATATAATTTTACTCTAAAGAGCTGACAATGCTGACCTAATTTATTCCCTTCTTTCCTTTGATTTCTGATGTCTGAGACTGCCTTTGTTTGTTGTTGTTGTTGTTGTTTCATTGGTTGTTGTTGTTGTTTTTTTGTTGTTTTTTTTCCTGAGACAGGGTCTCACTCTGTTGCCCAGGCTAGAATGCAGTGACACCATCATGGTTCACTGCAGCCTCAACCTCCCAGGCTCAAGCATTCCTCCTACCTCCACCTCCCAAGTAGCTGGGACTACAGACATGCGCCACTATGCCCAGATAATTTTTGTATTTTTTGTAGAGATGGTGGTCCCACTATGTTGCCCAGACTGGTCTCAAACTCCTGGGCTCAAGCAATCCACCCACCTAGGCCTCCCAAAGTGCTGGGATTATCGGCATGAGACAGTCTGCCCAGCCTGAGACTGCCTTTGCCTCCTTTAGAATTGTTTTACCTAAAGGAGGCCAGGTGCAGTGGCTCATGCCTGTAATCCCAGTACTTTGGGAGGCAGAGGTGGGCAGATCATGAGGTCAGGAATTCCAGACCACCCTGGCCAATATGGTGAAACCCCATCTCTACTAAAAATTACAAAAATTAGCCGGGCATGGTGGTGCACACCTGTAGTCCCAGCTACTCGGGAGGCTGAGGCAGAATTGCTTGAACCTGGGAGGCGGAGGTTGCAGTGAGCCGAGATCGTACCAGCGCACTCCAGTCTGGGAGACAGAGCAAGACTCTGTCTTAAAAAAAAAAAAAAAAGAAGAAGAAGAATTGTTTTACCTAAAGGAGATTTTTGACAAAAGTTAAAATGATGCACAAGTTTTTGTGTGTACATTTGTTGTCTTATCCTTGGTAAATATAAAGGAGAATTGTTAGATTATATGATAACTCTATAGTTAACCTTTCTGTGAACTGTCAGACTGTTTTCCAAAGCAGCTACATCATTTTACATTCCCACCAGCAGTGTATGAAGATTCCTGTCTCTCCACATCCTCACCAACACTTGTTATTAACTGTCTTTTTTATTATAGCCATCCTAGTAGGTGTGAAGAGGTATCTTGTTGTTTTGATTTGCATTTTCCTGATGACTAATGATGTTGAGCATATTTTCATATGCTTGTTAGGCATTTATAGATCTTCTTTGGAGAAATGTCTATTCAGATCCTTTCCCCTTTTTTAATTGGGTTAATTGGTCTTTTTATTTATCGTTAAGTTGCAATAGTACTTTATATATTCTAGATACAGGTCCTTTACCAGGTATATAATTTGCAAAAAATTTCTTCCATTTTGTGAGTTGCTTTTCACTTTCTTGATTCCATCATTTTATATTATCCTAACTATATGCTTATAGTTGATGTGAGATTTTGTAGACAGACTATTGCTGGATCATTTATTTAACCAATTCTGACTATCTCTATCTTTTAATTGATGTATGTATGCCATTTATATTTAATACACTTACTTGTATATTTGGATTTAAATCTGTAATTTTATTACTTTTTTTCTATTTGATCCCTCTTTTGTTTTCCTATTTTACACTTTCCTGCCTTCTTTTCTCTGAACATTTTTTAGAATTCCATTTTAGTTTCTCTATTATATATTTTACTATGTCTCTTTGGGTAGTTTTTTTCTCTTGTTTTATGGTTGCCCTAAGAATTATTATACATACTTACTTTTTCATAGTCCACTTAGAAACAGTATGTTACCACTTCAAGTGAGATGTAAAAATCTTACCACCA
Source organism: Homo sapiens (assembly GCF_000001405.40). Classification (NCBI taxonomy): domain Eukaryota; kingdom Metazoa; phylum Chordata; class Mammalia; order Primates; family Hominidae; genus Homo; species Homo sapiens. The sequence goes on from NC_000003.12 coordinate 46,555,638, forward strand.
TATAGGTCCTCCTACATTCCCACCTTTATGTTGCAGTTGTCTTATGTATTATGTCAATCAATGTTATATTTTTGGCTTCCAATCATCAAATTTAAAGAACTCCTGAGGAGAAAACTGGTCCATTATATTTATCTTGATATTTATATGTTCCTGTTCCTTCCTTCCTGCTGTTCAAGTTTACATCTGTTATCATTTCCCTTCTATCTAAAAACTTGCCTTAACAATTATTTTAGAGAAAATATACTGACATATTCTGGTTTCCTTCAACTGAGGATGTCTTTTTCTTACCTCCATTCATAAATACTATTTTTGCTGGATATAGAATTTGAAAGCAATCTTTTCTTTTTTATTAATCAGCACCCTTAGAATGTTGTGCCACTTTCTTTTGGCATCCATAGTTTCTGATTAGAAATCTGAAATAATTTGAATCACACTTTCCTATAGGAGATGCATCATTTTTCTCTTGCTACTTTCTTTTTTTTTTTTCTTTCCCCCTTCCAAAGACAAGATCTCACTCTGTCACCCAGGCTGGAGTGCAGTGATGCCATCACAACTCACTGCAGCCTCAACCTCCTAGGCTCAAACAATCCTCCCATCTCAGCCTCTCAAGTAGCTGGAAACACAGGGATGCACCACCATATCTGGCTAATTTTTTTAAAAAAATATTTTTGCAGCGATAAGGTCTCACTATGTTGCCCAGGCTGGTCTCAAACTCCTGGGCACAAGTGATTCTCCCACCTCAACCTCCCAAAATGCTGGGATGACAGGCATGAGCCACCGCACCTGGAAAAATTTTTTCGTCTTTGGGTTTCTTCAGGTTAATTATTATATCTGGGCATGGATTTTGGGTGGGATTATCCTGATTTAGATTTGTTTAGCTTTTTTAATCACTTGGTTTATATCTTTTGACAAATTTGGGGATTTTTCAGTCATTATTTCTTTTTTTTTTTTTTTTTTTTGAGACAGAGTCTCGCTCTGTCGCCCAAGCTGGAGTGCAGCGGCGTGATCTCCAATAACTGCAACCTCAGCCTCCCGGGTTCAAGCAATTCTCCTGCCTCAGCCTCCCGAGTAGCTGGAATTACAGGCACGTGCCACCACGCCCGGCTAATTTTTGTATTTTTAGTAGAGACAGGGTTTCACCATGTTGATCAGGTTGGTCTCGAATTTCTGACCTTGTGATTCACCCGCCTCAGCCTCCCAAAGTGCTAGGATTACAGGCGTGAGCCATCGCGCCCAGCCCCAGCCATTAGTTCTTGAACATTTTTTCTGCATTACACTCTTCCTCCTCTCCTTCTGGAATTCTGATGACACAAATATTAGACTTTTCAGTATTGTTCCATAGATTCTTGAGGGCTTGTTCATTTCAGATAAATCTTCTCTTCTATTTTTTGTTTCAGATTGGTAATGCCCAGTGTCAGGCCTCTGAGCCCAAGCCAAGCCATCGAATCCCCTGTGACTTGCACGTATATGCCAAGATGGCCTGAAGTAACTGAAGAATCACAAAAGAAGTGAAAATGCCCTGCCCCGCCTTAACTGATGACATTCCACCACAAAAGAAGTGTAAATGGCCGGTCCTTGCCTTAAGTGATGACATTACCTTGTGGAAGTCCCTTTTCCTGGCTCATCCTGGCTCAAAAACTCCCCCACTGAGCACCTTGCGACCCCCACTCCTGCCTGCCAGAGAACAAACCCCCTTTGACTGTAATTTTCCTTTACCTACCCAAATCTTATAAAACGGCCTCATCCCTATCTCCCTTCGCTGACTGTTTTCGGACTCAGCCTGCCTACACCCAGGTGATTAAAAGCTTTATTGCTCACACAAAGCCTGTTTGGTGGTCTCTTCACACAGATGCGCATGAAACCCAGTAATCTACTTCAAGTTTCCTAGCTCTTCCCTATGCCATCTCCATTACGTTTGTGAGCCTATCCAGTATTTTATTTCAATTATTGTCTTTTTATTTCTAAAATTTCCAATTAGTTCTTTATATCTTCTGTTTCTTTGTTGATATTTTTCTATCTTTCCATTCATACCCCAGGGCTGAGGGAGCACATCCAAGGAAGGGCCAACTTGGAAGGGGTTCAGCCCATCAGATAGCAGGTAAGTCCTCTGGTTTGGGCAGGCTAGTCTGGAGTTGCTGGGTAACTAATAGGAGAACCCCTCAAGTGCAGGTAGGGATGGCCAATCAGCAACTGGTGGCATGGGCATGTGATGGAAGTCCAGATGGCCTTCAGAGTGTGTGGACCACACAGGCACTTGCAGAAGGCATCGCAGGTTGGCATGTGACCCTCAGGGGCACAGGCAGCTGTGTGCAGGTAATATGCAGGCTTGTGAAGAAAGTCGAAATACAAGCACAGGCAGGAGTTCTTCAGAGCACGTGGGCTGCACAAGGGCTCTGTGTTCTGGCTCAAGAGAGCTGTAGAAAGGTGACTGCAAGGCCAAGGATGCAAAGTCGCAAAGGGACTGTTCTGAGCCCATGCTTGGGGCAGATTCCGATGGATATTCTCACATGCACACTGCTGATCCCCAGCCCACGCCAAAAAAAAGGCAGGAAGCCTCTTCCTACTACCTTGCCCCTCCAGTGCCTTCTACTGAGAAAGCACAGCACTGCGCTCACTTTAAAGGGCCAATATTTAAAGGAATGCCATTGTATAACACAGGGTATATTTATTGAGTGGCGCATTCAAAGCTGAGAAGCAGTAAGTTGATAACTGACACCGTGGGTAACCAATTTGGTTGAGTTCTGACCTCAAATTCCAACCTGCCTTCTGTGGGGTGTGATCCCCATGTCAGGTCTGTTTTCAGTCTTCGTGGTGCTATTCAGCTATGTTCCGTGTGCACCACCCAGTGGCCCGTCTACGGCGTGGCTGAAGGTCTATTCCAGTGTCCAGGTCTAACTTCTTTGGAGTGCTGGTTAGGGTCAGATCCACGCATGCGCAGCTAGGGGAGGAGCCCAGGAACAAACTTACGGAGCTGTTTCCTCCAAATTCCTCCCTCTCTGTGATCTCCCTGGTCCTTTCCTGATCGCTGGGCTCCCTTTTTCGGGCCTCTGGCCAAAAACTTGGTGTTGTAGTTACCCTGCTCTGCCGTGCACTTCCTACAACTGCACCCACAGTCGCGGCCAAGCAGCGAAGATTTAAGAAAGTAAGAAAGCGTGACGGTTTGCTCCACTCTTTTGGGCTATAGCTCCTCCAATCAGAAAAGGAAGGTTCTCTGCATGTCCCACTTTATGTGAAATCTAACAAAGTTGAACTCGTAGAAGTAGAGTGTAGAAAGAGATTGGGGCCGGGGAGGAAGGGAATGGGCAGTTACTGGTCAAAGGGTACAAAGTTTCAGATAGGTAGGAGGAATGTTTTGAAATCTATTGCATAGCAGGGCGACTATAGTCAATAATAAAGTATTGCATATTTCAAAATCACTGAAAGGGTAAATTTCAAATGTCTACCATAAAAATGATAGGTAAAAGAAGTGCATTTAATTTTTCTTTTACCACTTTTCTTACTCTGTTATCTTCAGCTCAGGAGTATCTAACCTGCAAAGATCTTAATTAAGGCTTTGGCTTTCGACTTAAAAGTCTCCATAAAGGAACGCTACGCATCATCCTGAAAATAAAGATCAAAGTCCACAGCCAGTGGTGAAGAAACATTAATAAGAGAATCAGTCAGCCTAGTTTTTTTGAGGAAATCTGTGCACAGATCCCAAGTCTACACATAAACCAAAAAGCCAAAGTAAAGTTAACTGTATTTGAGCAGTGTGGGCAGCCCAGCCAGCCACAGTAACTGAAGCTGGAAGAATTACTCCCTACACACAGGGCTCGTGTTCTCTAGATCAACCAGACACATCACAGACTCTGTTGTTGAGGTTCTTTCATTTCCTCAGGCCAGTTAGCCCTTGGCTAGTAGCCAGAGCTGTACATTAACTGCCCCTACATTTTTAAAATCATTGCTTATGAATTTCTATGTATTAACTTAGAGAAATGTAATTCTAGTTCCCATCTTAGAGGAATGGTCTCTTCTTAATGTCTTTGTGTTCTAAATATTTGATCATGTCAACAAAAAATGGCTTAATCATCTTTGATAAATTCCTGGAATTATGAAATTTAATTACCAAAGGCCCTGACATATTTTTAAGTAGTTATAAGTCATTACTACTCTCAGTATTTTGGTGGGAAAGAGCATATTCTGTCTGTCATCTAACCATGTTCACCATTTTCCCTGTGTTTTTAAAAAGCAGGAAAAGAAGTTCTCTTATACAATTAAGGGGGCGTTGAATGTGCCAGGATGTAAATCAGCATCTTGCGAAGTTTTGTTTGCAACATGTATAATGAAAACTGGAGACTAAGAACAGTAGGTGATGACCACATTTGCTAGAGATTTACATGTGATGTCCAGAGGTGCTGGGAAGCTATGACATACAAGATCCTAAGTGCCAGGTCCAGCCCAGCCCTTGGCATCCCATGTAGGACAGAGATAAGTCCAGACCTCTCTAGACAACTGGACAAATTTTACCTTAACCTAGAAGGTAGTAGTTCATGGGTGGGTTCTGAGACTGAGAAAGTAGTTCAAATGAGAGTCCATGTGTCAGTCCAGGGTAAGGAGGAGACCCTCCATCCAGGGGAGAAACCACACTGGGGAGCCCATAGGACACAGTTGTCAGGGACAGACACAGGTGCCAGTCCCTCAGCAGCTCAGGGGAGAGATCTCCTCACAAATTTACAAAGCTAATCTCTTCTTTGTAAAATAAACTCTAGTCAACACAATCTTTCAGGCAAAGACATAGAATGCAATGTCCTAAGCATTAACTTTCTTTAGGACTATAGAAATGTCATCATCATCATATGCTACCCCAACACAGAAAAGGGAAAAATTAACCTCTACGGGATCCAGTCAAGAGACCCTCAATACAAACAAAGCAATATCCTCTTATAGGAAACTTTACAACGAAGTAGATTCTACAAAGCAGCCTAAGTGTAAAGCTTCAGCCTGGACCCTCGTTGAATTTGACAGCAAAGTGTCATGGTTCCAAGACAGCATCTGATTCCGGTTCCCTGCTGTGGGTCTGGTTTTGTGTGGTTGTAGCAGAATTATGAGAACAAGCCTCCCTCAATTTGGGCTACACTGTCCACAGTCACAGAGCATCTTCCAGAGAAGAAAACACCTGCAATGATGAGACAGAAGGAGAACGGTGGCATCTCTCACTGTAAAGGAAAGAACACTGGGGCCACAAAGTGTCATCAGCCATGTTCCTCTCCAGTCCAAGGACTCCCAGACACTTAGTGTTCCAGCTCCTGAGTGAAAATGTTAACCATCAGCACACTCTCAAAGGTTAGATTAAGGAAAATAATGCCTGGAAAATCTTTTGTTTTAGTACAGGGCTGAGAAAACTTGATGGTAAATAATAGAGGTTTCCCAGGCCAATAAGCAAAATTGAAGATATATGTAGGCGTTTACATAACAAAGGAGAACCCTCTGGCGAGCCTCTCCCTGCTTGCCCCCAGAGAACCATCCGGAGTAGTTAGCATGTTTCATGTCCAGCTGCTGCTTGCCAAAAACATTCTCAGAACAAGAGGGACTAGCCCAAGAGGGAAAGGGCTAGTAGGTATGGTGAAAAAGGGGCAGGGTGGCTGGGTGCAGTGGCTCCCACCTGTAATCACAGCACTTTGGGAGGCTGAGGTGGGTGGATTGCTTAAGCTCAGGAGTTTGAGAGCAGCCTGGGCAACATGGCAAAACCCTGTCTTTACCAAAAATAAAAAATAAAATGAATAAATAAAATAGCTGGGTGGTGGCATGCATCTGTGGTCCCAGCTACTAAGGAGGTTGATGTGAGAGGATCACTTGGGCCTGGGAGGCAGATGTTGCAGTGAGCTGAGATTGCATCAGTGCACTCCAGCCTGGGTCTCAAAAAAACAAAAAGAGAGGGGAGAGGTTGGCAGGGGAAGGGGCCGGGGAGTGAGCCTGCTGCAGTCCATTTCTTTCTCTGCCCCAGTATCACCCAGACAGGTGCCTGTGTGTCCTTCTCTCCTCCCGTCATCACAAGTTGGATAGCTGGCTGGAAGCAAGGTGACCTACTCAGTCACCAGCTCCTGAACTGAGATTCCATTGCTTGGTTGCTAACAATAGAGTCTCCAATGTGTAGATGGCAACCAGGGTGGGCCCTGGACTGCAGCAAGGTACAGCTGGCCAGGTGGACAGGAGCTGAGAGCAGTGGGGGAGTAGAAACAGAAGAAAATACCCCAGCTTGGTCCCCAGATGCTCCAGCAGTGCCCACATTCCATATGTAAACAGGTGCCAGGCCTGCAGGTTATAGTTTACTGATCCTAGCTTTAGTGGACAATAAAATGTAAAATATTTTGCTTTGGTGGATGTGATGGTTTTAAACTATATCCACAAAGTCTTTCACATTCTTCCCTTTAAAAAGGTAGAACTTAATTCCTCCCCCCTTGAGCATGGGCTAGACTTAGTGACTCACTTCTAATGACTAGAATGTGGTGAAAGTAATGGTGTGTGGCTTCTGAGACTAGGTCTTCACTCTCTGTCAGATCACTCACTCTAGGAAGTCAGCTGCCATGTCATGATGATGCTCAAGCAGCCTTGTGGAAAAGCTTCACAAGGAGAGGAACTGAGGCCTCCTGTCAACAGCCATGAGAGGGGGCTGTCTTAAAAGCAGATCCTCCATCCCCAGTCAAGCCTTCAGATGACGGCAGCCCCTGTGGACATCTTGACCACAACTTCATGAGACCCTAAGCCAGAAACACTCAGCTAAACTGCCCTGGATTTCTGACTCTCAGAAACTGTGAGATAATAAATGTGTGTTATTCTAAACTAACAGTCTAGAATAAACTGTTATGCAGCAATAAATAACCAAGACAGTGGATTTTTATAAAAGACACTTTAAAAATCAGTCTTAACTTCTGGTGCCATCTGGTGTGCATGTTCAGCTGCCTCCTTGAATATGCACTTGGATGTCTCACACATATCTCAAAGAAACATGATGTTCTCCAAACTTGCTCCTTTAGAGTTTGTCCATCCTAGGCCTCCTTTAATTCCACACCTCAGGAATGACTCCATCATAATCTAGAAGATCTAGAAGTTACTTCTTTTTTTTTTTTTTTGAGATGAAGTCTCACTCTGTCACCCAGGCTGGAGTGCAGTGGCACAATCTCAGCTCACTGCAAACTTCACTTCCTGGGTTCAAGCAATTCTTCCTCAGCCTCCTGAGTAGCTGGGATTACAGGCAAAAGCCACCATATCCGGCTAATTTTTGTATTTTTAGTAGAGATAGGGTTTCACCATGTTGACCAGGCTAGTCTCAAACTCCTGACCTCAGGTGATCTGCCCGCCTCGGCATCCCAAAGTGCTGAGATTACAGGTATGAGCCACTGTACTCGGCCAGAAGTCACTTCTTTTGCTTCGTTTCCTCACTCTGCCCACCCACTATGCAGATAGTATGCACACACACACATGCATGCACACACACACACATTCATCCACACCTCCAGTTATCACCTACATCTTAGAGGGCATGCATTTCTCACCACCAACTAGTGTCACGCCTTGCCTCAGTTGGGGAAAGGCCCCCTAATTGGTCTCCTGGCTTCCCACTCAACCCCATCTTCTACTCAATAGTGAGAGTCACTTTCCAATGAGAACTAGATCATGCCACCACCTGGCACAAATCTCCCCAAGGCCTGCCTTTGAAATGAGAATGAGATCCCAGCTTTCCACAGAGGCAGTGAGCCCCTGGCATGGTCTGCCCTCGGCCTGCCCATCCCACCTCACCCCTCCTGCTCCCCTCCTCTGTGCTTATCCACCCCACGCCTCTTCCCCCTCAGAGCTCAGCACACACTGCTCCCTCAGCCTAGAGCATTCCTCCCCAAGTCACATGGCTTCCTCCCCACACCCCTGGAACCCACCTTAAATGTTTTCTCCTGTCTGGCCTTCCCAGCCTCCTCATCTAAAGTAAACCCGCCTGTTATTTTATTTCTCAGTCTACTGTTTATTTGCATCACAATACTTCATGCAAGTTAAAGTATTTGATTCATTATATTTTGTCTGTCCATGGACCAAGCCATAGACGAGCCACAGTTTACTGACAGGAGCAGCCACTTGGGAGTCCCCAGACTTGGGTTCACACACCGGCCCCCATGAGTTCAGCTGAGCAGGTCATACTGTAGCATACGATGGGAACTGGTGGGGCCTCTCCATCACCTTGTCCAAGCCCCTGCAGACAGAGGTGTGCTATGGCCATCAAATGAGGGGGTTTTGAGTAGTCCAAGGGCTACAGATGCCAGTCTCCTGCTTCTGAACCTCAACACAGAAACCGTGTGTACTGAGCCAGTGTACTTAGTTTGTATTTCTGTTTTTCAATGCCTAGGAACCCTAAGTGACATTTATGGACATTCATTAAATGCAGAAAGACAGAAGCCTTGTCCATGACTCCAAGTTCCCAATCTAGAGGGGAGAGCATCAAAGGATATATTTGAGCACAGCACGTTCATTAGACAACAGAGGCTGAACCAACCCCTGTAGAAGCCAAAAGAGAAAGGGTGGGGGAGGGGTTGGGAGAGTCCTGCAGGGACCTTGAGGAAGGGGAAAGGGCTGACAGGGCAGGTTTGGCTGAATAACTTTCCACACCCTCCTCCCCAACCCAGTTATATCAGAACCACTTTACAGAGCCATCCACTTTACAGAGCCATCCACTTTACAGAGCCAGAGGGCATGACTGGAAAAACATGTCCCCTGGCACCAGGGCACTAGTCTCCACTCAGAAGTCATATGCCAGGGGGAGGGGGGGTTTTCCGGTCACCTAGTCCTCTCCCTTCTTGTCAAATTACACTGGGTTGCTAGGTAGGAGGTGTGGAGTGGGTGCAGGGTTAACCTCTCAGAGCATCCTAAGAAGGATCTGGGGGAGTTTGGGAGGAGACTCAACAAAGTCTGGGAGGAGACTCACCTCATCATGCAGGTGCCAAGCCATTCTTGGCACTCCCACTGGGAGGCTGGGAGGGGGACAGGAGCAAGGGATGGAGCAGGAGAGGAGGACGGAGCTGATGCCAGAGGTCACCTTAACCAGCCATGCAGAGAGAGGCTCTCTCCTCCACACCTGCCCCTCAGAACTCCCAGGACCCCTCCACCCCAGGCTGCCCAGCTCCAAGCCCTCCACAGCACCCTTCCAGGCGTGTCATCAATGTAAGGAAAACCTCTATCATCAGCCTTGCTGTATCCAAGAGAACCACTGTAACCCATGGGAATTTCTGGGGGCACCAAGATACAATGGGCAATAATATGACAACCAAGGAGCTTTGGTGACTCACAAATTCCATTCTATCCTCACATAAGGCCACTGCCTGGACACCAGCGTTGGAATGAACGCAGTGAGTTTTCTGATAGAAACGGGGGTAAATAGGAGCTAAATAGTCAAGTAAGGTCAGTATAGTCAGCCAAATTCTGAATTAAATGACATTTATGCCACATGATCAGAGTTTCCCTGGGGACTTCTGATTAATTTTATTGTAATTTGTTTAGCTAGAAAATCCAGCCAGGGGAGGCAGAGGGTCCAGACGGGATTAAGAGGGCAATTCCAAGGCCAAGCTGCCTGGGCGGGAGCCCTGCCTACCCACTCTCTGGCCACATGTCCCTGAGAACACAGCCTAACCTCTCTGAGCCTGATGTTCTCATGTGGACGTGATGGAGCAAACAGCACTGAGCTCACAGGTTGGCGAGAACATCACATAGGATCATTGTGTCAAGAGCTTAAGACAGTACCTGGCACCTAGCAAGATCAAAAAAAAGTTCAATCATTTAAAGAAAAAAGAAAGGAAACTAAGAATCCCTGTCACCAATTAAATGTAAGACAAAAACAAGAGGTATGTGAGCATCCGAGGGTTTTTCCTCCACCTGGCATGATTAGCAGAGGTTCTTTGGGTGAATAATGGGTGAACCCCCCAGTCCCTGAGTTCTGGGAGAGGGTTTGGTCCAGCAGAAGAGCTAGCAACAGGGCAGAGCCGCTAACAAGCCAGACAATTCCTCCTCCTCTGGGTCTCCAGTCACTTTCCGCCCTTGCCTCAGGCCTGTCCCCACCCCAAGCCAGGGGGCGTGAGACGCTGGAAGAAAAGACTTCCCCGCCAGGGCCATGTGTCAATCATACCATTCAGGACACAAACAAAGTTGATTTATCTCCCCTGGACAGCGCTTTGGACCAGAAAGCTTTGGGCTCAGCCTTGGGCGCCGGAGCAGTACGCGCAGGGGAACTGCTAAGCCGGAGCAAGATTCACTCGCGGGGACCCCTGCCTCCCCACGCTCTCTCCTTTCTCGCCTTCCCACCATAGTCCTGGACCTCAGATAACGGTGGATGCCTAAGCCCCAGCCGCTGTCCGGTTAGGGACGTTTACCCCTGTCGCTCCGGCAGATTGCAGGTCACCAAGGCACAGAGGAAGGATTAAACAACTGAGCGCCCGGGGCACCGGCCATCCGCCCGCGTCCTCCCACGGGGAGCGCAAGGCCCCCGCTCCCGCCCCCCGGCCACCTCGGACGCCCAGCGCTTACCTGCCCCGAGGGGCGGGCACTGACAGTCCTGGCCTGCCCGCCGCGGCTGTTTACACCGCAGAGGCTGTTTACACCGCAGAGGCTGTTTACACCCGCTGAGCAGCACGGCCGAGCCGGAAGAAGCCTCCCGTGCCTGTGCGCTAACAGGCTATATTTGTAGGCGGATAATATGATCTGGAGGACATGTGCTAAATCAACTATCTATCTATTCTATGTGACTCAGCCCAGCCTGAGACAAAACAGACTTCGTAGGGGAGGGCTTGGCACCCTGCGCGCTGCAGCCGGCCAGCGCGAGCCCCGGCCCAGGGACTATCTGCAGCCTCCTACCCAGGGCCAGACATTTTCACACTGGAGATCCCGGAGGGTGTGGAATGGAAGGGAGCTGGTTCCGAGTGCTCAGCACGCTAAGCTGGGAACCCAGCCAGACGCAGGCTTTGAAAGCCATATGACCAAGGGAATGTAAAAGTGTTTTCGATGTTGGAAGCAGCAGACATCGAAGGTCTCAATTTCACCGTTACATTTTATCTTTTTAATATCCTAAAATGTATGTGAGTTTAGGTTCTCTTTAGATACTTTACTAATTGGCCAAATATGTTTTGCTGATAGCCGACATCGTGAAAATATGACAAGTTAATAATCAGTAATCAACTCCCTGGCTGCTCCCAGGAGTCCATGTGAACACGTCCTGATCCTTAATGGCAATGGCTCCTCATATCCCTTAGCCTAAACTGAAAAATACCTTTTGTGTGATATATGTGTCATACTTCTAAAATTCATTTCCTTAAAAATCATTATTTTCTTTTCTTTTCTTTTTTTTTTTTTTTTTTTGAGAGGAGTCTCACTGTCGCCCACGCTGGAGTGCAGTGGTGTGATCTCGGCTCACTGCAACCTGCGCCTCCCGGGTTCAAGCGATCCTCCTGCCTCAGCCTCCCCAGTAGCTGGGATTACAGGCGCCTGCCACCACGCGCGGCTAATTTTTGTATTTTTGTAGAGATGGGGTTTCACCATGTTGGCCAGGCTGGTCTAGAATTCCTGACCTCAGGTGACCCGCCCACCTCGGCCTCCCAAAGTGCTGGAATTACAGGCATGAGCCACCGTGCCTGGCCTTTTGAAAATAATGCTTTTTGGTGGGGCACGGTGGCTCACGCCTGTAATCCCAGCACTTTGGGAGGCCGAGGCAGGTGGATCACCTGAGGTCGGGAGTTTGAGACCAGCCTGGCCAACAGGGAGAAACCCCGTCTCTACTAAAAATATAAAATTAGCTGGGCGTAGTGGCAGGCGCCTGCAATCCCAGCTACTGGGGAGGCTGAGGCAGGAGAATTGCTTGAACCCGGGAGGCCGAGGTTGCAGTGAGCCGAGATCGCACCATTGCACTCCAGCCTGAGCAACAAGAGCGAAATTCTGTCTCAAAAAAAAAAGGACTTTTATCTGAGAAATGCAAGTTTTTTTCATTATCAGGCCCAAGGAGACATTAAAATGAAACTGCACTCATGCCCTACTCCCCTCTTTGAGCTATATGTCTTCATCTCTTGAAATTACTTGCTATTGTCACAAGTAGCTGTAAATTAGCCTAATAGCAACACGCCAGACACTATAACCACACCCTATAGCTAAAGGATATATAGCCAATCACTTATCAATGTTATTTCTGTAAACCAATGAAAATTCATAACAAATAACTTTATATCAATCCCTCTCTGTCTCCTTCTTTTACTTTTAAAAATCCACTCATTGAGCAACTGTATGCCAATAAATTGGAAAGTCTAGAAGAAATGAACAAACTTCTAGGTACATACAACCTACAAAGATTGAATCAGGAAGAAATTCAAAACCTGAACAGACCAATAACAAGTAACAAGATCAAGGCTGTAATAAAAAGTCTCCCAGTAAAAAAATGCCCAGAACCTGATGGCTTCACTGCTGAATTCTACCAAACATTTAAAGAAGAGCTAATACCAATCCTACCCAAACTATTCCAGAAAATAGAGGAGGAAGGGATACTTGCAAACTCATTTTATAGGCCAGTATTACCCTGATACCAAAACCAGAGAAAGACACATCAAAAAAAAAGAAAACTACAGGTCAAAATTCATCTCTGATGAATATTGATGCAAAAATCTTCAACAAAAATACTGGCAAGCCGAATTCAGCACTACATTAGAAAGATCATTCACCATGACCAAGTGGAATTTATGCCTGGGATACAAGGATAGTTCAACATACACAAATCAATTGACACAATACATCAGATTAACAGAATAAAGGATAAAAATCATATGATCATTTTAACTGATGCTGAAAAAGCACTGGATAAAATTCAACATTCCTTTATGATAAAAACCCTCAAAAAAACTGAGTTTTGAAGGAACATACCTCAACATAATAAAAGCCATATATGACAGATCCACAGCTAGTATCCTTACTGAATGGGGAAAAACTGAAAGCCCTTCTTCTAATATCTGGAACACAGCAAGGATGCCCACTGTCACCACTGTTATTCAACATAGAACTGGAAGTCCTAGCTAGAGCAATCAGACAAGAGAAAGATATAAAGGGCATCCAAATTGGAAAGGAAGAAGTTAAATTATCTGTTTGCTAATGATATGGTCTTATATTTGGAAAAACCTAAAGATTCCACAAGAAAACTATTAGAACTGATAAACTAAACAAATTCAGTAAAGTTGCAAGAAACAAAATCAACATACAAAAACCAGTAGCAGGCTGGGCACAGTGGCTCACACCTGTAATCCCAGCACTTTGGGAGGCCATGGCAGGTGGATTGCTGGACCCTAGGAGTTTGAGACCAGCTTGAGCAACATGGCAAAACCCCATCTCTACAAAAAAAAAAAAAATACAAAAATTAACCAGGCATGGTGGTATATACCTGTAGTCCCAGCTACTTGGGAGGCTGAGGTAGGAGGATAATCTGAGCCCAGGAGTCAGAAGTTGCAGTGAACCGAGATTGTGCCATTGCACTCCAGCCTGGGAAACAGAGACCCTGTCTTAAAAAAAAAAAAAAAAAAAAAAAAAAGTCAGTAGCATTTCTATAGGCCAACAGTGAACAATATGAAAATGAAATTTAAAAAGTAATCCCATGTACAATAACCACACATAAAATTAAATACCTAGGAATTAACTTAACCAAAGAAGTGAAAGATCTCTATAATAAAAACTATAAAACGCTGATGAAGGAAATTGAAGAAAATACCAAAAAATGGAAAAACATTCCATGTTCATGTGTTGGAAGAATCAATGTTGCTAAAATGTCCACACTACCCTAAGCAATCTACAGATTCAACGCAGTCCCTATCAAAATACTGGACATTTTTCACAGAAATAGAAAAAACAATTCTAAAATTTATATGAAACCACAGAAGACCCAGAATAGCCAAAGCTACCCTAAGCAAAATAACAAAACTGGAGAAATCACATTACCTGACTTCAAATTATACCACAGAGCTATAGTAACCAAAACAGCATGGTACTGGCATAAAAACAGACACATAGACCATGGAACAGAATAGAGAACCCAGAAACAAATCCACACACCTACAGTGAACTCATTTTTGACAAAGGAACCAAGAACATATGCTAGGGAAAAGAACAGTCTCTTCAATAAAAGGTGCTGGGAAAACAGGATATCCATATGCAAAAGAATGAAACTAGACCCCTATCTCTCACCACATACAAAAATCAAATCAAAATGGATTAAAGACTTAAATCTAAGACTTCAAACTATGAAACTACTACAAGAAAACATTGGGCAAAATCCCCAAGACCTTGGTCTGGTCAATGCCATAACCACAGGCCACAACCACACAAATACCCCACAAACACAGGCAACCAAAGCAAAAATGGACAAATAGGATTACATCAAGTTAAAAAGCTTCTGCATAGCAAAGGATAAAATCAACAAAGTGAAGAGACAACCCACAGAAAGGGAGAAAATATTTTCAAACTACCCATTTGATAAGAGATTAATAATGAGAATATATAAGGAGCTCAACGCTATAGGAAAAAAATCTAACAATCTGATCAAAAAAACTGGGCAAAAGATTTGAATAGATTTCTCAAAAGAAGATATACAAATGGCACACAGGCATATGAAAGGATGCTCAACATCACTGATCATCAGAGAAATGCAGATCAAAACTACAATAAGATATCATCTCAACTCAGTTAAAATGGCTTATATCCAAAAGACAGGCAATAACAAATGCTGGTGAGGATGTGGAGAAAGGGAACCCTTGTACACTGTTAGAGGGAATGTAAATTAGTACAACCACTATGGAGAACAGTTTGGAGATTCCTCAAAAAACTAAAAATTGAGCTACCATATGAGCCAGAATTCTACTGCTGGGTATACACACAAAAGAAAGGAAATCAGTATATCAAAGAGATATCTGCATTCCTGTTTGTTGCAGCACTGTTTACAATAACCAAGATTTGGAAGCAACCTAAGTGTCCATCAGCAGATGAATGGATAAAGAAAATGTGGTACATATACACAATGGAATACTATTCAGCCATAAAAAAGAATGAGATCCAGTCATTTGCAATGACATGAATGGAACTGGAGATGATTATGTTAAGTGAAATAAGCCAGGCACTGAAAGACAAACATCCCATGTTCTCACTTCTTTGTGGGATCTAAAAATCAAAGTAGCGCTGGGTGTGGTGGTTCGTGCCTGTAATCCCAGCACTTTGGAAGGCCGAGTCAGGTGGATCACCTGAGGTCCGGAGTTCGAGACCAGCCTGTCCAACATAGTGAAACCCTGTCTCTACTAAAAATACAAAAAATTAGCCAGGCATAGTGGCAGGCACCTGTAATCCCAGCAACTCAGGAGGCTGAGGCAGGAGAATCATCTGAACCCTGGAGGTGGAGGTTGCAGTGAGCTGAGACTGTGTCACAGCCCTCCAGCCTGGGAGACAAGAGTGAGACTCCGTCTCAAAAAAAAAAAAAAAGAAAAGAAAAGAAATTAGCCAGGTGTGGTGGCACGTGCCCGTAGTCCCAGCTACTCGGGAAGCTGAGGCATGAAAATCACTTGAACCCAGCAGCAGGTAGAGGCTGCAGTAAGCCAAGATGGCACCACTGCACTACAGCCTGGGCAACATAGCAAGACTCCATCTCAAAAAAATAAAATAGCCATTAAGAGCTGTATGTGATCAAATACAAAATCCACCACGTAAGAAGCACTTGTTTTTTTATTGTTGTTGTTTGTTTTTTTGTTTTTTTTTTTTTTGTTTTTTTTTTTTGAGATGGAGTTTCACTCTTGTTGCCCAGGCTGGAGTGCAATGGCCTGATCTCAGCTCACCACAACCTCTGCCCCCCGGGTTCAAGCAATTCTCCTGCCTCAGCCTCCTGAGTAGCTCGGATTACAGGCACCCGCCACCACGCCTGGCTAATTTTGTATTTTCAGCAGAGACAGGGTTTCTGAATGTTGGTTAGGCTGGTCTCAAACTCCTGACCTCAGGTGATCCACCTGCCTTGGCCTCCGAAAGCGCTGGGATTACAGGCATGAGCCACCCCACCGGCTTAAGAAGCACTTTTAAATTAGATTGTCCAGGTCATGAAAACCAAGTGAGACCCCAGCTTGCCTCCCAAGTCTAACTCCTGGGAGTCTGTCTGCCCATCTATCTGTCTGCTGGGGCCAAATGGCCTTGACTTGGTTGGTAGGAAATTAGGAAGTGACTGCCTCCTCACCATCAGCAGCTTACTGATCACACTAAAATGGCACTTCATTTAGATTACTGGGCTTGTCTTATCTCGGGGGAGGGGAGATGGGAGCAGGAGCCCTACCTTGGAAATCTCTGTCTACCCCATCGTGCTAAGCACAGATAGCTGATCAGTAAATATTTGTTGAATTTAATTGAAAAAAATTAAGATTTTAGTGTAAAAGAATTCTAAATTATAGCTATGTCTAAAAGTCTAAATCAGGGCTCGGCACGGTGGCTCATGCCTGTAATCCCAGCACTTTGAGAGGCCAAGGCAGGCAGATTGCCTGAGGTCAGGAGTTCGAGACCAGCCTGGCCAACATGGTGAAACCTCTTCTGTACTAAAAATACAAAATTAGCCAGGCATGGTGGCGCACACCTGTAATCCCAGCTATCTAGGAGGCTGAGGCAGGGGAATCGCTTGAACCTGGGAAGCAGAGGTTGCGGTGAGCCAAGATCGTGCCATTGCACTCCAGCCTGAGCATCAAGAGTGAAACTCCATCTCAAAAAAAAAAAGGTTAAATCAGATTTTCCATAGTCTAACATGGTTCCCAGTAAGTACATCAAAATTATCTTGTCTTATATGTGTTAAATGCTCTTTTTTTTTTTTTTTGAGACGGAGTCTCACTCTGTCACCCAGGCTGGAGTGCAGTGGCGCGATCTCGGCTCACTGCAAGCTCTGCCTCCCGGGTTCACGCCATTCTCCTGCCTCAGCCTCCTGAGTAGCTGGGACTACAGGCGCCCACCACCACACCCGGCTAATTTTTTGTATTTTTAGTAGAGACGGGGCTTCACTGTGTTAGCCAGGATGGTCTCGATCTCCTGACCTCGTGATCTGCCCGCCTCGGCCTCCTAAAGTGCTGGGATTCCAGGCGTGAGCCACCGCGCCCGGCCGTATATGGTAAATACTCTTAACAAGTTGCCCAGAATTCAGCCCAGAATATCAGTGGTGGTTTGGGTTACGTATTTCAAATTTGTCTTTTTTCCCTTCTTTGCTGGGGGAAGAGGGTATTCTTTGTTTTATTTCTAGGATGAGGCTTGAGGAAACAAGTTGTTTTCCTGTGGCACTTCTCAAGGACCTTGCCCTCGCCCCAACCCCATTTTAGAAAATAGGGCTGAGATTTAATATGTGTCTGTCACAGATGTGGCTGGTGGAGAAAGACTAAGCCAAAAGAAAATCAGCACAGGTAAACACTGCACTAGAGGTTGGAGAAGCTAAGGTTTCTGGAAGACCAGATTTCTGGACCTCTTAGTCCAAGGGAATAAAGGATAGGGGGAAGAGTTGGTGAAAGACAAACACACACACACACACACACACACACACACACACACAAAGCAGTTTACAATACAGTGAGACCGAGCAAGGTGACTCATGCCTGTAATCCCAGCACTTTGGGAGGCTGAGGCAGGCAGATTGCCTGAGGTTGGGAGTTTGAAACCAGCCTGGCCAACATGGTAAAACCCCGTCTCTACTAAAAACACAAAATTAGCCAGGTGTGGTGGCTCATGCCTGTAATCCCAGCTACTCAGGGGACTGAGGCAGGAGAATCGCTTGAACCTGGGAGGTGGAGGTTGCGGTGAGCTGAGATCGCGCCATTGCACTCCAGCCTGGGCAGAAAGAGTGAAACTCCATCTAAAAAAAAAAAAAAAAAAAAAATATATATATATATATATATATATATATATATGCAGTGAAGACAAGATAAAATCTGGGGACGGTGGTTGCCAGGACAGGGCTCTCAGAACAGCTGGAAGCTGGAGTAGGGAGGATGGTCTCAGCAAGGACTTCCCAGAGCAAATGAAATTTGGGCTGAGTCTCAAAGAAGCCAGTCCAAGTGCTCTGTAAGAAGGACCAGCCAGGTCATAGAAAATGAAATACAAACACCCAATAACCAAGCAACAATGAAATACTACTTTTCACATACTGTATTAACAAAATTTAAGATGCTTGCTGCAGCCAGACCTGGTAAGTACTTGGGAGATAAGCTCTCAATACCAACTCAAGGGGGAGGGAGGAGGGGCGGAGAGGAGATTGGTGCAGGCTTCTTCGAAAATAATTTGGAAGCATCCACCCTTTAACCAAGCAATTCCAGTGCTAGAAATTTACAAGAGGAATATGCTCTCAAGCGTTCACCAAGATATATGTACAAGGAAGTTCACCACAAAACGTGGAAACATGTCATGTCTATTCATTGATAAAATAATGTATACTATGTCTACATAGGAAGAAATATGATACGGCCCCCATGGCGCACGGAAAAAAAATGAAGTCCTCTCTTAAGCCCTTCTCCATTCCTCTTACGCCATTTATGTAACAATATGGCTCTAAAATGACTTGCTTGAGCATGTCTTCCCCACTGAAATTGCAGATTTTTGAATGCAGGAATCTGTCCTTTTATGTCCCACACAGAGACCTTTGGCAAATACAGAGTAAGTTTCCAGTTGCAATTTGTAAGTTTGCCAGTGAAAACAGAAAGCCATTAACTTGTTAATGAAGTGTGGCCAGGACACATTGGGTGGATAATGCTTCCGCAGGAGTGTAGCTCAGGTGTTAACAGAAGCTAAGCTTGATGAAATTAGAGGCCCCAGCATTCCTCAGCTGGAGGGTACATACATATACAGAACTCCCCCGCCCCCTCTGCTCTCTCTTATCTTCTGGCCTGCCTGGATGTTCAAGGGAACAATGACAGAGGTAAGACCTAAGTGCCCTATGATAAAAGAAGGCTTTTACCTTGAAATACTGTCATTGTAGTGCAGACATGGCATTCTTTTGTTAACTCTTTGGTTGGAATTTAGTTCTACGTGTTCTCAACTATTTAAACAAGGTCGAATTGGCTTTTGATAGCTAAAATTGATCCCATTCTCCAAGTTTATTTTCTTCCTTGAATTTTAGGCAGACACAGGAAGTCTGTCCTTTGATTATGATGTATTTCATTCCACCATTCTTGTTTGGATGGTTTTAAGTCAAATGCTTATTTGTGTGATTTTTAAACACAATTCTGCCCCAGTTTTTAATACACAATGTCTCAAGGGCAGTACCAAGAAATGGCCAACACCAAGAGCATTGTTTTTCATTTTCTGCTCTCAGTGCCTTTTGTAAGGGATGAGATGGGCTGCCTGTGATTGGGGAACCCCCGTTGCACAGCACTTCCCAATCCTAGGCCTGACCTTTTGACACAAAGCACTCATTGGCCTGGAGGCTGGCCAGCAGCCCAGTTTCAACAGTGACCAAGCAGAGGTGACCAGTGGCCATCCTAGGGTAGCCATTCAATTCCCCCACCTGGAGGCAGCAACAACTTTTTGCAGTTAGTACAATTAGAATCAACAATTACTGTTCTTTCTCTCCAGCCTCACAGTGGGGTTACTTCTCACAACTGTTTCTCCAGCGCCAAACTCCAGTCTACAGGCCGCCCAGTAGTAGACATCAAATACCTGTTAAATAGCCCTTACATCTCCAGCCCAACGGCAAATATCTAACCTCTCTTAAACACCACAGCCCTTCCCTTCCCCTTCTCCCCACCCCCCATCCCAAAACCTGGCCCAGGCTCTGAATACCCTGGATCCACTTGGCTTCCTCTGCAGTCAGTACCTATGGGGAATGGGAATCTCTTCAGGGGGTTCTGGTCCTTAGAGAAGGGATTTTGTGTGGCTGAAAAGCTGGCATCCTGGGGTTCTGGTCCCGTCAATGACAACATCGCCAGACTGGAGACCTCAGTTACTTCCTCTGAAAATGCAGTGATTTCCAGGGGTCCTATTTAAGCTCTAAAAATTCCACAAGAGCTTTAGATAAGGAAATAGCAACGCAGGGGTGTGTTCTTTTGCCAGTTCTGCCACAGGCCTGCCCAGTCTCTAAAGACAAGACATCCAAATCCCCCAATAGAACTAGTTGTCTTGTCCATAAAGTGAGACTAATATTGTGGGCGCTACTTATCTACTTAGCACCTTGGACTGGTGAGGACTGTGGTGCACAAGCTACCTTACAAATGTACCACACTGAGTAACATCTTTAAACCTCCTTGCAGCTCCAGGGCTAGCCTTCTCCTTTGCGGAGCCCTCCCCCACCTCCGGCCTCCTAGAGCTTCAGGCCATGTTCCCCTGTCCCCTGTGAATCTCAGCATGCTACCTGAAGCATTTCACCTGAAAAGGCCACACAGGGAGGAGGCGAAGCGCAGCAGGAATGAAATAGTCAACTGCTGTGGAGTTGGAAATGTTGCTGCATCCCACCATTGACTGGATGGGGCCTCACTCCCCCAATACAAATTATTTTACGTTTGCTTCTCCCAAGATCATGTGTAAGGCCGGGCGCGGTAGCTCATGCCTGTAATCCCAGCACTTTGGGAGGCCGAGGCGGGTGGATCATGAGGTCAGGAATTTGAGACCAGACTGACCAACATGGTGAAACCCTGTCTCTACTGAAAATACAAAAATTAGCCGGGCGTTGTGGCGGGCGCCTGTAATCCCAGCTACTCAGGAGGTTGAGGCAGGAGAATGAGGCAGGAGAATCACTTGAACCCAGGAGGTGGAGGTTGCAGTGAGCCAAGATCGTGCCATTGCACTCCAGCCCGGGTAACAGAGGGAGACTCTGTCGCAAAAAAAAAAAAAAAAAAAAAAAAAAAATCATGTGTAGAAGTAAATAACACCTCTTCCCAGCACCTGTGGATCCATGGCATTCACACAGGTAGGCACTGACGCTGAAATGGCCTCAGATGCTACCAATTCTTTCTGCCGAGGCCTAAATCCAATAAACAGAGATGGATGGAAACAACTATCTAATAAAAGTTTCGCATTTGTGTGCCTGGCAACATTAAGTAACCGTCAGGCTTTCCTTTAGAAATTGGAATTAAATGCGATTTAGAAACTATTAACGACTTTGGGCGTATTTAATAACACATGAAATAACCCGGAGGATTGAAATGTTAGGTGAGGCGACTCCGGCTCATAGACGCGCCTCTCCATCTGGGGCGTCTGGCACTTAGTGGAACCACTCAATAAACACGTTTACCCCTGCAAGCGGCACATCAGAGTCCGGGGGTAATTCTCGGTGTCGTGGGGCCAGGACGGCGAGGGGCTGGAAGAGGCCGCCCTGTGGGAGCTGGGAGGCTGAGATAAATTCCCGTGATTGGGGGCTGAAATGGCCTCCCATGCCGGACTGCCGTGGTTCTAGAACTTTTTCCTGGAACAGGCCGGCACTCCCACTGGAGAGTCCCAGCTGCTGCGCCTCTGGCCGCCCCTCCCCTCTCCCGGGCACCTGGCGCCGGCTCCCGCGTCCTTTCAGGAATTCACGTCCGCCTGGAATTTGCACTTCAAGTCTGGAGCCCCCAAGGAACCCCTCCTGACCCTGAACTTCTATCTCAGTTTCAAGCTTCCTAGTCTTCCCCACACACACACACCTAGCTCCTCAGGCGGAGAGCACCCCTTTCTTGGCCACCCGGGTATCCCCCAGGGGGAGTACGGGGCTCAAAACACCCTTCTGGAAAAACAAAGGTGGAAGCAAATTTCAGGAAGTAAAACTTCCTGAAATAAAATAAAATATCGAATGCCTTGAGACCCATACATTTTCAGGTTTTCCTAATTAAAGCAATTACTTTCCACCACCCCTCCAACCTGGAATCACCAACTTGATTAGAGAAACTGATTTTTCTTTTTTCTTTTTTTTTCCCAAAAGAGTACCTCTGATCATTTTAGCCTGCAACTAATGATAGAGATATTAGGGCTAGTTAACCACAGTTTTACAAGACTCCTCTTCCCGCGTGTGGGCCATTGTCATGCTGGTGGGCGTCCCGCCCACCTGAAAGGTCTCCCCGCCCCGACTGGGGTTTGTTGTTGAAGAAGGAGAATCCCCGGAAAGGCTGAGTCTCCAGCTCAAGGTCAAAACGTCCAAGGCCGAAAGCCCTCCAGTTTCCCCTGGACGCCTTGCTCCTGCTTCTGCTACGACCTTCTGGGGAAAACGAATTTCTCATTTTCTTCTTAAATTGCCATTTTCGCTTTAGGAGATGAATGTTTTCCTTTGGCTGTTTTGGCAATGACTCTGAATTAAAGCGATGCTAACGCCTCTTTTCCCCCTAATTGTTAAAAGCTATGGACTGCAGGAAGATGGCCCGCTTCTCTTACAGGTATGAGCTAATCTTGAATGTGAACTTTTTTTGATTGCTAGAGATTGCCAGCTTAGGAAGTAATGTTCTACACCTGTCATTTGATTTTTCTCTTGCTCAAGCCTTAAAAGAGCTGCCAACCGCACTGCTGTTTTTCCTGAAAGACCTGGAATTTCACATGGTTACTTCTAACTTTGCCATTGGCTTTTAACATTTTCGTGTTAATGTTAATTTTCATTTTATGTTAATGACTCTGCCTATGAAATAGTGTTTCTTTATTCTTGTACAAATAAAGGTCAGTACTACAACCAAATTTAAAATCTTCCGAAAAGATTAAAGGTATAAGCAGATTCAATACTTGGCAAAACTATTAAGATAATAGCAAAAAAAAAAAAAAAAACCCACATTTTTTACCTAAAAACCTTTTAAGTGATTGGTTAAAATAGTTTGGCCGGGTGCGGTGGCTCACGCCTGTAATCCTAGCACTTTGGGAGGCAGAGGCGGGTGGATCACCTGAGGTCAGGAGACCAGCCTGGCCAACATGGCAAAACCCCGTCTCTATTAAAAATACAAAAATTAGCCAAGCATGGTGGCGGGCACCTGTAATCCCAGCTACTCTGGAGGCTGAGGCAGGAGAATTGCTTGAACTGGGGAGGGGAGGCAGTGAGCCGAGATCGCACCATTGCACTCCAGCCTGGGTGAAAAACCGAAACTCCCTCTCAAAAATAAATAAATAAATACAGTAGTTTGTAAAATGATTCATCGGTAACATGGGATGCAGCTATTTTTTAATCCTTATATGAAAATTGTATGCAGGGGAAAACATGTGAAATAGAAGATAAAAGACATATACCTACTTAAAATTAGGTACTTATGTGAGGACAGGGCCTAAGAAATAATAATATATATTAAAAAGACTTGGATATTGGTGACTTTTTTTCAACATTTTTCTTTGTTACATGAATTAGCCATTAAAAAAAGAAAGATGGTGCTCTACAATTTCTTTTCAGTGATCTGTGGTCTTGTCCTTGTGATGAGAGGACCTGGGTGTTAACTTGTAAGGTTTTATTTCCTTTGTTTGGCTAACTCATGTCTGACTTCCTCTTCCTAGTGTGATTTGGATCATGGCCATTTCTAAAGTCTTTGAACTGGGATTAGTTGCCGGTGAGAGACCTTTTGTTCTTTTGATCACTCTCAATTTTTATGTGGCCTAAAATACAGACTCCATGAATTGATTTTGTCGTTAAGGGCTGGGCCATCAGGAATTTGCTCGTCCATCTCGGGGATACCTGGCCTTCAGAGATGACAGCATTTGGCCCCAGGAGGAGCCTGCAATTCGGCCTCGGTCTTCCCAGCGTGTGCCGCCCATGGGGATACAGCACAGTAAGAACTGCCTGACTTCGATGCTTCTGCCCTGGCCCTTCATGTGTCTCCTGAGTATCTTTCCAACACTCTTTCACCTAAAAGGGCACCTGGTTCTGGAACTGTGCAGGTGCTGGACTGCTTTTGGTTTTGGAAGTGAGACAAGGATTGTGTATTTTACTTCCCTAGAGTGCAGTTTTCCTCCCCTGAGTCCACTTCACACTGGGGAACCCAGAACCACCACTGGCCTATGCATGAAAATGACTTCTCTGCTCAAAGGCACAGAGACTTACTCTGATACAACACATTGGTGTTGTATTAACCTTCGCTTACAGGAATTGCCCTTGCACTTTTCCATCCCTACACCCTCAGTCATCTGTTCTTACCTTTCAGGTAAGGAGCTAAACAGAACCTGCTGCCTGAATGGGGGAACCTGCATGCTGGGGTCCTTTTGTGCCTGCCCTCCCTCCTTCTACGGACGGAACTGTGAGCACGATGTGCGCAAAGAGTAAGCAATTCAGAGGGGCGGGGAGCCGTGGAGAGGAGAGAGAAAGGGAAGTGGAAATTTCAGACCCAAGGCTATCGCCTTACCTGTTCATTCTCAGGAACTGTGGGTCTGTGCCCCATGACACCTGGCTGCCCAAGAAGTGTTCCCTGTGTAAATGCTGGCACGGTCAGCTCCGCTGCTTTCCTCAGGCATTTCTACCCGGCTGTGGTAAGCGGAGGTTCTCCTCTTTCTTTTGCCCTTTGAAGTTACGTAGTTGCCTTGGGGGGTGCTTAGTTAGCAGGCTCTCCTTGTACCTCTTGTCTTGCTAGAGCCTGGCAGCCAAAGTTCTGCTTATAAAAGCATCGCAGACTCCTGATGAGATAGTTGCCTTGGCCTCTTTGATATTTATTTCCTCGGGAACCTGGCTAGTCCTGCTGCCTTTCAGATAGAGATGTATTTCAAGTCTATTTGACATTTTATGGTCTGAACTTCTATTGAGGAAAATAAACAAGTCTCGGTCTCTTGTTAAACCAAGAGATGTTCTCTGGTGTTCCTTTCCTTTGGGTAGGGGGACCCAAACCAGGATGGGCAGCTCATTTAGAGCCCACCCTGACGACAAATTCTATCAGAGGCTTGGCCCCTTGCTAGTCCTTTAGAAACTTCCAGAGTCCTAAAAGTCCCTGGTAACCCCCTCCCCATACCTTACCATGACTGGTCACAGAACCCTTACCATGACTGGTCACAGAACCCTTTCACCTTCTTGATTTTTACTGATTTGAGGAATACAATGAAAAGAAGGGCAGCACCTGGAGAGGAAAAGAGGCGACAGTCCTCTCTCCACCCTAGCCTGAGCCAGGTTTCTAGGGCCCCCCAAATTCAGAGACCTATTATAGTTCTGGGCCTTGGAGATGTTAGAAATGGAAAATATTCAAGTCCAGGAAGTAAATGAAAGCAAACATTTCACTGAGAACAGGAAGGAATTCCCCAATCCAGACAGGGATTGTGTCTTTGCCATTTGCATCCTGGGTGTCAGGCTCAGGATAGGTGTTTGATAAGTGTGGGTTGGGTGATTGGATGTGTAGGGAACATGTTCTCTTCCTGGAACATGGGGCCCAATCAGAATCTAACCAGGTTGTGCTCATTCCTGCAAGTGAAGGCATCACCACTGGGCTAGGTTCCAGGTGTGAGTGTCCTGAGAAGAGCAGGTTCACAGTAGCGTATAGATATGCCACATTTGTGGGCAGCAGGATGAACTGCCAGAGAGGTTTGCTTTAATGACCAAGCATCCCTACCTTCCAGATGGCCTTGTGATGGATGAGCACCTCGTGGCTTCCAGGACTCCAGAACTACCACCGTCTGCACGTACTACCACTTTTATGCTAGTTGGCATCTGCCTTTCTATACAAAGCTACTATTAATCGACATTGACCTATTTCCAGAAATACAATTTTAGATATCATGCAAATTTCATGACCAGTAAAGGCTGCTGCTACAATGTCCTAACTGAAAGATGATCATTTGTAGTTGCCTTAAAATAATGAATACATTTCCAAAATGGTCTCTAACATTTCCTTACAGAACTACTTCTTACTTCTTTGCCCTGCCCTCTCCCAAAAAACTACTTCTTTTTTCAAAAGAAAGTCAGCCATATCTCCATTGTGCCTAAGTCCAGTGTTTCTTTTTTTTTTTTTTTTTGAGACGGAGTCTCACTCTGTCACCCAGGCTGGACTGCAATGACGCGATCTTGGTTCACTGCAACCTCCGCATCCGGGGTTCAAGCCATTCTCCTGCCTCAGCCTCCCAAGTAACTGGGATTACAGGCATGTGTCACCATGCCCAGCTAATTTTTTTGTATTTTTAGTAGAGATGGGGGTTTCACCATATTGGCCAGTCTGGTCTCGAACTCCTGACCTTGTGATCCACTCGCCTCAGCCTCTCGAAGTGCTGAGATTACACACGTGAGCAACTGTGCAAGGCCTGGTGTTTCTTGATACATGTAATTCTACCAAGGTCTTCTTAATATGTTCTTTTAAATGATTGAATTATATGTTCAGATTATTGGAGACTAATTCTAATGTGGACCTTAGAATACAGTTTTGAGTAGAGTTGATCAAAATCAATTAAAATAGTCTCTTTAAAAGGAAAGAAAACATCTTTAAGGGGAGGAACCAGAGTGCTGAAGGAATGGAAGTCCATCTGCGTGTGTGCAGGGAGACTGGGTAGGAAAGAGGAAGCAAATAGAAGAGAGAGGTTGAAAAACAAAATGGGTTACTTGATTGGTGATTAGGTGGTGGTAGAGAAGCAAGTAAAAAGGCTAAATGGAAGGGCAAGTTTCCATCATCTATAGAAAGCTATATAAGACAAGAACTCCCCTTTTTTTCCCAAAGGCATTATAAAAAGAATGAAGCCTCCTTAGAAAAAAAATTATACCTCAATGTCCCCAACAAGATTGCTTAATAAATTGTGTTTCCTCCAAGCTATTCAATTCTTTTAACTGTTGTAGAAGACAAAATGTTCACAATATATTTAGTTGTAAACCAAGTGATCAAACTACATATTGTAAAGCCCATTTTTAAAATACATTGTATATATGTGTATGCACAGTAAAAATGGAAACTATATTGACCTAAATGTGAACTGGTTATTTCTAGGTGGTGAGGTGCTTTATGGTGGTGGGTTTTTGCTCTTGATGCCCTTTTTGCATTTTCCAAAGTACCATGGTGAGGATGTGTTATATCTTTTCCAGGGTCCTAAAAGTCCCTGGCAACTCCCTCCCCATACCCTACCATGACTGGTCACAGAACCCTTTCACCTTATTGATTTGTACTGATTTCATATGGAATATGGCAACTACATCTGGCTCAAAACAAAGGAAACCAGAAGAGCCAAGTCCCAGGTGAGTGCTCAGTTCTGTTTCTAGCTTTGACGTGTGTGTTCTTCTGTGAAGGACAAAATTTGCTTCTATTATTTAGGTACCATAATTTGTGTTTTTCCAAATTAATTCCCTGCAGATGCAAACTGCCAAATAGGTGACATTTTTTACAATGCCCAATGGAAAGAAAGTAAAATGGAATAAGCAGGAAGCAGTGAGGTGTACCAGAAAGCACAAAATCAGGAGGTAGACAGGCTGAATTTGGAAGGTGGTCTGGCCACTTACTGACAGTGGGACCCAGCTTCCTAATCTGAATCTGGATTAGTGCCTACATCACAGTATTAGAACTAAGTGACATAAAATAGTTAAATAGTTAAAACATTTATACAAAATAGATTCTCAATAAATGTCACATTTTCTTCTCTTTTTACCTGCATATTTACCGCAGAGGGTTTAAAAACATTTTTGGGGCCAGAAATAGAATTTATTTTTTTCTGAGACAGGGTTTCATGCTTCCGCCAGGCTGGACTGCAGTGGTGCATTCAGAGCAGTCTTGACTGCAGCCTTGACTGCCTGAGCTCAAGCACTCCTGCCACCTCAGTCTCCCAAGTAGCTGGGACCACAGGAGCACACCACCACACCCAGCTAATTTTGCTTATTTTTTACAGAGATGGGTTCTTGATTTAAGCCACGTCATCTGTGCTTATGCTTTTCTTTATATCAACTTATTTTTATGGTGGTAAAATATACATAACATTTACCATTTTAATCATTTGTAAGTTCAGTAGCATTTAAGTACATTTGCATTGTTGTGCAACAGTCACCACCATCTATTTCCAAAACTTTTTCATCATCCCAAGCTGAAACTCTACCTATTAAACATTAACTACCCCTTTGCCCTTCCCCAGGCCCTCGGTAACCACACTTACTTTGTCTCTGAATTTGACTGTTCTGGATACCTCCAGTAGGGGGAGTTATACGCTATTTGTCTTTTTGTGTCACATCGTGTCTTCAAGGTTCATCCATGTTGTAGCATGTGTCAAACTTTTTTTTTTTTTTTTTTGAGACAGGGTCTCGCTCTGTCGCCCAGGCTGGAGTGCAGTGGCGCCATCTCTGCTCACTGCAAGCTCCGCCTCCCGGGTTCACGCCATTCTCCTGCCTCAGCCTCCCAAGTAGCTGGGACTACAGGCGCCCGCCACCATGCCCGGCTAACTTTTTGGGGTTTTGTTGTTGTTGCTGTTGTTGTTTTAGTAGAGACGGGATTTCACCGTGTTGGCTAGGATGGTCTCGATCTCCTGACCTTGTGATCCGCCCACCTCGGCCTCCCAAAGTGCTGGGATTACAGGCGTGAGCCACCATGCCCAGCCAATGGGTGCTGTTTTAAAGGCCTGACATCAGAGAATGGTTTACTTATCAGAGCTCAGCCTCCACCATGGAATATTACATCACCTTTAAAAAATCATCTTTAGAAAGGATTTTTAATGCTCTGGAGAAATACTTAAGATACTATGTCAGGTGTTAAAGGGAGAAGACAGTATGGTCTCAACTAGAATTCTTAAAAGGTAAGAAACATAAAAACATTAAAGCGGTCAGTTCTGAATAGGATAATTATGGGTAATTTAACAAAAAATTTTTTAAACAACAATAGCATGTTAAATAAAAGAAAATTAGAGGCCAGGCATGGTGGCTCACGCCTGTAATCCCAGCACTTTGGGAAAAGGCCGAGGTGGATGGATCACTTGAGGTCAGGAGTTTTGAGACCAGCCTGGCCAACATGATGAAACCCCATCTCCACTAAAAAAAAATACAAAAATTAGCTGAGTGTGGTGGTGTGTGCCTATAATCCCAGCTACTGGGGAGGCTGAGGCAGGAGAATTGCTTGAACCTGGGAGGCAGAGGTTGCAGTGAGCCAAGATCCCACCCCTGTACTCCAGCCTGGGCGACAGAGTGAGACTTCATCTCAAAAAAAAAAAAAGAAAATTAGAGGAAACGCAACACTGGTAGAAGCAGTTGCTTTAGAACGTGTCTGAGATGAGGTTCCCGAAGAGACTCATCCCAGAGGGGTTTCTTGAGGAGTGCCCTGGGTGCAGCCCTTGCCAGCCAGGGAGAGGGAACACTGATGCTGCAGTCAGCAGACACCTCACCTGCATTGCTGTGTGTGATGGGGAGCTCTGGAGCCATGGGGAGTTCTGGAACTGGGGTGGCCCTTCAGAGTTGTCCCCAGCTGAAGCAAGAAACCAGGTCTTTCTACCCCCCCCACATCAATGGTAATGGAGCACAAGCTGCCCCCGGGAGGGCGCATGGCCTTGGGTAAGTGGACTCCTTTGAGTTAAGGACAGTTCATACCTAACACCCCCAGCCTCTGGGAGAAGGTGGGTCTCATCACAGTCCACCGCTCATGCTGCTGGTTCCATTTCCTCCAGGATTCTGAATGATCAGTTTTCCTGGGTGAACTTCAACAGAGTAGGATTGGTGGGGCAGACTACAGTCCCCTCTCCTGCAGCTGATCTCAGAGCACAACAGAAAACTGAGGTACATGTCCCTCCTGTACCCATTCTGCCTCCCCTTGCCCTGAGCTAGCACCTCTGCTCTTGTATGTGGCTTACCTGGTGGGGGTGACCAAACCTTCATCCCTAGGGGGTCTAAATCCCTGATTCCCATGCCCTTCTCAAGCTCAAATTGGGCAGGGAGTACCAAAATATACCCCTGTGGATCACCTGAGCTGAAACTTTGTACCCCCACAGCATTAGAGTCTTCCCTGGGAGGAAGCACCTCCTTGGCCTCAGCAGTTCCTGTCAGTCAAGGGTGAGTCCCAGACAGACACTAAGCCAGGAGCAGCCAACATGCTCTAATCCACCCCCAAGGAGTGCCCCCATGACCTTCTCACATGTATACTGCCTGGCCCGTGCTGCTTCAATAACTGAACATTTAGCTTCTCTGATCACAACTTCTGTGCTCCACAATTATCCTTCTACCTCACAGCTAACTCCTGAGCAACACAGGGGTTAGGGGAACTGACCCCTCGCTTAGTTGAAAGTCCATGTATAACTTTGGATTCCCCCAAAACTTAACTACTAATAGCCTACTGTTGACCAGAAGCCTAATTGACAGTCAATTAACACGTATTTTGTATGTCATGTGTATTATATGTTGTATTCTTGAAATAAAGTGTTGTATTCTTGAAACTAAAGAAAAGAAAAGATGATTAAGAAAATCATAAGGAAGAGAAAATATATTTACTATTCATACAGTGGAAGTGGGTCATCATAAAGGTCTTCATCCTCATCATCTCCATGTTGAGTAGGCCAAGGAGGAGAAGGAAGAGGAGGGGTTGGCCTTGCTGTCTCAGGGGTTGTGGAGATGAAAGAAAATTCGTGTATAAGTGGATTCATGCCATTCAAACATATGTTGCTCAAGGGTCAACTGTGTATTATTTTATGAAACTATATGTGCCATTTCACAGGTCACCTCAGGACTTAGCTGTTGCAATAATCATGCAACAGTTAATGTTTAACTGCTTCTTTCTTAGCTTAGACATTAATCAGGAGCCATGCACTACTCCCATTTGTCAACATTCTCTGGTAGGGCTCCTCTCTGGCCTCAGCAAAGTCTTAACCAAAAAAACAAAACAAGAAAAAAAGGTTGCGTGGGGAGAACCCAGGGAGTCTGACTCTTCATACTTTTCTGCAAGAACATCTCCCATCTGTAGCGCCCCCAGAGCATGGGTGACAGTCCATGTCTGTCCCCTCTATAAATGCGGGAGCAGGGACACAGTCACTCCAAATTCTACCAGCCAGTGGGGAGTCTCCAGGTGCCTTCTATGAGCAAACAGGAAGAATGCAGTTACCTGTGAGCTCACTGTTTTGTCTTGGAGCTATCATTTTGTAAAAGCTTCACCTTTAAACATTTCTACAGCTGACAAAACCAGTTGGCCCTACATTGATTCTACCAACATTGGAGAGTAGTCAGCTGTACAGATTTTGTCAGCTATTGCACATGCACTCGTTAATTAAAAAGAATAAAAAGAGACTACCAAATTTCATCAAAGGAGCCAACAGGAGGAATGGAGGGGAGGCCCTGGGGAAGGCAGCACTAGAGCCAAGGGCAGGGCTTGGCAGCTCAGGGATGAGCCCTCTATGACTGTTTGCTAAGGAAAGAGCTGAGGGTCAGCCCTGCTGAGCACCTGAGGACCAGATAGAGGAAGGAGGAACAACCCGTGAGAAGACTTGAAGGTGGAGGAAGCTTTACCGACCTGGCGAGTGTGGCTGAGAAGTCAGGAGCTAAAGGATTTGAACCCCCATTTAATCAGAGGCAGCCCACAACACACAATGGGAAAGCATCCTGGGCTGCCACTGGCACCCCAGGGCTGACAACCTCACAGGCTGTTCAAGGAGCACAGCAAAGACAGCCCACATTTTAAAAGCTGGCATGGATGTCAATAGGCCTTACGAAGTGGTTATGAGCCTTAAAATGTAGTGCTGAGATTGCAGCTCCAACTCGGATGGACAGAGTAGCATGCGGAGGCTCACATGGTGAATTTTAGCTCCAGAACGAGTGCAAAAACAAACCGGCAATCCCGAGAGGACCCACAGACCCTCTCAAGGAAGTGGACTGCTCCTGCAGGACCTGGGAGACACCCCAAATACTGTGCTGGTATCCATGGCTGAGAGACCCATAGATGGTTCATATCACAGGACTCTGTGCAGACAACCCCCAGTATCAGCCAGAGCCTGGTAGACTTGCTGGGTGGCTAGATCCAGAAGAGAGATAACAATCACTGCAGCTTGGCTCTCAGAAAGCCACATCCGTAGGAAAAGGGGGAGAGTACTACATCAAGGGAACACCCCATGGGACAAAAGGATCTGAACAACAGCCTTCAGCCCTAGACCTTCCCTCTGACAGAGCCTATCCAAATGAGAGGGAACCAGTAAACCAACTCTGGTAATATGACAAAACAGGCTCTTTAACAACCCTAAAAAATCACACTGGTTCACCAGCAATGGATCCAAACCAAAAAGAAATCCCTTATTTACCTGAAAAAGAATTCAGGATGTTTGTTATCAAACTAATCAGGGAGGCACCAGAAAAAGGTGAAGCCCAATGCAAGAAAATCCAAAAAGGATACAAGAAGTAAAGGGAGAAATATTCAAGGAAATAGATAGCATAAAGAAAAAACAATCAAAACTTCAGGAAACATTAGATATAGAAATGCAAAATGCTCAAGAAAGTCTCAGCAATAGAATTGAACAAGTAGAAGAAAGAAATTCAGAGCTCAAAGACAAGGTCTTCAAATTAACCCAATCCAACACAACCAAAGAAAAAAAAATAAGAAAATATGAACAAAGCCTCCAAGAAGTCTGAGATTATGTTAAATGACCAAACCTAAGAATAATCGGTGTTCCTGAGGAAGAAGAGAAATCTAAAAGTTTGGAAAACATATTTGGGGGGAATGATCGAGGAAACTTCCCGGCCTTGCTAGAGACTTGGACATCCAAATACAAGAAGCACAAAGAACACCTGGGAAATTCATCACAAAAAGCTCCTCGCCTAGGCACATTGTCATTAGGTTATCCAAAGTTAAGATGAAGGAAAGAACCTTAAGAGCTGTCAGACAGAAGCACCAGGTAACCTATAAAGGAAAACCTATCAGATTAACAGCAGATTTCTCAGGAGAAACCCTGCAAGCTAGAAAAGATTGGGGCCCTTTCTTCAGCCTCTTCAAACAAAACAATTATCAGCCAAGCATTTTGATCCAGCAAAACTAAGCGTCATATATGAAGGAAAGATACAGTCTTTTTCAGACAAACAAACGCTGAGAGAATTTGCCACTACCAAGTCACCACTACAAGAACTGCTGAAAAAGAGCTCTAAATGTTGAAACAAATCCTGGAAACACATCAAAACAAAACCGCTATAAAGCATAAATCACACAGGACCTATAAAACAAATATACAATTTATAAAGCAAAAACAAAAAACAAAAAAAACAAGGCACACAGGCAACAAATAGCACAATGAACGAAATGGTACCTCACATCTCAATACTAACATTGAATGTAATTGGCCTAAATGCTCCTCTTAAAAGATACAGAACTGGAGAATGGATAAAAAAATCACCCACCAACTAACTGCTGCCTTCAGGAGACTCACCTAGCACATAAGGACTCACATAAACTTAAAGGGATGGAAAAAGGCATTTCATGCAAATGGACGCCGAAAGCGAGCAGGGGTAGCTATTCTTCTATCAGACAAAACAAACTTTAAAGCAACAGCAGTTAAAACAAAGAGAGTCATTATATAATGGTAAAAGGCCTTGTCCAACAGGAAAATATCACAATCCTAAACATATATGCACCTAACACTGGAGGTCCCCAATTTATAAAACAATTACTAAAAGACCTAGGAAATGAGATAGACAGCAACACAATAATAGCAGGGGACTTCAGTACTCCACTGACAGCACTAGACAGGTCATCAAGACAGAAACTCAACAAAGAAACAATGGATTTAAACTATACTTTGGAACAAATGGACTTAGCAGATATATACAGAACATTTCATCCAACAACTGCAGAATATACATTCTATTCAACAGCGCATGGAACTTTCTCCAAGATAGACCATACGATAGGCCACAAAATGAGTCTCAATACATTTAAGAAAATTGAAATTATATCAAGTACCCTCTCAGACCACAGTGGAATAAAACAGGAAATAACTCCAAAAGGAAACTTCAAAACGATGGAAATACATGGAAATTAAATAATCTGCTCCTGAATGATCATTGGGTCAAAAAGGAAAGCAAGATGGAAATTTAAAAATTCTTCGAACTGGGCCGGGCGCAGTGGCTCATGCCTGTAATCCCAGCACTTTGGGAGGCCAAGGCGGGTGGATCACGAGGTCAGGAGATCAAGACCATCCTGGCTAACACAGTGAAACCCCATCTCACCAACCCCGTCTCTACTAGCCGGGCTTGGTGGCAGGTGCCTGTAGTCCCAGCTAGTCGGAAGGCTGAGGCAGGAGAATGGCGTGAACCCGGGAGGTGGAGCTTCCAGTGAGCCGAGATGACACCACTGCACTCCAGCCTGGGCAACAGAGCAAAACTCCATCTCAAAAAAAAAAAAAAAATTCTTTAAACTGAACAACAATAATGACACTACCTATCAAAACCTCTGGGATACAGCAAAGGCCATGCTAAGAGGAAAGTTCACAGCCCTAAATGCCAGTATCAAAAAGACTGAAAGACCACAAACTGACATCTAAGGTCACACCTCAAGGAACTAGAGAAATAAGAACAAACCAAACCCAAACCCAGCAGAAGAAACGAAATAACCAAGATCAGAGCAGAACTAAATGAAATTGAAACAACAACAACAAAAAAATACAAAAGATAAATGAAACAAAAAGCTGGTTTTTTGAAAAGATAAATAAAATTGATAAATTGTTAGCAAGATTAACCAAAAAAAGAAGAGAGAGAATTCAAATAACCTCATTAAGAAATGAAAAGGGAGATACTACAACTGACACCACTGAAATACAGAAGATCATTCAAGGCTACTATGAACACCTTTACACACATAAATTATAAAACCTCAGAGAGATGGATAAATTCCTGGAAAAATACAACCCTCCTGGCTTAAATCATGAAGCATTAGATATCCTGAACAGACCAATAACAAGCAGCGAGATTGAAATGGTAATTTAAAAATTACAACAATAAAAAGTCCAGGACCAGATGGATTCACAGCAGAATTCTACCAGACACTTAAAGAAGAATTGGTACTAATCCTTTTGATACTATTCCACAAGATAGAGAAAGAAGGAGCCCTCCCTAGTTTATTCTATGAAGCCATCATCACCCTAATCCCAAAACCAGGAAAGGACGTAATCAAAAAAGAAAACTACAGGCCGATATCCCTGATGAACATAGATGCTAACATCCTTAACAAAATACTAGCTAACTGAATCCAACAACATGTCAAAAAGATAATCCACCATGATGAAGTGGGTTTCATACCAGGGATGCAGGGGTGGTTTAACATATGCAAGTCAACAAATGTGATACACAACATAAACAGAATTTTTAAAAATCAATGATCACCTCAATATATGCAGAAAAAGTATTAGACAAAACCCAGCATCTCTTTATAATTAAAACTCTCAGCTGGGCGCGGTGGCTTATGCCTATAATCCCAGCACTTTGGGAGGCCGAGGCGGGTGGATCACCTGAGGTCAGGAGTTCGAAACCAGCCTCAACATGGAGAAACCCTGTCTCTACTAGAAATACAAAATTATCCGGGCATGGTGGTGCATACTTGTAATCCCAGCTACTCAGGAGGCTGAGGCAGGAGAATTGCTTGAACCTGGGAGGCGGATGTTGCGGTCAGCCAAGATCGCGCCATTGCACTCCAGCCTGGGCAACAAGAGTGAAACTCCATCTCAAAAAAAAAAAAAAAAAAAACTCTCAGCAAAATTGGCCTACAAGGGACACACCTCAGTGTAATAAAAGCCATCTATGACAAACCCACAGCCAACATAATACTGAATGGGGAAAAGTTGAAAGCATTCGTTCTGAGAACTGGAACAAGACAAGGATGCCCACTCTCACTACTCCTCTTCAACATAGTACTGGCAGCCTAGCCAGAGCAATATGACAAGGGAAAGAAATAAAGGGCATCCAAATCGGCAAAGAAGAAGTCAAACTGTCACTGTTTGCTGACAATATGATCATTTACCTCAAAAACCCTAAAGACTCCTCTGGAAAGCTCCTAGAACTGATAAAAGAATTCAGCAAAGTTTCTGGATACAAGATTAATGTATATAAAATCAGTAGCTCTTCTATACAACAACAGCGACCAAGCAAAGAAACAAATCAAGAACTCAACCCCTTTTACAATAGCTGCAAAAAATATATAAAATACCTAGGAATATACCTAACAAAGGAGTCAAAAATCTCTACAAGGAAAACTACAAAACACTGCTGAAAGAAATCATAGATGACACAAACAAATGCAAACACATCCCACGCTCATGGATGAGTAGAATCAATATTGTAAAAATGACCACACTGCCAAAAGCAATCTACAAATTCAACGCAATCCCCATCAAAATACCACCATCATTCTTCACAGAATTAGAAAAATTCATATGGAACCAAAAAAGAGCCCCCATAGCCAAAGCAAGACTAAGCAAAAAGAACAAATCTGGAGGCATCACACTACCTGATTTCAAACTATACTACAAGGCCATACTCACCAAAACAGCATGGTACTGGTATAAAAATAGGCACATAGACCAATGGACTAGAATAGAGAACCCAGAAATAAACCCAAATACTGACAGCCAACTGATCTTCGACAAAGCAAACAAAAACATGAAGTGGGGAAAGGACACCCTATTCAACAAATGGCACTGGGATAATTGGCAAGCCACATGCAGGAGAATGAAACTGGATCCTCGTCTCTCACCTTATACAAAAATCAACTAAAGATGGATCAAAGATTTAAATCTAAGACCTGAAACTGTAAAAATTCTAGAAGATAACATTGAAAAAACCCTTCTAGACATTGGCTTAGGCAAGGATTTCATGACCAAGAACCCAAAAGCAAATGCAATAAAAATAAAGATAAATAGCTGGGACTTAATTAAACTAAAGAACTTTTGCACGACAAAAGGAACAGTCAGCAGAGTAAACAGACAACCCAGAGTGGGAGAAAATCTTCACAATCTGTACATCTAACAAAGGACTAATATCCAGAATCTACAACGAATTCAAACAAATCAGTAAGAAAAAAAAAAAATCCCATCAAAAAGTGGGTAAGGACATGAATAGACAATTCTCAAAAGAAGATACACAAATGGCCAACAAATGTGAAAAAAATGCTCAACATCACTAATGATCAGGAAAATGCAAATCAAAACCACAATGTGATACCACCTTACTCCTGCAAGAATGGCCATAATCAAAAAATCAAAAAACAGTAGATGGAATACTACTCAGACATAAAAAGGAATGAATTAACAGCATTTGCAGTGACCTGGATGAGATTGGAGACTATTATTTTAAGCGAAGTAACTCAGGAATGGAAAAACAAACATCGTATGTTCTCACTGATAAGTGGGAGCTAAGCTATGAGGACACTAAGGCGTAAGAATGATACAGTGGACTTTGGGGACTTGGAGAGAAGGGTGAGAAGAGGGATAAAAGACTATGAGTAGGGTGCAAGATATACCGCTCAGGTGATGGGTGCACCATAATCTCACAAATCACC
The DNA here is from genome assembly GCF_000001405.40 of Homo sapiens. Classification (NCBI taxonomy): domain Eukaryota; kingdom Metazoa; phylum Chordata; class Mammalia; order Primates; family Hominidae; genus Homo; species Homo sapiens. Next base: position 46,592,975 of record NC_000003.12, read on the forward strand.
ACTAAAGAACTTACTCATATAACCAAATACCACCTGTACCCCAATAACCTATGGAAATTTTTTTTAAAAAATCTAATGCCTACCTTGGCACGAGTATAATACAAGCATCCTCATCTGGGAGGGAGAAACACAGTCTGGGGCTCCCACATGCCCCTCCTACTTTTCCTACCTCCCGGACCCCTGCCCTTGCCATAGGAGAAGGTCCACTCTGTGAGCCCCCACTGAATCCCCTCATGTACCTTTAGTCTCTTGTAGGTTCCATTATGCTCCATCACACTGACATGTTTTCAAGTCTGTCAGCCCGACTGGTCTGTACGCATCCTCGGTACCTGTGTGCTGGCTGTGAGAATCCTAGGGCCATTTCATAGAAGCTTGATAAGTGGCGGAAGGAAAGATAAAAGGAAGAGAGGGAGAGAGGGAAGGCGGAAGAGGGGAGATGGGCAAGAAGAGGGTCTTCCTCATTAACAGTGACAAGACCCTCTTACGTAATAATTAGCACTTCTTAGACTGTCTCCTACATCCCCCAACACGGGGAAGATGGTAAAGAAAGAACAAGGCAGTGCAGAGGCTGAGCTCCTTCAGAGGAGAAGCAGGCCCCGTCAGGTCTGGTCACCCGCTAGGAGTCTCTGCGCTTCCCTGCAGACCTGGCCAGCCGCATCCCCGGGGTCAATACTGGTCTAAAAGGAAAAAGAAGGGAGAGAGCGAAATGAAAACAGAAGAGGGAGCTCACATTCTTCTCCTTGGTGATACAGCACTTCTGACCTGCACAGGTATTTCTGATGCTGATTGTGTGGTGTAAACCAGTAGTTCTCAGATTTGTCCCAGTTCCATATAGTGAGCTCTCCATGGCAGACGCCAATGCTAGGAATCAAAGGCAAATGGGAAATTATAAAGTCCCCATTCAGATTTATTTTCAATTGGAAAAAAAAAAGGAAGAACTAAGGGTTAGATAAATCATTACATTATATTAATCAGAACAATTGACATTGCTATTGTAGCATTTCATCTTCAAAAAAGTCAAAATTGGCTTTTGGTTGAAAGCATTCCTTCCCCCTGAGAACCAGAACAAGACAAGGATGTCCACTCTCACCATTTCTATTCAACATAGTACTGGAGGTCCTAGCCAGAGCAATCAGACAAAAGAAAGAAAGAAAGGGCATCCAAATTAGTAAAGAGGAAGTCAAACTGCCTCCAGAATAAACACACAAAAACATAAAGCTAAGAGAGGCTGTCAGGCTTGACTATAATGAAATAATTGTCCCATGTTGGGTGTTTACAGAAAAACATTTTATGAGTAATGAGTAATCTTTTATGTCTCCTTTTTTTTATTTGCTTATTTTTGTTATAGATACATTCTTGGGTAACAGCAGACCACAGGCTAATATATTTTTACTACAGAAAAACTAATCTGCCAGTGCAAGACCTGGGAATATCTTTAACCATCTTTGTGAAGAATACAATAGACTGGTTTCCATAGGACATTAATTGAAAATTACAGGAATCTGTAAAAATAGTGATTATCTGACATCAGTCACCTACTGTGAAAAAAGAATTGTGTGAAAGTCATGCATATATACTGCTTTTCATGTACCAATTTTCCCATAGCTCTTAATAAAGTTTCATTATTAATGATGTAAATCATTGATTTATTGCAACTGATGCATTACAATTAACTTATTACCGATGATTTTAATCAGTATTGATGGTTTAATTATTAGTGATTAAGTCAGCACTGGTGATTTAAATCGGAAGAGGAATTTAACCTTAAAACACCTTGTTAGTCTTTATAGCATCTCCTCAGGTGAAAAGAGAAGGTTTTTATCAGATACAAGAAAAAAAAAAGAAAGACCATTGCTTACCCACAGGTAGTAAAGTGGACAAAAGCTTGGGCTACAGAGCCCAAATGCCCGCTGTGTGACCTCGGAAAAATCACTTACCCTCTCTGTGCCCCTGAAGGCTGAGGTGAGGACTGGATGTGAGTTCATTCATTTGAAGAATGAGAATGGTATCTCCCTAGAATGCTCTGCCAGTATCATTGTCACCGAGCCCTGTGCAGATATGAGCACACAGAGATGAGCACATGTAGGCTCAGAGGGTTCATGGGTCCCTTGAAACCCATCCATGGTCCATGGACCTCGGCTTAGGAACCCTCTCAGAAATCACTGTGTGTTAAATGTGTGGAGATGACCTGAAATCCCCTCATTTCACAGATGAATCTAGAATGATAGGAGGGTTGAGAATGATAAGCGTTTCCAAGGCCACAACTCCACCAAAGCATGTCTTAACTCGGCCCCTGGACTCTCCCAGTCCCCTAGGCTGTCCCCTGATGACACTTTGTTCATCAGGAGATAACATAAAAGGCCTTAACTGACAGAAGAGTAATTAGACCCTAGTAGAACAGCTGGGAGGAGCCTGGAAAGAACCGATCCTGCATTAATGGTGGAAGTCCTCAAAGCCCTCAAGTCCAACTGCTGGCACCCCCCATTGTCCAGCAGCGCCCTGGCTGGTGCCATGGTCACTCACAAATCACAGGCTGCACCCCAGACCCAGGATGTCAGCTCGCGCCGTGACCTGAACACGTTTGTTCACCCACCCCTGGGCTGCAGAGTGGAGCGGGTTCCATTCCGTGGTCACTGCAGCCTGATCCCTTCTCCATGAAGCCCGCCTTGAGGCTGACAAGAGAGCTGCTCTGTGATCCACCTCCACCCTTTCCAAGCTGTATACTTTGAAACCTAAGGACGTGCCCAGGCAGACCTGACTGGACTCAGTAGCCTCATTCTCAGTGTCTGGAAAGACCCCAAAGAGTCTCTTGCTCAAAATAATCTACCCAACAGTACTGCTGGAGAATCTTCCCCTGATCTCATGTTTTCTTCAGAGAATGACATGGAACACTCCAGTGAAAATGCTAGTGTAATCCAGGGTGGCTTACTAACTAGTATCCACCTCAACAGCCAAGCAGGAACTGCTTATCTGAAAGTAATGGAATACGGATCCGATTTATAAAGGGGTTGGAAAATGTCAGGCCAAGTGAGACACAAGCCCAGGCCATGTCAATTTCGCAATTCGTATCCATTGCCATGCACAATTTTAAATGAGGTCCTTGAAGATAAATCGCCAGTGGCACAGACTTCCAATTACTCACAGATTTCTGCATCACAAAGTGGTACAGTCTTCCCAGAACACTCAAAGACACTTAAAGCCTCAGAGGGAGGCTTCTGTCAGAGTTGCAGAGGATGCTTCTCAGAGGAGCTCCAGTTCCTGGCACTGTATCAGTTGGGGTCTGTGGCGGGCAGGGGGAGTGGGGTATGCAGGTCGGCGACTCTGCCCAATCCCTCTGTCAAGTCCAGTGCCCTGCCCAGGTGGCCCAGCACACATGGGCCTGCTCCCCTGCAGGCCTCCTCCTCTTCTCTCATCACCCCCTCTGAAACAGGAGCAGCATCATTTGGGGGCCTTCCCCTGCCTGTCTATGTCTTTTATTATATTTGTTGCATTTCTTAACACTTTTTCAAAATCCTCATTGATAACTGATTAAATTAGATAATGTAATTGAAAGCACTTTGTAAACTAAAAAGTGTTCTACAAAGTCTGTATTAAATTTTTATCGTTGCAGACTCACAATCACGACTCAGGACTCTTGACCTGTCCATTAGGAGCCCAGCCTGGTAAGGGGCTTGCTGAGGGATGGAGGGAGACAACAGATGCTCAGCTGCTTCCTATTTAACAGTCCACCATGGTCTTGGTGAAAGGGGCCCAAGATGGCCCAAGGTGAAAGCCACCCAGATATGGCAGAGTAAGGGACACAGCCCCTTGGTCAGTCACTGATGTTATTTCCTGACTTCCCTTGGATCTGGCCTAGCCATCCAGAGATTTTTTTTTTTTAAATGGAGTCTCACTGTGTGTCCCAGGCTGGAGTGCAGTGGCGCGATCTCAGCTCACTGCAGCCTCCGCCTCCTGGGTTCAAATGACTCTCCTGCCTCAGACTCCCAGGTAGCTGGGATTACAGACGCCTGCCACCCCACCCAGCTAATTTTTTTTTTTTTTTTTTGAGACGGAGTCTCACTGTGTCACCCAGCCTGGAGTACAGTGGCACGATCTCGGTTCACTGCAACCTCTGCCTCCCGGGTTCAAGCGATTCTTCTGCCTCAGGCTTCCAAGTAGCTAAGACTACAGGTGTGCACCACCACGTCTGGCTAATTTTTGTATTTTTAGTAGAGACAGAGTTTCACCATATTGGCCAGGCTGGTCTCGAACTCCTGATCTCATGATCCGCCCCCTCGACCTCCCAAAGTGCTGGGATTACAGGCATGAGCCACTGCGCCAGGCTAATTTTTATATTTTTAGTAGAGTGGGTTTCACCATGTTGGCCAGGCTGGTCTTGAATACCCGACCTCAGGTGATCCACCCACCTCGGTCTCCCAAAGTGCTGGGATTACAGGTGTGAGCCACCTTGCCCAGCCCAGAGATTTCTTTATTTATGGTGACCATCTTTTAGAAACCAAGAAAAAAAGATACCATGATCTTCAAGTAGTAGCATCCTTCAGGGATAAGAAGTTGGAATATCTGTAGTTAAGTCTGTCCTCAAAGTGCTGGGTGGAATGGTGACCATACCTTTGTCATCTTGGTTATGTGCATCTTCTAATTGTCTATATTTGGTGATGTGGTCTTTTGGGCTGTACATTCATGAGGGTTTCTTGCTTTCCAGTCAATCCCAGGCCACATCGTAACAGAGATGAAGCCCTTGCTGTGCATTTCACAGCTAGTGATGTTGAGCTGTCAAGAGTTGCATGGAGTAAATTGGATTCCAGAACCTACACTTGCAGACTCCAAGTTGTAGACTCCTTCACTTTCTGTTGAGCAAAGCTCAGCCATCCCATTTTAGTTGGCCATTTATTTGGTCATCTGTTTTTAATTGACCACATTGGCTAATAGTTATTTTCTATTTAAGTATCAAAGATTTAACTTTGAATTTCCTACCTCCTCCCTGTTAAATGATGACTAGAAATGACAACATGTTTTTGTCAAGTCTGGTTCAAATTACACAATGTTAATAAGGTTTTATGTGGATATTTACCATTGATATTTAGTGTGTTTAGCATACGGATCAATTTCAACAAGATACAAGCATAACAGCTTCAAGAGCACTTGCATGCTTTGAGATCAGACAGATTTGAGTACCAGCTCTGCCATTTAAGCTGTGGCATGTGATTCAGTTACAGGCATGTGATTCAGTTACAGGCATGTGATTCAGTCTTTCTCAGTCTCAGTTTTCATGCTTTTAAAACAGGGAAGATAGGCCAGGCACGGTGGCTCATGCCTGTAATCCCAGCACTTTGGGAGGCTGAGGTGGGTGGATCACAAGGTTAGGAGTTCAAGACCAGCCTGGCCAAGATGGTGAAACCCTATCTCTACTAAAAATACAAAAATTAGCCGGCGCGGTGGCAGGTGCCTGTAATCCCAGCTACTTGGGAGGCTGAGGCAGAGAATTGCTTGAACCTGGGAGCTGGAGGTTGCAGTGAGCTGAGATTGTGCCACTGCACTTCAGCCTGGGCAACAGAGCAAGACTCTGTCTCAAAAAAAAAAAAAAAAAGAAGAAGAAGATAACCTCGTGTAAAGACTTTCAGAGAAGACTACAATATAACATACAATGCTTCACAATACAATGTACATAAACATTAGTTTCATCTTCCTCTTTCTCCCTTTCATAGAAAATTTATCTCCTATGCTTAAATTTAAACATTCTTTTTACCATTTTTACTCTCCTTCCAACTATGATGTGATGGGGTAACTAATATGTCATGTGTAAATGTCACGTCATCATAGGGTCCTGCAGGGAACAGAGCTCACCCTATGGAGCCTTAGGAAGAAAGACCATTGTTAGGTTAATAGTAAGGTCCATGCTACCAACCCTGGGGAGGCCTTTCCTGGTCTGGTCAGCCTATGCCAGAAAAGCAGCCAAGTGAAGGCTGGAAACACCGTGTGGCTCGTATAGATACTTCCAGTGTCACAAAACCAACACTACTAAGAGGTGGGAATCAGCTGAAGAAGTGAGTTGGCTCCTCGCACCCCCTAGCTTCTGGCATATTGACCTTGAACTTGCCTATGAAAGGTCTAAGCACTGTTGAGGAGCTGTCCTGGCATCTCAGCAGTGAACAAAGGCCTCTTCCTCTGATGAGGGATTTCTCAGAGCCCCCATCACAAAGGATAGAGATGGCCCTTCCTGGGGCTGTTTCAATGTCCACAGACTAGATGGCAAGCATGTTTCCTGCCAGCCCTTTCTGACCAACGACTTCTAACTTCTTCTGCTCCCACTCAGTCCCTATACTCAGTCCAGTCGCCCCCTGCCATATGAATGGGATGACTTGCAAAGTTTCATTTGTGAATCTGCCAGGTGGACCAGCTTCCTACTCTCTTGCAGCTGAATCAACTCTCGATGGTTAGGATTCCTGGTTTGCAGGCTGGGTTTTAGTTAGGTGATTTGGTGGAGGGTTTTTACAACCTGGGTTCTTATCTTCCACAGGACAGGCATCTTTTCATTCCATTTATTCCATTCTCCCCCTGCCCGCTCCCACTACCACATCTAATCAGTCAGCTCTGAGAGCCAAGAGTATATGCCGTGCTGAACGCAATGCTTCAAAATCCACCTGGGCCTTGGCAAACCCTGGAATTTTCTTCCATTGTTTGGGGACAGCCATGGTCAAACATTTAAGCAGCATAAATCTCTCATTTCCAAGAGAAGAGAAAGAAGAAAGGCTCTGTGCAATGACAATAGTAATGGTAATAGAAGCAAAATCTCCATCTATCAGGGCCTCCCGGGGACAGGAGCTTTATTTTCCAAATGTTCTGCCTGTGGGCATTTTACAAGAGACCCTCGGCTATGGCCCCTGCTTCTCCCCTGTCCTCCAAGGACTGCTTCAGCCACACAGCTCTTGCAGCTGCCACTGGCCTAACAGAGCCCACGATAGGAGTCAATGAAACCCTCAACCCAGAAAATGTCCCATGCCCGTTGTATTGGGCTGCCCCAGTAGTAAATGTGACTAGAAAGCAACCACAGCACCAGGATCTACAGTGTCCCCATGACTCACTTCAGAAAGCCCGAGACCCAAGCACTGAAAGGACTTGGAAGCTAGGACCCCTCCATGGCACAGGCACACCCAGTGTCGGGTCTTGTTTATAAATTCCTCTCTCCTCTAAAAGGTGCCAGAGCTCCTTGGAGAAATGGCTGATTCCAGGGCTGGGACAGGGAAAATACAAGATAACACTAAAGCATCTTGTGCCAAAAGTAAAGATGTGCACAAAGAATGATGGGGACACCTCAAAGGGACACAGAAACCAGCTTGAAGTGACTCCCACTGGCCAAATGTGAGACAACTTGAGCATCAAAATTAAAAGCGATATGGCTGGGAGCGGAGGCTCACTCCTGTAATCCCAGCATTTTGGGAGGCCAACATGGGAGGATCACTCAAGTCCAGGAGTTCAAGACCAGCCTAGACAACATGGCAAAAACCCATCTCCACAAAAAATACAAAAATTAGCCGCACATTGTGGCTTGTACCTATAGTCCCAGCTACTCGGGAGGCTGAGATGGGAGGATGGCTTGAGCCCAGAAGACGGAGGTTTCAGTGAGCCGAGATCGCACCACTGCACTCCAGCCTGGGTGACAGAGTGAGCTTTGTCTCAAAAAAAAAAAAAAGTGATAATGACTTACAAGCTATTAAATGAAATAATAATTTATAAGTTCATACTGATAGTAAATTGATATCTAGGTAAAGAGACCAATAGGCTGATGGTTGAGAAGAGGAAACTTCTCTACTGTAGGATGTCAACTAATAAATGAAGAGGGAAAGATTGAGTTAGAAAATTACATGTGTGGACAGGTACAGTGGCTCATGCCTGCAATCCCAACACTTTGGCAGGCTGAGGCAGGAGGATCACTTGAGGCAAGGAGTTTGAGCCCATCCTGGGCAACATAGCAGGATCTTATCTCTACAAGAAAAAAAAAAAATACAAAAATTAGCAGGGTGTGGTGGTGCACACATGTAGTCCCAACTACTCCGAAGACTGAGGCAGGAGGATCCCTTGAGCCCAGGAGTTCAAGGCTGCAGTGAGCTATGATAGTGCCACTGCACTCCAGCCTAGGTGACAGAGTAAGATCTCATCTCTAAAAAATAATAAGTTAAAAATAAAGGAAAGTTGCCAGGTGTGGTGGCTCACGCCTGTAATCCCAGCATTTTGGGAGACTGAGGCAGGTGGATCACGAGGTCAGGAGATTGAGACCATCCTGGCTAACACAGTGAAACCCCGTCTCTACTAAAAAATATAAATAATTAGCCGGGCATGGTGGCGGGCGCCTGTAGTCCCAGCTACTGGGGAGGCTGAGGCAGGAGAATGGCGTGAATCTGGGAAGCGGAGCTTGCAGTGAGCCAAGATCGAGCCACTGCACTCCAGCCCAGGTGACAGAGCGAGACTCTGTCTCAAAAAAAAAATAAAATAAAATAAAGGAAAGTTACATTTGTAACCATCATAATAAAAATTGGTAGTGGCAAGAATCATCAGTGGATGCTAAAACTAGAGTCTGAAAGTTTGACGGGCAACAAGATGTTTGCTGAGTCTCACAGCATCTCCCCACAAGATGCTTATTCATTGTGAAGGGAGAAATAGTCACTTTACAGTGAGAAAACTGGTAGATTCCACCTTGATCAAGTGATCAATGTTGACACCAATATAGGAACAAATGGCTATCTTACGCCTCCTGTGAGGATGCCCCAATGGGAAACATCATCACTTCAGTGGCACTCACACCCAAAATCCACAGGCTGAGTCTAGTAATGATGAAACATCAACCAAAACCAAATTAAGAGGCATCCTACAAAGTGCTGGCCTGTGATCTTTAAAAATGTCAGTGTCACAAAAGAAAAAAAAGGCCGGGCATGGTGGCTCATGCCTGTAATCCCAGCACTTTGGGAGGCTGAGGCGGGTGGATCACGAGGTCAGGAGTTCGAGACCAGCCTAACCAACATGGTGAAACCCCATCTCTACTAAAAATACAAAAATTAGCCGGGCATGGTGGTGTGCGCCTGTACTCTCAGCTACTTGGGAGGCTGAGGCAGGAGCATTGCTTGAACCCGGCAGGCGGAGGTTGTGGTGAGCTGAGATCGTGCCATTGCACTCCAGCCTGGGCAATAAGAGCGAAACTCCATCTGAAAAAAAAAAAGAAAAAGAAAAGAAAAAAAGGGTGCTGAGGAAGTGTGCTAAGCTAAAAGTGGCTAAAGAGACATGACGAGTGAATGTTGTGTGTGATCTGGGATTGAATCCTAGGAAAAAGAATTGCTATAAGTTGCATCAAATCTGAAAAGTATTTGTATATTAGATAACATTTGTTAAAATTCCTAATTTTGATCACCATATGGTAGTTATATAAGTTATGACAGTGAAAGAGATCTGGCCTAAATTTCTGGGAGAAATTTATTTTACAGTTTAAATGATAATACCCCTTCCCAAAACTAAACCTCTTTTATAAAACTCATGAAAGGCTACCAGATTACAAGAGGAGCCTGAATTCTTCTAAGATAGTTAAATAATTACAAGCCATTATTCTAGAGGTTCTTAAGAAATACACAATGAAGAATTTCGTGGTAAAAAGGCATGTTGTTTGCAACTTACCTTCAAACGACTCAAAAACAGAACTAGATGGATAGATAGGTGGTGGGTATAGCAAGAGACAGAGAAAGAGTCAGGAAATGCTACAGCAACGGTGGCAAAATGACATTTGGTTAATCTTGGTGAAGGATATTCCATGTACTATTCTTGAAACTTTGCTATTAAATGTGAAATTATTTTAAAGTAGCAAGTTTATTAAAAAGCAAAGCAAAACATGACAAGTGAAAAGGAAGATATTAAGTAGGATATATGCAGGGTGGGAATATAAAATGGTACAGACACTCTGGAAAATAGTTTGGCAGTTTCCTAAAACACTAAACATGTGCTTATCATATGACCCAGCAATTGAGCTCTTGGGTGTTTATCCCAAAGAAAGGAAAACTTATGTCCGCTAAAAACCTGTACGTGAATGTCCCTAGCAGCTTTATTGGTAATACTCAAAAACTTGAAACAACCAAAACATCCTTCGACAGGTGACTGGTTAAACAAACTGGTGTATTCGCACCGTGGAATACTACTTAGCAATAAAAAGGAACAAGTTATTCGTATATGCAACGGTTTGGATGAATCTCAAGGAAATTATGCTGAGTACAAAAAGCCAAGCTCAAAAAAGGTCACACACAGTAGTATTCTATTTATATAACGTTCTCAAAATGTTACAGAGCACAGATTTGTAGTTTTTGTGCTCTGAAACTACTATTAGAGGATGTGGAGAAAGGAAGGGAGGGAAGAGGATAGGAGTCTAAAAGGGCAATCAGAGGGACCTTTGTGATGGAATGGGCCTGTATCTTGACTGCAATAGATACACAAATCTACACATACTGCAACTGCATTTGCAAATCTCATAACAGTGAGAAAATTATGACAGTGAAAGAGATCTGGCCTAACCAATTCCATCTTGCCTTTGTCCTTCAAACTGCCCTTGTTCATTCCTGGACATGGGCCAAGCTAACTCTGGGAGAAATTTAGTTTACAGTTTAAATGATAATACCCCTTCCCAAAACTAAACCTCTTTTGTAAAACTCATGAAAGGCTACCACATTACAAGAGGAGCCTGAATTCTTCTAAGATAGTTAAATAATTACAAGCCATTATTCTGGAGGTCACAAGATTTGCAGCTTCTCCAAATACTCCTGTAATTAACATCACTATTGTCGAACCTAACATTGGCCTTTGAGATATCTTTTCAGGCTTTTGCATTCCAGTGACTGGATGGCTCCTCCTGGACTGGCAACTCCTCTGTGGCCCCACCCAAAAGCAAACTCAGCACACCAGGACCATTTTCCACACCTCTTTAATTGCATTCCCTACCAACCAGTATTCCTCTTTTCTTATCCCCCTGCCCACAAAAATATCCTTGAAAATCCTTGAAAATCCCTAGCCTCCAAATTTTGGGGGAGGCTGATTTGAGTAATAATAAAATTCCAGTCTCCCACTTAGCCAGCTCTATGTGTATAAAACTCTTGCAATTAAACTCTATTGCAATTCCCCTGTCTTGATAAATCAGCTCTATCTAGGCAGCAGGCAAAATGAACCCACCGGTTGGTTACAATATGACCAAGTTGAATAGAGCTATACAGGCACACAAACACACACAAACAAGTGCATGTGAGAAACCCGAAGAAGCCCTATGGATAGTACAAATGTCCATTTCCTGCTCTTGATACTGTGCTATGGTTATGCAAGAAGCTAACACTAGAGGAAGGGTGCACAGGACCTCCCTGTACATTTCTTTGCAACTTCCTGTAAATCTATAACTATTCCAAAACACAAAGTTGAAAACAAACAAACAAAAAAAGCAAGTCTAAGACAAAGCCTGTCTGTACTCCCCTGCTATACCACTGGTGACTCTGCTCCCAAGAGATGTCCTGTGGGGAGTCTATCCTTCAGACTGTCATCTTGTCTTGTCTTGTCTCATAACCCCTGTCTTAGTCCATTGTGTGTTGCTATAAAGGAATATCTGAGATTGGTTCATTTATAAAGAAGAGAGGTTTATTTGGCTCATGGTTTTGCAGGTTGTACAAGAAGCATGGTGCCAGCATCCGCATTGGGTGAGGGCCTCTGGCTGCTTCTCATGGTGGAAGGGAGCTGGTGTGTGTAGAGATCACACAGCAAAAGAGAAAGCAAGAGGCGGGGCAAGAGGTAATCAGGCCCTTTTTAACAACCAGCTCTTGTGGAAACATAGAGTGAGAACTCACTCACCTTGGAGAGAGGGCATTAATCTATTCATGAGGGATCTGTCTCTAATACACAAACACCTCCCATTAGGCCCCACCTCCAACACTGAGGATCAAATTTCAACATGAGGTTTTCGGGGGACAATCATCCAAATTATAGCAACTCTCAAAACTTTGTATGGGATCTCATCCCCCTTCTTCATGTATCTTAGCAGTAGGAACAGATGGTGGAAGTACAAGGGCAGAGACACACAAGAGTCTGGGTGTAGCCTTTAAGCACAGGAACAACTCTAAATGCTGGAGCTCACATTGGATTACGACTTTGAAGTCAGGCTACTGGATTCAAAGGCCAATCTGTCACCATTCACAAAATCTTAGATACAGTGCTTACCCATTTGTGTTTCAGTTTTCTTATCTATGAAATGAGGATGATAATAGTACCCATATCATAGGATTATTCTGTGTGTGTGAGGTGTGCATGTATATGTAGCTTAGAACAGTACCAGACACCTAAAAAGAGTATTAGTTGTTATTTATAATACTCATAAAAACAACTGCTTAATATTATTATATCTCTCTACAAGTTTTAACATTCCTATTTTACAATGAAGAAGCTGGGTCTTGGCAAAACTAATTAACTAGCATGGGCCCGCTAGTCACATGTTCATGCCCTTTTCAATATGCCTATTTGAACATAGTTCATGCCCTTTTCAATATGCCTATTTGATTAAGTCTCTATGGATACCTTACTAGCAAAAGAAGAAAAAAAAATCCAGAAAGCAGAGAAAAGGACAAAGAATAAATTCTAGGCTGGGTGCTGTGGCTCACTCCTATAATCCCAGCACTTTGGGAGGCCGAGGCGGGTGGATCATGAGGTCAGGAGTTCAGGACCAGCCTGGCCAAGATGGTGAAACCCCGTCTCTACTAAAAATACAAAAATTAGCTGGGCGTCGTAGTGGGCGCTTGTAATCCCAGTTACTCAGGAGGCTGAGGCAGAGAATTGCTTGAACCTGGGAGGCGGAGCTTGCAGTGAGCCAAGATCGTGCCACCGCACTCCAGCCTGGGCAACAGAGCGAGGCTCCGTCTCAAAAAAAAAAAAAAAAAAAAAGGAATAAATTCTATCTCAGGAAGAAAGATTGTACAGTTGACATTCAACAACACAGGAGTTGGGGTGCTGATGGCCCATGCAGTCGAAATCTGCCTATAACATTTGACTCCCCCAAAACTCAACTACTACAAGTGTACCATTGGCCCAAAGCCTTACTGGTAACATAAACAGTATATTAGCACATATTTTGTGTGTTATGTGTATTATATACTACATTATTACAATAAAATAGAGAAAAAATGTTATTAAGAAAATCATAAATAAGATAAAATTTATTGGCAAGGCATGATGGCTCATGCTTATAATCCCAACACTATAGAAGGCCAAGATAGGAAGATCACATGAGGCCAGGAGTTCAAAACCAGCCTGACCAACATAGCAAGACCCCATCTCTACAAAGAATACAAAAATTAGCTGGGCATAATGGCACATGCCTGTTGTCCCAGCTAGTCAAGAAGCTGAGACAGGAGGATTGTTTGAACCCAGGAGTTCAAGGCTGCAGTCAGCCATGTTCATGCCACTGCACTCCAGCCCGGGCAATAGAATGAGAATTTTTTTTAAATCTTTATAAAATAAAATGTCTTCATAAAAAACAATAAATTTTTAAAAGTTAAATTAATGAAATACAATAAAATATATATATTTGCTATTTATTAAGTGGAAATGGATCATCATGAATGTCTTCATCCTCACTGCCTTCATAATGAGTAGGCTAAGGAGGAGGAGAAAGAGGAAGAAATGGTTGGTTTTGCTGTCTAAGGGGTGGCAGAGACGGAAGAAAATCTATGTGTAAGTGAACCTGCACAGTTCAAACCCAAGTTGTTCAAGGGCACACTGTAAAAAAACATCTCAAGTGACTTAAACTATAAAGTAAGTTAATTTTCATACTTACCATGAACGTCCAAGTTTGGGAGCCTCGGGGGCTGGTGAATTCAGTGGCTCAGCAATGTCATCACTAACATGGGTTTTTCTGTCTCTCTGCTCTGCCAGTTTTAGCGATGGTTTAGCTCCCACTGTGGTCCCAGCGTGACTGCACTATTTCCACACAACAAAATCCAAAGGAGAAGGAAGACTACTCCCAACATGTGTTTTTTAAGAAAGGGAAATCTTAGCCAGCGCCTTAGTTTGAGTTGTGTCACCAGCCCATGGACTGTCATGACTGGCTCAGTGAAGCATCTGGCTGTGTGGAGAAGGGTGGGTTACCCAAGCAAAACTGAGGTTGAGTCACAGGAAAGAAGTGGACAGTGGCTCTTGGGTAGTAACCAGTATCCTCCTCCCACCATGAAAAGCACCCTTCTCCTTTGACACTCCCTTATCAACAGGCAAAATAGTAGTCAATTTTAAAACTAAGCAACAATACAAATCTATTTTATTTATTTATTTATTTATTTATTTATTTATTTATTTATTTATTGAGACAGAGTCTCACTCTGTCGCCCAGGCTGGAGTGCAGTGGCGCAATCTCAGCTCACTGCAACCTCCGCCTCCCAGGTTCAAGCGATTCTCCTGCCTCAGCCTCCTGAGTAGCCGAGATTATAGGGACCCACCACCACGCCCAGCTAATTTTTGTATTTTAGTAGAGATGGAGTTTTGCCATGGCAACAACACAAATCTTACAAAGGTTCAGCCAGAGCATACTTAGTTTTTGACAATTATATTTGATATATGTGTGTATCGGTCAGAAAGGCTGGTTTATGATGCCATAATAGGCAACACCAAGTTTTCTGAAACATACAACTGTGGCAGTTTATTTTTTGTTCCCGAAACTTGCAGTCAACGTTTCAGGGCCATCCAAGGTCTTACTCAGTCCCAGGCTTATGCAATCTTCCAGCAACCTGAGGCTTTGGGGTTCACAGCAGTAGGAGGAGCAAGCATGGAAAATCTCACACCAGGGGACAAGTTGCCTCCTTTCCAGGCCTTTGCTAGAACCAGTCCCATGGCTCTGTACGTAATTCGGGTAAAGCAATCCTCTTTGTGTCCAGAAGAGGGAGGGGAGCCAGAAATGTCCGTGAGTACTAGCAAAGGCAACCACATCCCCTGTCCAGGAAGCGTGCCAGGAAGGGGCTCCTGTTCCACATGGGTCTGGGCATCAGGGAAGGAACCTTGACACTGCCAGGACTAGCTGGGGAAGAAAAGGGCCTGTCCACTTTGTTTATCACAGCTCCCTCCTCTAGTGGGATGCCTCTCATTAGGTAGGAGCTTGGTTTCCAGTGGGGTAAATAGCTTGAGCTAACCAGAACTATTTGAAATCAAGCCATGAAGTGGCAAATACAAAACTTTGCAAAAATTAAAAAACACACACACACACGCAAAGCTAGATGGGAGCTTGCTAAATTGGGAAATGGTCATGCCCTATTATCACCCAGGCCCCTCCCAAGCTGTGAGATCTTTAAGTACAATTTTAAATGCTTCCTAGCCTATAATGTGAACAACGCTAGTGTCAGAGCAGGAAGGACCTGGCGCTAAACATCTCTCCCTCCATCCCTATATGACTGTAAACCCTGAAATGTGAGAGAGCACCTCAGGAACAGGTCCAAGGGAACGACTTTGGCTATGGAGACACAGAATCAGCCACAGCCCACTCCCACCGCCACAGAGAAATTTTCTTCTGTCTCTGGAGTCTTCTTAAACTTCTCAGAGAAAGTCTGTGGGTAACATGGATTAAAGACATACTCTAACTCTAAATAAGATACTTGGCTTCAGTCTGAATGAGAAGACCCTTGTAGGAGTCTCTGTCCATTAAATAAATTATAAACAGAATGAAAATTTGGAAATTCAGAAAGTTGTTGATTCAAAATTCAGCTGAACTGGGAAAATTGTAAATGTTTGTGCTTTGAAGTAAACAAATTATGAAGGCTATGAAATTCCTGCTAGTGGATTAGGGGTTTTTTTTGTTTCTTTGTTTTTTGTTTTTTTGTTTTTTTGATCATTTGTGAGCCCAAGAGGAGTAGCAACACTTAAGCTTAATTTTATAAGCTTTTTTCCTGGAGGACTTGCTAATGGCTTCAATAAAGTTTAAGGAATCTAATGTAATGAAAAAGACTTTCTCAGCATTTAGCATGTCATTGAATAAACAAAAACAAAACAACCCAATCCTTCAAGGTGATCTTCTACCTATTAAATATTCAGTTTCACTGTTAATTTTTTAAGGAGGAAATGGGAATTTAAACTTACAATAGAAATATTTAAACATGTTTATCCTCTTCTGTCTGCTTGTGTATAACATTTATCAGCAGAAAAAATCAAAAAGCAAAGTGGGTATTTGTGTTGCCTTTAATTATATTCCAGTGATATCAGTGTTGCCCTTAGTATCAACACTGTGACTCCTGTGACCTAAGTCAGAAGCAGGCTTATTAGTGGCAAAGCAGGGTGTGATCATGACCTGAACTGGGTCTGTTTCCAGACAAGGCACCACCCCAGAAGTTTCATGCAAGAACATACCATGCTCCCTGAAATGCCTAAAGGGCATTTTCAACTGAGAAGTGAAAGTTTGGTTCACTTTTTGGTTTGATGCATTTTACTGGAAAATGGTCACTGTTCCTGCCCCCACTGGGGGAGGACTGAGCATATTGTGAAATGTCCTCACCCAGCTCTATCCTTGGATTAGCGGCTCCAAAGAAAAACATGCCTCTCTAAGTCATCCTGTAAGGTGACCCCGAAGTGTGACTTGTCACACCATCCCGCCTTCTTTACCGCCTGAGCCGTGGAGGGCAGCCTGGCCTGATGCACCAAGGATTCATGCTCACAGATGATCCAGGGCATGTTCTAAACATTAACTTTACTTCCAGCCAAGTCATGGCCTCTGTGGAACGTGCCAGAGCAGAAGCTTACCTGCCCCCGGGGTGGGCAGAGGGAGCAGGGGATGGGGACTGTTTAACACTTTGTCCCTGGAATAAGATCTCTGTGAATCTAGTGCTAATTTCGTGTGTGTAACCTTGTCAGGCGAAGGCATTTCTGTAACTCCTCCGCTCTGCATATAAAAGATTAAGACCCTGAGGTTTCAGGACCAGGTCGTGGCCTCTGAGAGCCCCAGAGCTGAGGAAACAGGAGTTACAATACTTGCCTTCCGTTACAACACATCAAGGCAGCAGCAGATTCATCTCAAAGGTAAAGGATGTTGAACTTGATGTGGATGGGAACCTGGCGGAGGTTCATCTCACTCTTCGGCAGGGAGGGAGGTGGATGGGCCCCTTGTAAGCCTGTAAACCTGTCTTTCTCAGCGGCTGGGATTCAGCTTTCCCCCGGAACCCCCTTGCTTGCATCTGCTTGGGAATGACTCACAAATCCTAATGGGGCTTTTCCATATCTAATTTATATAATTAGATGATGCAATCAAAACAAGTTAAACTGTGAGAAAGCCAGAAATCAGTGCCAGTGTCCGCTTAACCAGGCTCTGAGAAAAATAGTACATATGGATAGTGAGATGCCAATACCCCAAAGAAATGAACACCCTCAAGGAATGTTCAAGTAGAGATGCTCGACCACAGTGGGCTTCTCGGGAGACTAGCACTGAGGAGGCTGTACCTTAGCTTCGGCCTTTGTAATTCTAAAGCAGAGCTGCTTAAACTGCACAGGAGTCATGCACAGGAGTCATCTGGGGATGAGATGAAAATGCAGGGTTTGATTCCTATCTGGGCCTTGATAAATTCTGCACTTGTACCAACTCCGTGGTGATGCCAGTGCTGCTGGTTCACGGGACAATCGGGTGGCAGGGCTCACTGGGGTCTTAGTGACAGTATATAATCTTTGAGACTTTTCCATGCCTGAATCTTATCAAATCAGCAGAGTCAAAATGCATTTTACCAAAAGCATTTTCTGTTCTGTTTTTAAAGTTTTTATTTTTAAATTAACACACAGTAAAAAATGATTCTTTTGTGTGTACTCAGTTCTATGAATTTTAACATACATACAGCTTCACGTAACCACCGCCATGAAGAATGCAGAACAATTCCATCAGGTTCTCCACAGTTCCTTCATGCTTTGCCTCTGCAGTCATACCCTCCCCAACCTCTAATCCCAGGCAGTCATGATAGTTTTGTCTTTTCAAGAATACCATATAAATGAGGTCACAGAAAACATATACCAACCAGCCCGGGCAACATGGCAAGACCCCGTCTCTACAAAAAATACCAAAATTACCCAGGTGTGGTAGTGCACACCTGTAGTCCCAGCCACTCTGGAGGCTGAGATGGGAGGATCACCTGGAGCTGGAGGAGGTCAAAGCTGCAGTTAGCCGTGATCGTGCCCCTGCACTCCAGACTGTGCAGCAGAGTGAGACTCTGTCTCAGTTTAAAAAAAAAAAAGGAAAGAAAAGAAAAGTAAGAAAGAAAATATATACCATTTTGAGATTGCCTTGTTCTACCGAGCATAATGCCTTTGAGATCCATCCAAGTTATTGCATGTGTTGAAGTTTGTTCCCTCTTATTGCTGCACAATATTCCATTGTATGAATGTCTGACAGATTTTTATCCATTCATCCATTGAAGAACTATCAGGTTGTTTCTTTTTGGCAATCACGAATAGAGCTGTGTACAGGTGTGCAAGTTTTTGCTTGAATACAAGTTTACATTTCTCTAGTCTAAATACCTAGAAGTAGAATTGCTGTGTCATATGGTGAGTATAGTTTAACTTTATAAGAAACTACAGCCGGTTGGGCGTAGTGGCTCACGCTTGTAATCCCAGCACTTTGGGAGGCCTAGGTGGGTGGATCACCCGAAGGTCAGGAGTTCGAGATCAACCTGGCCAATATGGTGAAACCCCGTCTCTACTAAAAATATAAAAAATTAGCCAGGTGTGGTGGTGGGTGCCTGTAATCCCAGCTACTTGGGAGGCTGAGGCAGGAGAATCGCTTGAACCTGGGAGGTGGATGTTGCAGTGAGCCGAGATTGCACCATTGCACTCCAGCCTGGGCAACAAGAGGGAAACTTCCTCTCAAAATAAATAAATTAATTAATTAAATAAAAAAGAAAAGAAACTGCTGCCAAACTGTTTTTCACAATAATACCTGTACCATTCTGCAGTCCTGCCAGCAATGTGTGAGAGTTCCAATTCCCTTTCTCCCTGGAACCAGAGGGCTTCTCAGAGCTCTTTCTACCCTTGTCCCCACTTCTGGGTTGCCTTGAGTCTAAACTGGGGATACCACAGTAAAAATAGAAAATTTAGCACTGTTCAATGGTAATTGGAATTCTGGGGTTTTTCCTCTAATCTACCTGCTGCTGTTTACTTTTCAGAGTCCTGAAACAGCTGCGCCACACATTCTGTCCAGGCTGCATTCTTTGGAGGGACAGGTTAGGGTATGCTTCCTCCATCTTACTTGGAACTGGAACCCTTCTGTTCTATTTCAAGCCCCAATCATAAAGAAAAATGTAAAAGGCGGTTAAACATACTTTTGGATATGTGAAACATAATCATGAAATACTTGCTCTCAGGAGGTGTTGAATAGGCAAGAAGTACATGAGCAGTGTGCACAGTCAGCTGGTGTGCATTGAACCTCCCTAGCCAAGAGCCACAAGCACGCTCAGTGTAAGCCAAAAGCCTCTTTTAAAAAAGCAACTCTCAGATTTCTCAATTTGAGTTTAATACTCTGGGTAACTGAGACTTGGGAAATCAAATTGCTGGCACAGCGTTAAGGCTTGCGAGGGACAAATGTTCCTTTGTTCTTGTTGATTTGCTGAACGTGAATTGGCTCCTGGGGCAGCACAGATGCCTCACAGGCGGTCAAGTGCGACACATTTGGTTCGACTGAATCGATGTCTTCACATCCCTTCATGCGGTTGTTCTCTGTAAGTGTTAATTAATTTGTTGATTTTGTGAAGTAAAATTCCTAATGGTTATGGAGGTTATGGTTTGTCCAAGTTGGTGCTGATTCACTGGACGCAGCAGCACGAATTCTCTCAAGTACAAGATTAGATGGCGTTTTGGGCAGAGGGGATACAGAGGAATAGAGCTATTTACTTATCAAGAGCTTTCCAACTATGGACAGTCTCCTCATCACACTTCTACTAGGAGGAGCAGTTGTCCTCATTGTAGACACCAGGAAACCGAAACACAAATACTCACGGAAACACGTTACCTGTGAAGGAATGGGCTAAACCCTAATGACAAGATGCTAACAGTCTCCCAGTAGGTTAGAGCCAGGGAACTTGAACTTCTAGTCCAAAGACAGAAGAAGCTTTTTACCTATGTTTACTGAGGAATAACTTATGTGTAGTGAAATTCACTCATATAAAATGTAGAGTTTGGTAAGTTTTAGCAATTGTACACTGCTATATAATCAACACTATAAACAAGACACAGGCTGGGCACAGTGGCTCACACCTGTAATCCCAGCACTTTTGAAGACCAAGGCCGGTGGATCACCTGAGGTCAGGAGTTTGAGACCAGCCTGGCCAACATGGCGAAACCCTGTCTCTACTAAAAATACAAAAATTAGCCCGGCGTGGTAGCAGGCACCTGTAATCCCAGATACTGGGGAGGCTGAAGCAGGAGAATCACTTGAACCCAGGAGGTGGAGGTTGCAGTGAGCTGAGATCGTGCCACTGCAATCCAGCCTGGGTGACAGAGTGAAACTCCTTCTAAATAAATAAATAAATAAATAAATAAATAAATAAAAAACAAGACACAGAACATTTCCATTACCCTAAAAAGTGCCCCCATGCTCCTTTGCCCTCAGTCCCCTCCCCCAACTCGACCTCAGCCAATCCCCAATCTGTTTCTGCAACTCTTTGTTCTGCAAGATTTCCACTGCAGGTCTCTGCACAGGTCACTTCCTGCACCCTGGGTGCTCCTGCCCGCTCATCCTGCAAGTCCCTCCCCCTAGAAGGAGCCCCAAACCCTCGGCCAGGTCAGGGCACCCTCCTTGTGTGTCCCATTTCAGTGCCTATCACGTGAAGTGCCAGTGCCTCACTCCCTGTTATCTGAAGTCCCCTGAGGAGGGGCCCTGTCTTATCCCAGTGTCAGCCGTTTAGAGTGAAGAAGGATGGGGTATTAGATATTTGTTTGTTTGTTTGTTTGTTTGTTTGAGACAGGGTCTCGCTTTGTCCCCCAGGCTGGAGTGCAGTGGTACAAACATGGCTCACTTTAGCCTTGACCTCTTGGGCTCAAGCAATCTTTCTACCTCAGCCTCCTGAGTAGCTGGGACCACAGGCACGTAGCACTACGCCCAGCTAATTTTTTATTTTTTATTTTTATAGAGACAGGATCTCTGTATGTTGCCCAGCCTGGTCTCAAACTACTGGGATCAAGTGATCCTCCAGCCTCAGCCTCCCAAAGTGCTGGGATTACAGGTGTGAGCCACTGCACCCGGCCTAAATATATTTAATCCCCTCTTTCTGCCTTATCTTTTCCTAAAAGTGTATTTCTAAAGTTATCATTAATTGTGTTTCTTTGAAGCTACAAAATTGGTGATAGTAGCCACTACAGTTCTGCTCATAGTGAGGACAATGACTAAAACAAGTTAAGAAGACAAGGTAGTTTGTTTAAAAGTGAAATGCATTTTTTCTTAGAGATTTTACTTGTTTTCACCATTGTGTCAGCAGCATTTTCCAGCAAAACATACACACACAGCTGGTTAGTTTGTAAAATAACGTTATGCGGATGGAGGTAGAGATGGATGTCACTCTTCAACCCAAAGGGAGCTCTGCTATTTCTTAGAAAAACATGTATCTCCCATTTTACACATGTGGGACACCTCCCAGTGAGTGGGCATGGTGAGGCTTATCTCTGACGTATCAGAAGTGAAAGAACACAGGACAAACGCTCTTACCCAGTGCTCCTCTGGGCATGGCCCTACATAGGACATGGTTCAACTTAAGAACTTCTACTGTCATCCAAGCTTTCCTAAATGGTGGCCAACAGACCAAGGATAGAGATAAATGAATCTGTCATATACCCAAGAAGCCATACACTCAATATTGTGTGTAAATAAAGATTCACACTTATTCAAAGTTGTCAATGACATTTAATTAGCTCAGACTAATGATGTCCCTATGCCAGACTAATGAATCCCTATGCCAGACAACAGTCAGAAAAATGAGTGGGCCAGGACCAAGCTCATCAGTTATATTTATTCAGAACTTTATAAATTGCAGAACACTTTCACTCTTAGGGTCAAAATCGGTCTTCAGAGAAATTTTAAAGATGAGAAAACTGACGCCAGGAGAACCCATGTGACAAACAGACGGCGCATCAAGGCAGTGGAAACACGGGTCTGGAGTGAACATCTGGCTTCAAACCCCTTTCTCCTTCTACCCTGCCCCACTGTCCCGGTCTGTCTTTCTGAGAGCTGTGGCCCAGACCTCTATGCTGAGTTCCAGACCCATGTGTCAGGCACCCCTCCAGTGCTTCCCCCTGGGGGTCGGCACCCAGAAAACTCAAACTCCATCCATCCAGCACAGCCTGAGCCCACTCCCCATAGCCCTCCTCCTCCATTTCCCATCTGTGCACAGGCAGAGCCAGGGCAGTACCCACTGACACCCCTTCTCCTTCATTTTCCACACAGAGTTTCCTGTGAATCTGTCCACTCTTCATCATCTTTGCCCCTCCCGTCCTGGTCACAGCATCGCTCTGGGCTCCTCCAGCAGCCCAGTTCCTCCTCCCCCTGCATCCGCTCTCACCTCTTCAGTCTCTGCCCCCAGAACATCTGGCAAAATGCCTGTCTGGACCCACCATTTCCCCACTGAAAGCCCTTCCTGGGATAAGGTCCAAATCCTCTCTGGGGCATGCCAGGCCAGCTTCTCCAGGCTCCCATCTCCCCACACTCTTCTGCAGGGGTTCCCACCAGCAGACAGGAACATCTGCAGCCCCTGCTTTTGAGCTTTCTACTATATCCACTCAGCTGGTCTGAAAGTTAAGCAGAGTTTCTGCATGTAATAAGTGAGCATTTTGAGTGTCTGATATGTATAATTCCACACACAAGAGCCCACATGTGTGCACGCACACACACACACACACACCTCAAAGCAGCTTGCTCTGGGGTGTCAGGCACTGGAACCATTTTCTCTGATAAACCCCTTTAGTAAAGGGCCTGGAAACTTTCAGAAGTCTGAAGCCTGTCACTCCTCAAATATCTCACCTAAAAGATGAAGAAGGTCATGGCCATCTCATGTGGATGTTGTGATAACGAAATGGACTTAGGTGCACAAAATTCCTGGTGCATGTTCCTGCTACTGGAAGTTGAGAAACGATTCTTCTGTGAGGAGGAAGGAAGGGCAGAGGCGTTTGCCAGGTGCCAGCTTGTGGAAGGTCTGCACTCACATCTCACTGTGTCCTGACAACCAGCCAGCAGCAAGCACTGAGGCCACCATTGTCCTCCCACTTGCAGAGGTCCTGTGGCTGGCCAGGTCTGTCTCATGTCAACAGCAGGGTCAGGATGCCTATACCCTGCAGAGTCTCAGGGATCATGGTTTATGGGGGTTCAGCTTCTATTTTTTTTTATTTCAATAGCTTTAGGAGTACAAGTGGGTTTTGGTTACATGGATAAGTTGTATAGTGTTTAAGTCTTGGCTTTTAGTGCACTTGTCACCCAAATAGTGTACATGGCACCCAATAAGTGACATTTTATCCCTAACCTCTTTCCTTCTGAGTCTCCAATGCCCATTATACCACTCTGTTTGCCTTTATAAACCCGTGGCTTAGCTACCACTTATAAGTGAGAATATGCAGTATTTGGTTTTCCATTCCAGAGTTACTTCATTAGGATAATGGCTTCCAGTTCCATCCGAGTTGCTGCAAAAGACATTATTTTGTTCTTTTTTAGGCTGAGTAGTATTCCATTACACACACACACACACACACACACACACACACACACACATAAAACATTTTCTTGATCCAGTCATAAGTTAATGAGCACTTAGTTTGACTCCATATCTTTGCAATTGTGAATTGTGCTGTGATAAACAAACACATTCAGGTGTCTTTTTTATATAATTACTTCTTTTCCTTTGGGTAGGTACCCAGTAGTCAGAATTGCTGGATCAAATGGTAGATCTACTCTCAGTTCTTTGAGAAATCTCCATACTGTTTTCCAAAGAGGTTGTACTAATTTACATTCCTACCAACAGCATATAAGTGTTCTCTTTTCTCTGCATCTGCACCAACACCTATTAGTTTTTGACTTTTAAACAGTCAAATTGGAGTAAGGTGGATTGGAGTAAGATGGTAGGTATCTCATTGTGGTTTTAATTTACATTTCCCTGATGATGAGTGATGTTGAGCATTTCTTCATATGTTTTTTGGTTATTTGTATGGCTATTTTCCTTTTTAGGGGATGAACAATCAATACACCCGTCGGGAGGTCTTCTGCCGGAACACCTGCCATGATCTCAAGCATTTCTGGGAAAGGGAAATTGGCAAACAGACTTACTACCGAGAATCAGAGGAACGTCGTCTGGGAAGAAGCGCACTGAGAAAGTATGTGGCTTGTTTGTCTACTTTTTAGAATTAATTAATTTTTAAAATACATCGTATAATTTAGAACAGTTTTAGGTTCACAGCAAAATTGAGCAGAAGGTACTAAGAGTTCCCTGAGCCCCCACGCAATTGCCCCACTGTCAACATCTGCACCAGTGGTACCTTTGTGACTGTCGATGAGCTTTCACTGACTTTCAAGTCATGATTATCTTGTCTGTTTTGTAAGAGCAAAATTAATTTCCCCAGAAGAATGCCAGATGGGCATCTTAGAGGAGGTAATTATTTTAATTTTCCATGCTTACATTCCTTTAATTCTTATCTTTATGAACTGGAAAACTCTCTCCTCTCTGTCACCATGTCACCTTCTAGCACATGAGGTTACACTAAATGGGGCAGGGGTGGGGGTACAAACACTATGTCTGTGAAAAGCAATCAAGCAAAGGAAGCAGTGCCCAGTTCTCAGCACCCATTTAGGTGAAAACACAAGATGGCCTGCGTGGTTCCTGGAGGGGAAGGCGGGGTCTCCCCTTGTGTGCATCCCTGTTCTGGCCCAGTGAGTCTGCCGAGCAGTGGAGTACAGTGACTCCCGTGGGCAAACGAGGGTCACCTTGCTGTGGAAGCAGTGCAGGCTCACTGCCCTCACACACACACTGCAGAAAGCCATCATGGGCTGCAGGGAGGGACCGCCCTTTTGAGCTCTGTCCCCTCAAAAGGAACAGCTCAGCCAGCTGTCTGACGAGGCCATGGCTTATGTGTGGTAAGGGAGTATGAGACCTTGTGTGCTGTCCAGACAGCAGGGCCCATGACTCCATGGCCACTGGACTGATGGCATGCCTTAATTCACAGGTGGTAAACTTACTGCTGCCTTCCCAAAGCCTCTCCTGAGCCCTAGAGGGGAACCCAGCCTCCCACTTATAGAGACCTGCTCAGCCTTATTCCCGACTACCATCCCACCTGCTGAAGTACAGAAGTAGGGCATAGAAAGCTGACTTGGGTGGCCAGTCATTTCTGCAGTTCCTGCCATCTTCGTCCCCCAGGCTATGCCACTCAGAGTCCTGTACCATGTGTGGGTTCCCTGGGGAGCAGGCAAAAGGCTTCAGGTGAAGTGAAATTGGCCCAAGGAAGATGCAGAAACCAAAGGCTCCAAGAGAGGCACAAGCCAAGGGGTGAACAAAACAGCCTCTGAAGCAAATTGTGCAGGCTGTTAAAACATTAAAAATATATACATGCGGCCGGGTGCGGTGACTCACGCCTGTAATCCCAGCACTTTGGGAGGCTGAGGTGGGCGGATCACCTGAGGTCGAGAGTTTGAGACCAGCCCGACCAACAAGGAGAAACCCCATCTCTACTAAAAATACAAAATTAGCTAGGCGTGGTGGTGCATGCCTGTAATCCCAGCTACTCGGGAGGCTGAGGCAGGAGAATCACTTGAACCCGGGAGGCAGAGGTTGTGGTGAGCCGAGATCTTGCCATTGCACTCCAGCCTGGGTGACAAGAGCAAAACTCTGTCTCAAAAAGAAAAAAAGATATATATATATGTATATATATATATATACACACACACACACACACACACACACACACACACACATATGCAGTATCTATCTATGCATATAATAAAAGAATGCAAGAAGATAAACTTTCTGGTTGATAGGGTGGCAGAAGACTTTAGCTTATTTGTTCTCCTCACCCTCTTCCGATTTGACTCTGGGTAGCCAGGCTCCAGAGGCTCTGCTCTAATTAATACTCTGTGTTGTCCCTTCACAAAATGGAATGTTAGTTCCCCTCCCTCTTCTGCACTCCCATTTAACAATCCAGGATCTAATAGGGCAGCAGCAATACGCCAAAGGAAGACATTCCTTAGAGGAGAAAAACAAGATGAAAACAAAATTGCAAGAGTGGGCAAGGGTGGGAACAAGCTCAGAATAGTGGTGAACAGCAGAGACTTTGCAGCTGGTTGCCTGGGCTCACCCTTTTGGGTCCCTGGGGTGAGCAACCAAATCTCCCTGGGTCTCAGTGTCCTCATCATTATTTTCATCATAGAGAAACAGACACTAAGAGAAGTAAGAGGGATGCTGGAGAGTTACTGCCCTTTGAGTGTGGGCAGAGGGAGTGCAGACTTGATCTTCTTTCATTAGCAGATGGAGCACCTGGGCTACTGATGCACACAGGGGTGTGTACAAACCTCCCCCATTTTGGAACTGGTCAGGGAGGTGACACAGATGCTGCCGTCTCCCGCCTGTCCACTACAGGATCTGAGCGTTTCTTTCTGCAGTCTTCTGGGGGTCCCAGCTTCAGAGCTGGTTCACTTGGCCCTTGGGCACCAGCAGCTTGTTGAGCTGCTGTGCAGATGTCTTGGCATGCTGGTTGGCAGCCCGCACTCTGAGGTCCAGCCCTCCAGGTAACTAGCATGGCACCCTCCAATCTCATCTCTCAGGGAAGAGAGAGTTGGGCAAATGTAGGAGAATGGACAAGAGCATTCTAGGCAGAAGAAATGCCATGTGCAAACACCCCGAGGCAAGGGAACAGCTTGCCCTATTTGTGGAATGGAGAAACCACCATTTTTATATATTGCTCGTGTATTCTCCAAAGTCCCTACTGCAGTGCTGAACATATAATAAGAAGTGCTCAAGAAAAGCATGCTTGACTGGATCCAAGAAAACCACGGAACTGGCTCTTGGATGGGTCTTTGCTGCCTACTTACTTTGGCCCAGCACTCACTCCCATTCCTGGCTTCCTTGCCAGGCTGATCTCCTTTGATCCCCACCCCCATCAATTCTCCTCCCTCAGCTGACCCCTCTTCCCATGCTAGTCCTTGAATCGCCAGTCCTTCAGCTTCTGGCTAGGTTCTGTCAACAGGAGATGAGAGGACTGGAGGCTAAGTCTGCCTATTTCTTCCCCACACCCTTCCTGCCCTGGGTCCTGTTTTCTAGCAGTGACTTCATCTCTCCTGGACTACAGCTCCTGCTGCAGAGCCCCTCCCCCATGACTCCAGGCTCCAAACACAAGTGAAAAGGGATTGGTAGAAAGAAGCTATTGACATTTGGCAACACCTAATGAAAGTAAATTGGATCTAATGATCATTAATATCTGCTAACATCAAAAAAGGTGATCTATAACCAGACAGATTTGATGGCCGTCCATTATATCACCCGTACTGTAGTTTTGTCAAAAAAAAAAAAAAATCCGGATCTAATCAAACTTCTAGTGCTAGCCACTAATTAACAGCATATACAGGAAACAGAGGAATGGGTTACAGTCACACAGGAATACAGTCAGCAAAATTCAAACTGTGCATACTCTGGCAGAACAAACAATCTGGTTTCAAAAAAAGAAAACAAAAACTGCAAGGGAAGGGGAAAGATGAGGGAGAATTTCCAGATTAAAGAAATCCTAAAAGATATAGCAACAAATAGGAATGTGTGCGCTTTATTCGGGTCCTGATTCAACCAACCTAACGTTCAACATTAAAAGACAATCAGAATTGTGAACCAATGGAATATTTATTTGATGATATCAAGTACCTCTGGTTAATTTTTTAAGTGTGATAATGGCAAGGTAGTTTCTTTTTAAAGGAGTTATTATATTTAAGGACAAAATAGCTAAATGTAGTTATTTTGTTTAACATGCAGGAGAAGGGAGATATGGGAAACAAGATCAGCCTTAAGCTGAGGAAGCTGGGGAGTGGCTATAGGGGAGTTCTTAGATTACTAGTTTCTCTACTTTTTTGTATGCTTGAAATCTTCTACTACAAAGGTTTTCTAAAAAACGTTATCTTGAAAAAAAAGAGTGCAATTTCCCTTTCCCTTCTTCCTCACCACCTCTTCACAATCCAAGTAGTTCCATTAATTTTTTCTGTATGTACTTTGAGGCTACTTTATTAGGTGCATGCATATTTAGAAGTGTAATATCTTCACAGTGAGGTGAACCTTTTTATTATTTGGCAGTGACTTTATCCCTGATGATTTTTTGTTTGAAGATCTTTTTATCAACAGACTTTATAACTGTATTAACAGACTTTATATTGTCTGTTAATATAGCCAAACCAACCTTGTTTTTATTAGCATTTGCCTTATATATCTTTTTTCCGTTTTCTTATTTTCAACTTATCTCTGTCCTTATAATTTAGATGTGTCTTTTTTAAACAGCACATAGTTGTCTGAGCACGGTGGCTCATGCCTGTAATCCCAGCACCCTGGGAAGCCAAGGCAGGTAGAACACTTGAGTTTGAGACCAGGCTGGGCAATATAGCAAAACTCTGTCCCTATAAAAAATACAAAAATTGGCCAGGCATGCTACCACGAGCCTGTAGTCCCAGCTACTGCGGGGGAAAGGGGGAGTGGGGCTGAAATAGGAGGATCACTTGAGCCTCGGGAGGTCGAGGCTGCAGTGAGCCATGATCGTGCCACTGCAATCCAGCCTGGGCAACAGAGACCCCGCCTTCTCAAAAAAAAAAAAACTACATAGTTGGATTGGATGTTTTTCTAATCCGACATATTTTAGTATAAATTGGTGAGTTTAGTCCTTTTTCATTTATTGTAACTGGCTTGTTTCTACCATCTTAGTTACTTAGAGTGCTTTATGATTTCCCTTTTCTGTATTCCTTTCTATTTTTTTCTTACTCTTTGAATTGATATCCATATCTCCTTAATAGATAAGAACTATTTTACTAGTTTCTTCTCTCATCTTATCATTGTCTTCTTTTCATTTTCTTTGGGTTTATTCTTTTGCAGAGATGTTCTCAATTTTGATCAAGTCTAATTTACGAGAAAATTTTCTTTTTTTTTTTTTTTTTTTTTTTTGAGACAGAGTCTCACTCTGTCGCCCAGTGCAGTGGCTCGATCTTGGCCCACTGCAAGCTCCATCTCCCAGGTTCGCGCCATTCTCCTGCCTCAGCCTCCCGAGTAACTGGGACTACAGGCGCCCGCCACCATGCCCAGCTAATTTTTTGTATTTTTTAGTAGAGACGGGGTTTCACCGTGTTAGCCAGGATGGTCTCAATCTTCTGACCTCGTGATCTGCCCGCCTCGGCCTCCCAAAGTGCTGGGATTACAGGTGTGAGCCACCGCGCCCGGCTGAGAAAAATTTCTTTTACAGATTTTGCTTTTGTTGTATCTAAGAAGACTTTGCCTATCCCAAGGTCACAAAGATTGTCTTCTGTTTTATTTCTAGAAGTCTTATGAATTTAAGTTTTACATTTAGATTAATAATACCTTTTGACTTAATTTTTAATATAATGTGAGGTATAGCCTGCAGTTCACTTTTTTTGCATATCCAGTGGTTCCAGCACCATATGCTGAAAAGACTATCCTTTCTCCACTACATTGTCTTTGCACGTTTGTTGAAAATTAATAACTCATCTATGTGTAGGAATGTTTTTGGACCTTTTCTGTCCCATTGATCTATTTGTCCATTGGCCCAATGTCACACTGCTTTGATTACTTAGGTTTATAATAATTCTTGAAGTCAGGTGTTGTAAGTCTTACAACTTCTTCAAAATTGTTTTAGTTATCCTAGGTTATCTGCATTTTCATATGAATTTTGGAATCAACTTGTCAGTTTCTGTTATGTAAAACAGCCTGCTGGTTTGATTGGGATGGAATTGAATCTATAGGTCAATTTAGGGAGAAATGACGTCCTAATAATATTTAGAGTATCTGATATATGAACACAATATATACGTCCCTTTATTTAGGTCTGTTTTAATATCTCTCAGCAATGGTTTGCAGTTTTCAGCACATAAGTCATATATATCTTTTGTCAGATTTACCTCTATTTTGTATTTTTGATATTATTATAATTGCTTTTTTTAAATTTTAATTTATGGTTGTTTCTTTGATTTATGGGTTATTTAGAATTTGTTATTTAGTTTCAAAATGTTTAGGGGACTTTCCAGATATCTTTCTGTTATTAAGTCTAATTTAATTATCGCAGACAGGGAACATATTGAACCCTTTTACATTTATTGAGACTTGTTTTATAGCCCAGAATATTTTCTATCTTCGTAAATATTCCATGTATGTTTGAAAAAGAATGTGTGTTCTGCCGTTGTTAGGGAGAATATTCTATAAATATTGATTATATCAAGTTGGTTGATAGTGTTGTTCAAGTGTTTTATATCCTTATCATTTACTGATTATTGAAAGACAGGTATTGAAATCTCTGCTATAAATACAGATTTGTCTACTTCTCCTTGCAGTTCTATCACATTTTGCTTCATGTATTTTGAAGTTCTGTTATTAGGTACAAAAATGTTTCAGATTGTTATATCATCTTGATGAATTGACCCTCTTATTGCAAAATGACCCTCTTTCTCTTTGGTAATATTTTTTGCTATGAAATCTACTTTGATATTAATATAACCACACCAGCCTTCTTTGATTAGGTTTAGCATGGACTATCTCTTCGTCCTTTTACTTTTAACCTATTTTGTCTTCATATTTAAAGTGGATTTCTTATAAGCAGTATATATTTGGATATTGTCTTTTAAAAATCCAATTTGACAGTCTTTGCATTTTTATTGCGTTGTTTACACCATTAACATTAATTGGTATGATTTGTTTTAAATCTACCATCGTGCTATGTGTCCTCTATTTCTCTCATCTGTTGTTTATTCCCTTTTTCTCTTTTTATGCCTTGTTTTGGATCAAGTGAGTATTTTTTATGATTCCATGTTATCTCTTCTGTTGGCTATTTAACTATTGTTCTTTGTGTTTAGTGGTTGCTTTAGGATATATAATACACATCCTTAACTTATCACAGCCTGCCTTCAGGTGATATTTTATCACTTTTTGTGTAGCATAAGAACCTTAAAATGGTATATTCTCATTTCTCCCCTCTTGGCCTTTATGCTATTGTACAAAGTACAACTTTACTTCTACATATGCTATAACCCCACAGTACATCATTAATAGTTTTACTTTCAACGGTGGGCTATTTTTTTTTTTTTTTTTTTTTTTTTGAGACAGAGTCTTACTCCGTCACCCAAGCTGAAGTGCAGTGGCACAATTTCGGCTCACTGCAACCTCCTCCTCCCAGGTTCAAGCAATTCTCCTGCCTCAGCCTTCCGAGTAGCTGGAACTGCAGGCACCCGCCACCATGATCAGCTAATTTTTGTGCTTTTAGTAGAGACAGGGTTTCACCATATTGGCCAGGCTGGTCTCGAACTCCTGACCTTGTGATCTGTCCACCTTGGCCTCCCAAAGTGCTGGGATTACAGGAGTGAGCCACTGTGCCTGACCACAGTGGGCTATTTTTAAAGCTATTTAAGTAGTTTTAAAAAGTATTAATATATAACCACATCGTTGCTTTTCAGATGCTTTTCATTCCATGTGTACATCCAGATTTCCATCTTGTGTCACTTTCCTTCTGTTTGAAGGAATTCCTTTAACATGTCATGTAGTGACAGTCTGCTGGTGATTTCTTTCAGTTTGCATACGTCTAAAAATATCTTTATTTCACCTCTGCTGTTGAAAGATAGGTTTGCTGTGTAAAGAAGTCTAGACTGACAGGTTTACTCTCCCTGACTGCAAATATATTTTCAAAGGAAAATCCAGAGAATTAAGATTAAGTACTTCTAACAAAAATGAGAGCCTGTTTACTCTTACTTATATAAATAAATAAATATGAATAAATTATATATATATATATATATTTAAACTTGCATGTCCTCTGCATGCCTTTTAAAACCTGAACACATACATGCAATTTCAGGGGCTGGGAGGACAGGAAGAAAGCTCTCCTGAACCAAGAGCCATGGAAATGAATGCTCCATCTGTGTGTTTGGTTTCTATTTTCAGGCTCAGAGAAGAATGGAAGCAGAGGCTGGAAACAAAGCTGAGGCTGCGGAACAATCCAGAGGACACTGAAAAGAGGACAAATGTTGGCTGAGAGCTTCCTGCTTCATTGACACAAGAAGATGCAAAACACTGAGGTCACTTTGCTAGAAGTCAGTGCAAATTCCTGAGTCCCTTTGCTATACCAATCAGCTCTCACACTATTGTTTCCCCACCTGGGAGAGGACTTACCTGTAAATCCTTTCCCAGTGTTTGATGGCAGTTATTGGCCAAGTCAGTCCTCTGTGCATGGGCGCCAGGTTATTATCCCAAATGTCTCTAAAGATAGCTTATTTAATATCGAAGCTCCATGCAGCATTCCTTGCTTCTATATAATTATCTTCTAATTTTGAAATCCAAATATTTTAAACTCTAAACACACCAAGAGGAATCCTCAACCTTCATGGTCAAACTTTAAACACTGTACAGTGGTATTGCCCCACCATTTCACCTAGGAAACACAGCTTTATGGAATTCTTGTTTTCTTTTTATGAGAAGAGAAATGCACCTATCTGCAGAAATTAAAAAACAATTATCAATAGTCAAAGTACAATTTGAAAATAAATTGATCTAATATTCTTTTTTCTTCATATAAATTTAATTAGCTTTTTCAAAAGTATGTTTACCAAGAATAATATCAGAATAATTTTAATAAAACTTGGTTGTCCTGTCATCACTATGCACATGCCTTCATTTTATTGCTTTATTTTAATCTCTGCATGTTTACACTGGTTGGCTCTCTGTCAGCCCAGCCAAAGCATATCTGGCCATTCCACAGAGTGTTTACCACACAGATTCTGGATTTTGAAATGGTATAGTCACTCCCTTGCCATCTCTCAAGTTCAGAAGCACCAGGGTTTGATGCTTCCAAGAGTGCAAACTGTAACTGGGCCTGAGGCAATTATTTTAACCAAGGGAAGGGAGAAGAGATGCAATGATATAAAGTCCTGGGTACTTGCTGGCTGTAAGCAGCACCTGCAAGGCCTTATATACTATACACAGAGGCACTGTATGGCAGACGCACCTGACAGCAATAACAAGATAATAAGTTAAGCAAATACACTGAGAATGACATTATGGTCTAAGAAGAATGTGTGTTCGGAGTCCCAAGCTAAGGAATCCGGGAGTGGCCAACCGGGAGTTTCATACCTTAATTGTGAAGGACACCTGAACCCCCAGCCATCCTTTGGAACATAGGTTGTACAGGGGATCAAAGCCTTCTGTTTTGGGTTAGATGGTGGTTGCTAGGTGGAGGGTGCTAAGTGAAAATGCTATATAAACTGCATGCTTTTTACAAACAGTAGTGGTTCTCTTGTCCAGCCCACTGCTACTGGACCATCCCTATGTAAGTTCCCCCAATAAACCCTATGTCTCATTCACTGTCTCTGAGTGTCTTCTTTGTCTTCTCAGACATGGTGCCATTCCACTGGAGTCAATAGGAGCCTGGCTTGACATAACATTACTAGGAGATGCAGAGAGTCAGGCTGGCCAATTCTGCCAGTGGTGAGTGTGGTGTTGCAGTCTTCTAAGTATCCTAATACAGCATTAAGTATTTCCATCCACATCCCTAGGGAACCCATTAGGCTTTATCAGGCCAATGGGAACCTCCCAGAGGAAAGCAGGACTGGGGGAGTATTTCCCCAGCTTCCACACTTAATATGATCCAAGGAACAGGGCTTAGAGCCCTCTCTCCCTCTATGGTCTCTTATTCAATCTTGGATTCAATTCAACTAATAAATTACAAATTCAAGCTGGGGAAATTTGAGAATGTTTAGATGAAGAAGGAATTTTTGTTGGGTGTAGGAGGAACGTAGGAATTAAATAGAGGTCGAAAAAAAGTCATAGCTTGCGGGGCTGAGAGGCTCTCAGAAGCAAAGGCCTGCCTTCACAAACTGCAAATGCTGTTGCTGGGATTGAAATGCAGTAGAGTGAGGCGGGAAATACAGGTGAAGATTCATTGTGCATTTACTCATTCACCATATGCCAGGCACTGTGCTAGACAACCAGAATCCAGCAGAAAAAAAAACAGAGGTGTCAGCTCTGGAAGCCACAGTCTAGGGAAGAAGCCACTGGGAGTCACAGCAGGCCATGGTGCCCACACCCTGTGGGAACACACTCTGGACTAAGGAAGATCATATACACATGATCCAGGAGCAGTGAGTATTCAGAGCTGGCAGGTCCTGGGTACTTTGAGGAAATACATTCAGCAAAGTTAGAGTGGGACTGTGGAGAAGGCACAGCACACAGGGCCTTGCTGGCTGATGGATTTGAGCTTTGCCTAAGGGCACAGGGAGCCCCTGAAGGGTATTAGCAAGGAGACGGCTGGAGCACTGCCCAGAGACAGGAGGTGAGAGGACAGAGGTGGGAGGCCAGTCACGAGCTCCTGCAGATGGCTCTGGAGAGGCCTTGGTGCCCTGGAGGGTGGGGTCAGGAAGGTAAGGGGTAGACAAGGAGGAGGACCATCTTGGAGGGAAGCGCACAGCTCCCTGAGTGATGGGGTGCAGAAGGAGGTGTGTGTCCAGGCAGTTAGAAGTGGCAGACGTTCTTGGAGGCTGTGAAAAGGTAGGGAATATGAAGGAAAAATATGATGTGGGAATAGAGGTGGTGGGGACACATCAGAAGCATGATGAGTGAGACGGCCCAGGAGACATGCAATTTGCGCCAAGGAGCATGGAGGAAAATTCTATTCCCAGGTTGCTGCCCAGCTACTCTAGAACACTACCTCCTCAGGGCGCTGCTTAGATATAGTATAGAAATGGGTATCTCAGGGCCTGACTGATTTCCTCATGGGGGATAGAGACCTGATAGAAATCTTGGCTGGTTCCAGGCCAATATCCAGGGCAAGCACATGAATCCATCAGAGTCAGCCTCAGGGAGAATGATGAGCCCATGGCCAAGGAGATAGTGAGCAGTTTTGGATTTGGAAAGCCAGTTTTCTTGGGAAAGATTTTATTACAGGTGTGCTGACAGGTGAAACAGTTTATGGGTGTTCTGTCTCTGAGTATTAAAAAGGGCATCCTGTTTTTGAAATACCCAAGCATTGCTGACTTCTCAGAGCTCTATATCTGTCCCAACACCTGAATGTGTATTGAATAGATTTTTATTGATTGGTATGTTTTGGTTACAAATGTTTTAGGTGCTTTTCTGTAAAGTACCTAAATACAAATAGAATGAAATTACTCGATTAGGACTGACATATAAAGTTAAATTTTCATATTCACTGATATGGATGAAACTCATCATTTTTAAGGCTCCAGTGGTTCTGTTCTAGGAACATATGTTTCTGTGGAACCTGGTAGATGCGTAACATAGGATTGATCTGTTCACAGTCTCAAAATAGCCTTGGAGGTTGACCCAGGCCTTGAAGCCCTGCTCTCAGGCCACTCTGCACCATTGGCTCGGTGACCTCCCAGAGATCTGAATAGGCCTAGTTGCTGCTCCTTGGAAACCTTGACTCCCCACAGATGAGCAGAAGCTGCTTCCTTTTCCCTAATCTATGGAAGGGTCACCAGGATAAAGCCCCTAGCGGGTGTGGAAGCCAGCTTTGGGAGAACCTAAGAAGTGCAATGGGAGCAGCTGTGAAAGGAAGATTGTGACTATACAGTCAAGCTGTGAGGCCAGGAAGACCCGGGACCCCCTCAGGGCTCTCAGAGGCTGAATATGAGGGCAGAAATCTCAGCTGCTTTGGCAGCAGAACAGCCGTGGGGACAGGAACACTCATATATTAATGAGACGCAAATTATCTTTCGGGTGCTTGTAGCACAAGCACATAGTCTTATAAGAAACACTTGAATAACAACTCCATTCAAAGCAGGGCTAGGCAGACTGAATAGATCAGCTCGGGGCTTATTTCCTCCCTCATTTAGCAGAGAGCTGGCTTAGCTTTCTGAATTGCTCAACGTAAAACACACTGAGACTAGCTGCTAAGCTTCAGAGGCTTCTCTCCACACAAGGCCACTTCCTGACCGGGAAGCTTCCAGTGTTTTCTAATTGCCCAGATGTTGCCATTTGGCCTATAGAGTGAAGGGCTTTACAGGGCGTGGTGCTTCTGGAGCTTTTCCACCCTGCGCCCAGCACAGCTGTGCCAGCCCAGGCCCAACTCCGGGCTGTGTGCTCTGCTGCTTCTCTGCCTGCAGTTTCCCCACAACAAACATAATTTTGTCTTTCTATCGAGCGATGGCTTTAGTGACGGGTGTCCCATGACCATGTTCTCAACAGCGGCTTCATTCAGGCCCTCCCTAGACCCAGAAGGCTGTCTTGGAGGACAGCTCCCAAGTATCCACGGAACTTGAGGCAAGAAGAGGGAAAGATACAAAAAAGGCAGAGAACAAAACTGAGGAAAGTAACACCCGCAGAGGGAGAGAAAATACAGCTTTCTGGAAAGACTGTTGCACGGGGTTTAGAAAAATTCATTCTTGATCATGGCTGTTTTGGCCAGGGGCCAGTCAGGAAAAAAAAAAAAAAAAGCCAGGAGGAGGAAGAGGAGAATGAGGATGACGAGGAGAGGGGGAAGAGGAGGGGGTAAGAGGAGCAGGGAGAGGAGGAGAATGGAGGAGGAGGAGGGGACGAGGAGGAAGAGGGGAAGAGGAAGAGGAGGGGGAGGAGGAGGAGAAAGAGGAGGAGGAGAGAAGGAAGAGAGGAGGAGGAGGGGAAGAGGCGGGGAGGCAGCCCCTGCCCACTCGAGGTGGTTCGTCAGAGTCGCTGTTGCATAGATCTGGTTACTAAGGTACTGGAATAGCTGAGACACCAAACAGGAAACAGCAGGCAACCCAGGACTCCTCAGCACCAAGTTGCTGCTCAAATCCCTAGCACTGCAGGGACAAAGGAGAGTCGCCTGGTGGGAACTGGAACCACATGGAGAAGTATCCCCAGGAAGCTCTGGGCCTGCGGAGGGAGGCGGTGCGGGCGACGCTGAAACCCAGCAGCTGCGCCGCCTGAGGCGGAGGTGAGAAGCGCCCTGGCTGGGCCTCCCTCCGGCGCCTCCCAGTGGCCGCAAGCTGGTCGGCGGCAGGTGCTGCGCAGTCAGCAGGACCCCGCGATGCGAACGAGAATGATGGGCATAAGGACTCCTCTCCATTTGCTGTGACATGTCAGGACAGGCCTTTCTTTCCGAGTTTCCCTTCTGAGATGGAAAGCGGTCTTTAGGCGTTTGTCCAGATCTGAATTTCTATGAGACAAGCATGAACTCTATCAGGAGACGTTGTGGTGGAACCACACCTGGTCATGGGCCTGGTGGGTGTGTCCTTCAAGAATGGGGTCTTCGGCCGGGTGCAGTGGTTCACGCCTGTAATCACAACACTTTAGGGGGCCGAGGTGGGCAGATCACCTGAGGTCAGTAGTTCGAGACCAGTCTTGCAAACGTGGTGAAACCCCATCTCTACTAAAAACACAAAAACTAACCAGGCGTGGTGGTGGGCGCCTGTAATCCCAGAGACCTACTCGACAGGCTGAGGCAGGAGAATCGTTTGAACCCTGGAGGCGGAGGTTGCTGTGAGCCGAGACTGCGCCACTGCACTCCAGCCTGGCGACACAGCAAGACTCCGTCTCAAAAAAAAAAAAAAGAATGGGGTCCTCATGCTAATATTGACCCGGGAGGAGCTAAAGTCTCTCCCACCACAGAGGTGGCCCTAAATCTAGGCAGAGTCTGGGAATGACAGAGTGGAGGTGTGATATGTCACCTGACATTCTGTTTCATGATGACAGGTACCGCATTCCACACTGACTCTTGTACCCCACGCAGGGTTGTGGCCTGGCTATTCTGGGTGTGTGGCTCCTGAGACAACGGTTGTGCTGCAGGTCCTTTCAGTGTAGCTTTCTCAGGAAAAAGTATTTAGGGCATGAGGTGAACCAATGGGAAAGGCAGACATTTTACTTGTTTTCCAAATACATTTATCAAGCATTATCAAGTCTGAGATTTTACCCTGCTTACAAGTTAACACACTAGCCTGCCATCGTTTCATGGATGTGGCAGGAGGCGTGAGGCTCCTGGATCAGGGACAGGATGGTTTAGCACTGACAGCAATAGCAGTAGTCAGGGTATCGGCACCTGCACCCATTCCTCAAACCTCAGTTCCCACTGAAAACATGAGGAGGACAGGTGAAGAGCCCTGAGGTTAGGAAACTCAAATCTTGAATAAGGGGTAGTAAGCTTGCCTGACCTTTGCCCTGGTGGAAAACACTATCCCTACCTTCAAATTCTGGAAGAAAACCTGCCCTCTCCCATATTGAGATTCCATACCTGTCAAGGCTGCTTATCATACAAACATCCTTGGAAAGGTAGCCTGGAGCACAGGCAGCCAGTGCTTCTGCTCAGAAGATGTGCAGGAATTCTAGAGACCCAGGAAAAATGCCTCCCAACAACATCCACCCCTTATTTCTATACTGTCTTGGCTTCTGGTGAATTTCCCCAGAGGAGACTATTTATCTGACTGACAGAAGCTGGGACCAAATTCATTTAGTGTGTCTCATACAGCATTGAATTGAGTCAACTATGAAAGGACTTCAAACAGCAAGATGAAGCCAACCTGCAGTACTGACCACAGCCATGCCTCCAAGGGTCCTTGATCCAAATAGCAGAACAAATCACATAAACTCTCAGGGCCTACTTTAGAAAGGCATGTGACTTGAGTTTCTGTATCGACTGTTCCTCTTGTCCAGAGGCCTTAATTAATCCAGGAATGGCGGCATGTACTAGTGATTGCACAGACTCCATGTTGGCCTGCACGGAGGAAGTCTAGAGAGATTCCATTATCCGTAATAACCCTGAACCAGTGAGCTGAGGCTGCCCTGAATGTCTTCCATTGCCAAGGTGGTGATCACTTCAGCTAAAACCAGGGACAAATTTCATACCATTAATTATGTGGCTTCCATTATAAGGGAAAATATCCTGAGAGTATATATGCATAGTGAGTCCGAGTAACTGAATTACTCATTTTGGAGCAATTTTAGAAGTTGTCTGAGGGCCACATGATCCACTGGCGGTATTTCCTTAAGCACTCAGAGGTCCCTCGTGGCCAATCCTAAGGTACAAGTCACCTAGAGGCCTGATAGGATGGAGAGTTGGATGTCTGCATCCAACAAAACCATGAAAGATGAAGTCCTTCCCTTCTCTGAATTTCCCCAGCATACTTGGATGGGTGTGTGCACCCATCTTGGGGAAAAGGAGACCTCCACCCCACCCCTAACAAACTTTCTCCTTAAAGGAGCTGAGGTTAAAGTAGAGGGGAACAGAGGGATGGATTTTCTAAGCATGGTGTGAAAGGGTGAAACTCTAAAGAAAAATATTGAGAGATCTGACATTATGATGATTTTTGAATATCCCAACTTGTGAATACCAAAAATGAAATAGATTTAAATTTAAAAGCAAGTAGAAAGTCATACGAAAAGTTTGAAATATTTTAATATATCCCTTTTTATATCATATAATAAACTTAATAGACTATGCTTGTACCAATCAATAAAACAATAATCAACAATCTAATATGTAAAGAAGCAATAGCTATAAATCTGCAAATTCACAACAATGGAGATATCATGAGTAATAAAATAGTACATTGTAATATTTGTGAATTATAAAAAGGCACAATAAGAGAATTTGAATTTTTAAAAACAAAACTGGCAAAGATTTTTAGAGATCATTGAACCTATATATTTTTTACTATATTAGATAGTTGTTCAATGAGTATCCACTTTCTCACTCTCTATCTCCGTGGGAGGCTGGGCTTGGCCCCATGACCTGTTTTAGCAAACAGAGCATGAGCAACAGTAACTGGCCAGTTCTGAGCAGAGGCCTCTCTGCTCAGAGACATTGTGAAATTCTTCTTGCCCTTCTGGAAGCTTCTGACCTCTGTGACAGAAACACATGCTCCAGGGAGCTGCCCCTCTCCAGCCTTGGCTGCAGAGAGTGGCATTGCAGTGCAGATCTGAACTCAGCCTGCAGCCTAAAGCAAGCCACCCTAGCAGACTCAGGGCCCCACAGCCTGAGGCAGAGCTACCCAACCAACCCTTGAACACTGGAGTGAGGAAAAAAGTTTATTGTATATGCCATTGAGATTTGGGGGTCAGGGTTTATTCTGCAACAAAAGGCTGACTTAAGACACAAATTGGTACCTAGAAGTGAGTATTCTATAACACAGGCCTAAGACAGGTAGCAGTAGTTTAGGTATCAAACAGTACAACAAAACATAATAGGCTGATAAACGTGATAAAACGGTTACAGAAAGCTAGAAAAAAGCGGCCAGTGTTATTGTCATGAAAAGACAAAACTCCGTTCAGTTGTTGTCTGTGATAACCTGGAAGACTGAACATGTCTTTTGTGTTCACGGCTCTATGCCTGGCATCAGACTTTGCTCAAAGCAGATATTCAAACACCAAGGGAATGGCTCAAATATTTTGGGCTAAGATGAGCATAGGAAAGAGGTTGAAGGTCTATTAGAGGAAAATAACTCGATTTCCCTATCCACCTTAGTGGTGGTGTATGGACTTTTAAATATCCATCTCCGGCTGGGCATGGTGGCTCATGCCTGTAATCCCAGCACTTTGGGAGGCCAAGGCGGGTGTATCACTTGAGGTCAGGAGATCAAGACTCTTTACTAAAAATACAAAAATTAGCCATCTCCTGAATGGTTAATGCCAGCCACTTGATCAGGCTTGACTCATGGCTGATGCTGCTGAAACGTGTAACAGGAAGCCCTGCAGGGCTCCCGAGGGCATGGTCAGGACTGCCTGGGATATGGGGAGCATGAGGGCAGCTTGACCAGAACGCAGGGCTTGCCTCAAGGGGGTGGTGATGGGAGCTCTCCGCTGACCCTGGAACTAGGACTAGAAGTTTCTAGCCATGGCCCCTCACACAGGCTTCATAGGTGCTCAGTTGCCAACTTATTTCATGTGGTTCCTCATTTCACATACCATTGGAGGAAGGGTGCCATCTCGGGCTATTTCTGAATATTGCTGCTCGTAGAACTTGCTGAAAATCAAGGTCCTTGGGGGTACAACGAGTTGATTTTCAAACTTATGTTAAGTTGGTGTTTGTACCCAGGCACAGCCCAGGGCTGCAAAGCCCAGGGCAAAAACAGCCCCCTTGGTTTCCCATGAGTTTCAGCAGAAAAGAGGGAAGAAAGGGAGGCCAGAAGCCTCCCATGTCCATAACAGAAGCTTCACGGGACATCTTAAGGCGATAATATCTATAAATCTGTGCTCCAGCATTGCCCTGTCCTGGAATGGGCCTGATTCAAATCCCATATTGTTTCCACAGGCATTTGCAGAGAGAGTGGACCACTGACGGAACACTGCATTTGCTGGTCGCCACCCTGCTGTGCCTCAGTTACCACATATTTAGGGCATCGACTGTGTTTCTGGGAGACGATGCTCTGATGGCTTCTTTCTGTTTCTTCTCATGCAGCTTCCACCATCTGTGGAAAACAAGATCTGCTTCTTTTCCCCTGAAGCACCATGTCTGCAGGGATGGTGACCCTGTTAGCGGTGGGTTTTCCCGTTTATACAATAGATGAACTATATGGAATTGCACTGGGAGCATTTCCGAATCAGCCCGATTTAAAATATTGAGTTTGACAAGTTTTTGCCCCTTTTAAAAATGTTTATTTTCTCCCCAGTGTTGAAGGAAGTGGTTAAGGGAGATGTGAGGATTCTAATCTATGAAATTTGAATTTCTGGGCTTCCACATCAGCCACACTCACTCCGCATCTTCTGTAACCGATTTCTCTTCAAAGAAGAAACTCCTAAGTATCATTTCCTCTTCCTGCTGTTACTGCTACAGTCCCACCATCAAGAACACCCCTGCTTGGAAAGAGGCAGAGAAGCTCCAATGACCTCCCACTGTCCCTGCCCAACCCCACTGCCCTTGCCCTCCGTCTGCAAAGAGGAAAAGGCCCAACCCATGGCCCTCAGCCAAGGTCAGTGCTGAAAGGCAAGGCCAGTGCTTTACCAGCACCAGGTCCAGGACCAACTCATGCTTCCCTTCCCAGGGTGAGAAACTATTGATAAATGAACCCCAACAGGGGCCAAATATGTCTCTTCCTCAACTGAAGGAAAAGACACTTATTTATTTATTTTGGGGGGACAGGGTCTCCCTCTGTTGCCCAGGCTGGAGTGTAGTGGTGTGATCATAGCTCACTGTAACCTTGAACTCCTGGGTTTAAGCGATCCTCCCACCTCACCCTCCTGAGTACCTGGGACTACAGGCAAGAGCAATTGCACCTGGCAGACCTTTATTTTAAATATGTGAGTTTCCTGTGAAATAGCCACACTCAATGATACTGTGCCGGGGTGTGCCAGGCCTCCTAACTCTTGGGGTCAAGCCACAAATTAGCAATACTCTGAGGATCCGTTTCCAAAAATTTCACTTTGTTTACAATAGTAACTCGGGCTGCTTTTGCCCCACACTTCACCAAATTGTGTTGATCATAAATGGACTTATATAGTTACTGTACGATTTGTAGGGGGATGCAGGAGGTAGGGCTCAAAGATTTGCTCTGTTCTCTGTGAGTGCTATATAGGATCAAAGAGTGAGACGGCATTTCTGGTTAATAACAGAGCCTGAACCAAGTGTAAGTGAGACACAGTCTGCCCATTATGGTGTGTCCCCTTCAAGCAGATGCATTTTCACAGCTAAAAAGTCATTGTAACCCCAGGTGGTTTTGTATTTGAGGAATTTATGTGTGATGCCTCAGCATCCTCTTGTCTCCTCATTCCTGTATCAAATATTCCTGTTTCCTGTATTCCTGTTTCTTTACCCATCTGTCACTCACACCATCTGTATCTTATATTTTCATAACAACTTGCCATAGCTTGGAAAGGACAGGTTTTGCATGTCTGTGTACTTGTGGACATCAAGTGCTTGATTTAACGCCCTTCCCTTATGAGTGCAGCAGGATCTGAAGATAAAATAGTGATCCCTGTTCTTGGGCCTAGTGGAAGGTGAGGAAGGTTATTCTTGTCTGTCACATATATTCATATGCCGGGCAGTGTGGCAAGGGGAAAACATCACCAGCCCAAAGCATCTGAGAAGTCAAATGCTTGCTCTATGTCTCCAAGGACAGATGACTGTGCCCAAAAGGGCGTGATTCCTCCTACGTGATAGTGCCAAACCCTTAAACATTCATTCCTTCATTCACTTATATAAAATAGAATCCGTCTATATCTGTTTTTGTAATCAAGCAATTTATCCTAAGCAAATGTCTAATGTACAAACATATTTGCATGTTAATGACCTCAAGGTAGTATAAACCAATGAATCGTGATTTATTTAATCGCACTCCATCTCAAAAAAAAAAGTTTCTTAAAATTCAAGTGCTAGGTAAAAGCATGTGGACATTGAGACTTTGATACGTATTAAAAACTGCACAGCAAAAGTGAAACAATTTGCCTTTCCAGCAGTCTTATGTGAGAGTATACAGTCCATGTACTTTACAGAGCTTTGTGTTAGCATTCTTTGTAACCTTAGTAAATTTGGTAAACGAAAAATTATATTGGATAATTTAAATGCTGGCTTCCTTATATAACAATGTAAGGAAGTAACAATGATCTCACTTTCTTTGTTATCCATTTTTATATACACTATTGTTATCGCCTGTGGTGTCCATTTGCCCCCTTTTCTACCATGAAAATTTTTGCATTTGATATACGATAGCTTTCTAAAATATTAATTGATGATTAATATAATTAATAATTATTTTAATATTTTACCTATAATATTGTCAAAAATATTTCCCAATAATACTTTTATATTTAATTCACGGGAATTTTACTGTAAAATTAGTGCTTTTTATTTGTTAAATCTTTAATTTTGTCATTCTTTTACTTATGTTTTCTGAATCTGATATCATGACCTCTACAATGTTTGTTTACAAAAATATTTACTGATATATTTTAATATCTGTTGTTGTAGTTTGTTATGTTGAACTCATTAATATTTTGAGATTAACTTGGGAAT
Source organism: Homo sapiens (assembly GCF_000001405.40). Lineage (NCBI taxonomy): Eukaryota > Metazoa > Chordata > Mammalia > Primates > Hominidae > Homo > Homo sapiens. The sequence continues at coordinate 46,637,114 of NC_000003.12, forward strand.
GCAAAAGTACAAATGATAACATGAATTTTAATTTCCAAACAATTAACATGCATCGACTCCTGAATAAACCATTCTTTTCTTATTGCATTCAAATCCCACACATGGCCGGGCGTGGTGGCAAATGACTGTAATCCCAGCACTTTGGGAGACCGAGGCGGGTGGATCACCTGAGGCCAGGAGTTCGAGACCAGCCTGGTCAACATGGTAAAACCCTGTCTCTACTAAAATTACAAAAATTAGCCGAGCGTGGTGACATGCATCTGTAATCCTAATTACTTGGGAGGCTGAGGCAGGAGAATCACTTGAACCCGGGAACTGGAGGTTGCAGTGAGCAAAGATCGCACCACTGTACTCCAGCCTGGGCCCAAATTGCAAACCATACGGCCCAAATTGCAAAACCATCATCTGGACCTGCCATAAAGCCTTTGTCTGTTCTAGATCTTACTCAAGGCTTTCAGCCTTCCCTGTCCCTAGTTATATGGAATAGAGTGGTATTCCTAGGTGTGGAATGTGTTGCCACCAGAAACCAAAGAAGATACGAGATGCTGTATTTCCTTCCCTGTGGTAGCAGATGCATGATGCCCCCTATATGCCTATCTCAGTATTCCGGGACCACAGGACACCAAAGAACTTCACTGAAATGGCAGGTCCCTGAATCTTCATAGGGTTTATCTCTCACTAAATGTGGAACTAATGTGTCTTAACAAGGCTTCCTCTGTACTAGCCCTCTTTTGTTAGTTCTGACTGATCAGCATGATGTTTTATCGATATAATGAATTTCATGTGATGTTCTCTGGTAGATCTGGACAATCCAGATCTTGTTACACTATATTATGACAGAAGGCAGGAGAATTCACATGGCTGTGAGGCAAAACCATAAATGAATATATTTGTCTAGTCTACCTAAATGCAACCTTTTTTTAATTCCTTTTCCTATTTGGAAAGGAAAAGAATGAATCCACCATATTAATAACCACATACATGTTCATGAGGTCTTATTAATACGCTCTAGCAATGATATCACATCTGGCACAGCAGCTGTAATCAGGGCTACTATTTGATCAAGTTTGTAGAAGTCTAAGTTTACAGAATCCACTCAGTTTCTGCAGGGTCCAGACTGATGAGTTCAATGGAGATCTAATAGGGAACACCACCCAGGTCTTTAGTGGTGACACTAATCATCATCCTCAGGATGTGATATTATTTTTTATTTACTCTTGTGGCTGGGAGGACTGTTTTAGAGATTTCCATGTGGCCTTTTTCACTAAGATAGTTCTTATCCCACAGGCCAAGGACCTTGTGTTGTGATTACTCCAACTGTGAAGAGACCAATTCCAATTAAGCCCTCAGGAACTGTAGAAATGACCACTGGCTGGCTCTCCAGATCCAATAGGCCTACTGTAAACTAGACTTCATTTATTGAAGCAAGGACTTCACTTATTACCTGCACCTCACAAGTCCCCACTCTAACAGGAAGACCATAATGGTGCTTTGGGTCCCTGAGTATTAATGTCAACTGAGACCCTGTATCCAATAGCCCTCAAGATGTCTAGGGATTCTCCTTTCTATACAGCCATCCAAGAAAATGCTCATATGTCCCTTTGAGAAGAACTGGGACAATCATTACAGTATATACTTGCTTTGGTAAACGAAATCTTCATCCTAGAGACTCGGCCATCTCTTGAGTCGACAGAATCTGAAAATTAGCTATTGTTGTTTTTCAGTCTTCTAAAATCCACCCTAGCCATGAGTTTGACCTATCCCATGGGATCTTTGCCAGGGTGTTAAATCTCCTCTTTCAAGACAGTGCCTTCAAGTCAATGAATTCTTTCTTACCCGGCCTACATTCCAACCTTCTTGAATAAGCACATTCAAAATTCAATACTAATGATAATCCTTGGTCCCAGCTAGCTAGCTAATTCTTTCAACTCCTTTGGTGGGTAATTTCTTTCTTCTCTTATCAGACACACCGCAGCTCCAGTCAGGTTATGCTGGGATTTAACACTAGTCATTGGACTGGCAACCAGGAGAGAAAGTAGGATAGATAAATAGGGAAACACCTATTGTCTTGTTGGGGAGAAGGCTCTTTAGTATCTTGCGCATAGGGGGAAGTGCTAGCTCTTACTAGGGAAGGGTAGGCCACCTCTGCAAGCTCTATGTGTTTGGGGATGGGGGTGGGGTGGGGTGGAGTAGTCTTCAGAACTCACATCCTCAAAGACATTAATCCAGGTACCCCCATCCCATATTTCAGTACCAGGATTCCCCAGCCAAAGTCCTCACCTTAGCCTAAGGGAGCTGCTTTGGCAATCAAACATTCCTGGACTTCTGTGGCTCTATCAGATCCTTGGTCAGCCACTCAGCTGTGTCTGGTGTCCTACTGCAGGAGATAAGGCCTCTCTGTAAGCTACTAAATATGTCCTTTAACTCTAACACTTAGCCTTTAACTGCTAGTTAATGACACTCAGTTTCTCCTTACCCTCTATAGGACATCAACACAACTCAACAATAACCAGACAATGCCTGTCTTTGTAGGCACTTTCCCCCATATATATCAACCTGAAAGACTCCTTTTAGTATTTCATTGTCATATCTGGGAATGAACTATCTCAGTTTTTATTCATCATCTGGGAATGTCTTAATTTCTCCTTTATTTTTGAAGGATAGTTTTGCCAGATATAGAATTCTGGACTGATAAGGATTTTTTTCTTTTAATACTTTAAATATGTCATCCCACTATCTTCTGGTTGCCATGATTTCTGATAAGAAATTGGCTGTTAATCTTATTGAGCAGCTGTCCCCAATCTTTTTGGCACCAGGGACCAGTTTCATGGAAGACAATTTTTCCACAGACCAGGGTGGGGGGGATGATCTGGGGATGATTCAAGTGCATTACATTTATTGTGCACTTTATTTCTATTATTATTACACTGTAATATATAATGAAATAATTATACAACTCAACATAATGTAAAATCAGTGATAGCCCTGAGCTTGTTTTCCTGCAACTAGATGGTCCCATCTGGGGGTGATGGGAGACAGTGACAGATCAGCAGCCATTAGATTCTCATAAGGAGTGTGCAACCAAGACCCCTCATGTAGATTTCCCACTCCTATGAGAATCTAATGCTGCTACTGATCTGACAGGAGGCAGTTGGTAATGCCAGTGATGGGGAGTGGCTGTAAATACAGATGAAGCTTCACTCACTTGCCTGCTGCTCACCTCCTGCTATGTGTCCCATTTCGTAACAGGCCACAGACAAATACCAACTCGTGGCCCCAGGGTTAGGGACCCCTGTTATTGAGGGTCTCCTGTATGACAAGTCACTTCTCTCTGGCTGCTTTCAAGAGTCTCTCTTTAGCTTTGGCTTTACTTAGTTTGATTATAATGTATCTCAGTGTGACTGTCATTGAGTGTATTCTACTTGGAGTTCATTGAGTTTTGTGGATTTGTAGATTTATGTTTTCCATCACATTCAGGAAATTTCTGACCAATTATTTTTTCAAATACTTTTTCTTCCCTTTTCTCTCTTTCTTTTATTTCTAGGTCTCTCATAGTGTATATGTTTGTATGCTTGATGATATAACAAAGTTGCTTAGGCTCTGCTCATTTTTCTTAATTTTTTTTTCTTTTTCCTCCTCAAACTGAATAGTTTCATTGTGCCATATTCAAGATCACTGATTCTTCATTCTGTCTGCTCAAATCTGCTGTTGAAACCCTCCATCAAATTTTTCATTTTAGCTATTGTACTTTTCAGCTCCAGAATTCCTATCTGGTTTCTTTTTCTTATTTCTATCTTTTTATGTTTTGGGGGGGATTTTTTGAGATGGGGGGTTTCACTATGTTGCCCGGGGGCTAATCTTGAGACAGACAGACCAAGCCTGGAGACCCAGCTGCAAAATTCCAGAGATTACTTCAAGGCAATTAGTTAACAACCCAGCCATAGTTGAGATGGCACCAGCCCACGATCCAAGTAGACTGGGACCTAAATAGCCACCAGAACAAGACACACAGGCATTCTACTCAGCACAATTCTTGCATGCCTTCCTTATCAATGTTTCCCTTTTTAAACCCTGCCTTCCCCCCAACCCCCACCCAAAATCAAAATGGTTGCTTCGGATGGAATCCAGCCACTTCCCCTTTATTAGTTTTGGTTAATAAAATCACTTTCTTTCTACCAGACCTTGTTAATTGGACTCTGCAAGCAGTGAGCATCTAGACCTGAGTTCGGTTACATGGGTAACATGTATTTAAATGTTTTTGATAGACAGATACCTGCAAAGCCAGACCAAGGGGATTAAAACAGAGGTTAGCCTCATATCAATCCCTCACAGACTGCCAGGTAAGTCAAAAAGCACAACCAGAATTTTTTAAGAACAAGATCTGTATTGCCACCCCTTCCAGCAGCAGGAGGCTGCCCTAGGAATATGGGTCACCTTTCTTGTGGCTGTGGCTGAGCTGGGGATAGTAGACACTTAAGTAAAAATGCCACAACACTCTGTTGCAAAAATTTAGCAGCTTCCTTCTTCATTAAGCACTCACCTGGCTGTTCTGTTTTTGATTAGATTCCAGAATTCAGAAAAAAAAGTTGATTCTGATAATTTTTGCTACTTGGTAATTGCCTCACTGAAGGGACCAATTCTTGGAGCTCCCTACTCTCCCATTTTCATGTCACTCCCTTAACATATATTCACATTCCTAAGTGATCACACCTGCAGAGTATTCCTTTCCACAGGATGTCCTGTCAGGTCACCACCAGGGAAACCTTTAGCAATCGAGCTGTAACATTTTTCCACGAATTACCTGAGCCTTTCTCACCACAGAGAGTGGCATTCTCCTTGCCTGCCAGAGGGTGAGTGAGCCAGTTCCAAATCCCCAGCTCACTGCCTGCTGTCTATACATTAATTTGTGTCTGCCAAGAAACAGACATCAAAATGGGATTAGATATAACAGAAATTTTTGGAGGTGAGGGAGCAGAAGAAGGTGGGAGAAACTTCAGACCATACATCAGATCTTAAACCTGTGGGACAAAAGAGAGAAGGGAAGATGATTGGATAGGAAGAATCTTTTTTTTTTTTTTTTTTTTTTTTCATTTTCCTAAAGACAGGGTCTGGCCCAGGTCTGTACATAGGCTGGAGTGCCAGTCCCGATCATAGCTCATTACAGCCTCAAACTCTTGTGTTCAAAGATCTTCCTACCTCAGTCTCCTAAGTGGCGGTGACTACAGGCATGAACCACTGAATCAGAGACAGAGTTTTGCTGTGTTGCCCAGGCTGGTCTCAAACTAATGGCCTCAACGCATACTCCCACTTTGGCCTTCCAGAGTGGCGGGATCACAGACACGAGCCACTGTGCCCAGCCTTTAGGAAAAATCTTATACTGCAGCACTGTTTCAGAAATATGCACCCAGGGTGATGAGGAGTCTTCAAGCCAAAATCGCCCACTGCATGGGTTCAGCATCTCACCAACACAGGCCTGGCTTAACACTCCTGCCACATTCAGTGCTTTGCTGGGAGCAGCCAGCCAAAGCGTGACCTCAGCACAAGTGGAGGGGTTTATCTTACTCAGAGGGGCAGCAGGCGAGACCATCAGTCGAGCAGGCTGTCCTCAGAGGAGATCACAGCAATGCATTTTCAGGGTCATCATAGACTTAAATGTTTGTTTTTGGGTTTTGCTTTTTTGTTTTTTGGTTTTTTTTGAGATGGAGTCTTGCTCTGTTGACCAGGCTGGAGTGCAGTGGCGTGATCTCGACTCACTGCAACTTCCGCCTCCCAGGTTCAAGTGATTCTCCTCCCTCAGCCTCCTAAGCAGCTGAGATTACAGGCACCCACCACCATGTCCAGCTAATTTTTGTATTTTTAGTAGAGACAGGGTTTCACCATGTTGACCAGGCTGGTCTCGAACTCCTGATGTCAGGTGATGCACCCGCCTCAGCCTCCCAAAGTGCTGGGATTACAGCCATGAGCCACCACACCCGGCCTAAATGTTTTACTTTTTATCTCTTTCTAGCAACAACGAAGTCATAGAGAACGGCCTTATACCTCTCTCAAAGTAGACCACAGAATTACGCAACTTTCTTGGTCTGGTGGGTATATTTTGAAGTACAGATAAGAAGTAAAGTATTGAGCTTCAGGATGAAGACATGGTCCAGTTGAGTTAAGCCTCAGGCATTTCTCAAAAATTGCTTTACTGTGCTCTCTCAGAAGTCTGATGAAAAATCAAATATGGAAAGGAAAAAAAAGTCTTCTTCCTCCCATTCTTCTTGTTTTAATTTAACATGCCGTATATCCACTGGGTTCTTCCCCTCTTGGTAATGGAAGTTTGAATGTTTATGATGTAAATTTCACATTGTTCTCCCTTGAATTACTTCTAGTCCACAAAAAAATTGATCATCTTTCCTCTCACATTCAGAATACATGTAGTCCTTTTGATCTTCTCCTGCGTGAAGAAAGCCAGTTTCTATCTGTTTATTAGATGGTCCCCAGGGAGGCCTCTCAGGCTGTAGGCATGGTGTTGTTACTGCTGCATTTTGGCTGGACCTGGGTGAGTCTGTTGGTCTCAGATGACATGAAAGGTGAGCAGTGCCCCTGGGAGCTGAGAAAAGAAATGACCTGGAGAGATATCTGCATAGCCTTCATGAAGAAGATGCCTATTAATGAGATATATCAGAGTCCTATGGATATTAAATTTTTCATCAGCCTCATAGACCTACTAGCAACTGTAACTACTGTTTATGGTAATACCAACTTACTACAAAGCCTGTTTTACTGGAAATGTAGTTTCAACCACGAGGAAGGTGTGCAGCATAACCTCACATTGGGATTTCACCATCAATGAGAAACCAAACTTGCTTAATATTTTCCAGGGAAGTTTTGCTTTTTCACACACACAAAAACCATGAAATTCCAGGTTTCAAACAATTTCTACAAACAGTTAACTCCTTAAAATACCCAGATGATATTTTCCTTAGTCAACAATGGAGCTTTCTTTTTAGTTGCACATGTTCTGAATTTGACTGTGAAGTTTTGGGGGGGATGTTCACTAAATACTTCCTTGGAGGCCATGCTCCTGAACCTTCTTGTCATGACCGTGTCTGGCTCCAGACACCCTGTATACAATGCTGTGTGTGCTTTCACCCATGGCTTCCTACAGACCCTGTTCATAGTGAGAGAAATGGAATCTATGGCTACGGCAGAAAGTTTAGTGTTTCCCTCTGGCAAGTAAAGTTTTTCTAAATTGTTTGATTCCCATTTTTGTCTAGTTGGCCAGAAAGCCTATAGGTTTTCTTTTTTCTTTCTTTTTTTTTTTTTTTAAGAAGAAATCTTTCTCTGTTGCCAGGCTGGAGTGCAGTGGCGCAATCTCGGCTCACTGCAACCTCCACCTCCCAGGTTCAAGAGATTCTCCTGCCTCAGCCTCCCAAGTAGCTGGGACTACAGGCGCACACCACCATGACTAGCTAATTTTTTTGTATATTCAGTAGAGATGGGGTTTCACCATGTTGGCCAGGATGGTTTCGATCTCCTGACCTCATGATCCACCCACCTCAGCCTCCCAAAGTGCTGGGATTACAGGCATGAGCCACCATGCCTGGCCAAGAGCTTATAGTTTTTCAACAAAATAATCATTTGTAGGACTTTCTCAGAGCTCAAAAGATCAGACTGATGCAGGGCAAGTGAGCCCCAAAACTGGGGCTTAGCCTGGATGGGTTATTGGCTTTGCCTGGGAAAGGATTCAAGGGTGAGCCAGTGGTGATAGACAGCAACTTTTATTGAAGCGGCTGTGTATAGAAGCAGCAGAGGTATAACTCCTTGTGGAGCAGGGCTACCCCATAGGCAGTGTGCCCAGAGTGGCAGCTCAGAGACAGGTCTGTAGTCATATTTAGACCTATTTTTAATTATATATAAATTAAGGGGCGTGTTATGCAGAAATTTCTAGAAAAGGGGTGGTAACTTCTGGGTCATCAGGTCATTGCCATGGAAAGGGGTGGTAACTTCCAGGTGTTGCCACAACAATGGTAAATTGACATGGCACACTGGTGGGCATGTCTTATGGAAAGGTGTCTCCACCCCATTCCTAGTTCCTATTTTAACTAGTCCTCAATTTGGTCCAATGTCTGAGCCCTGCTTCCAGAATTGAGTCCCACCTCCTACCTCAAGATGAAAGGGTAAGTTTTCTTTTTTCTTAGTTATAGGAGGATCCACACTTGTTTCACTTTTTAGATGAGCTCTAGGTCTATGCCAACGTGGTAGCTATGAGCCACATGTGGTTCCCTAAATTTAAACTTAAATTTAAATTAAATAAAAAAATTCAGCTCCTCAGTTGCAGTCGCCACATTTCAAGTGCTCAGTAGGTAAAGGTGGGAGTGGATGCCATCCTGGACAGCAGAGGCACAGGACCTTCCCATCACTGAAGAAAGTTTCGCTGGACAATGCTGCTCTAGAACATCAGTCACCTTGATATGAACATTTTCAGGTGGGAATCTTCATCAGAAAGAACACGGTTCTTCTAAATGATTTAGAAGACCAGGGTCAGGGTCGTCTCTGCCACACACAGCATTCCCACACTTGCCTGCACTACTCTCTTCAGGGTGAGGATGTCTCTGACTTTACCCATGAGATCTTCAGGTGACTGAGTTAGAGGGATGAGCTCCTTAAGCTTCTCCTTTGTGTAAGACATCCTTTGGAGTCCTTTACAAAATGTATCTCAATTAATCCTGTACCATATTAGGAAGTAGTTATTATTATTCTCATTTTACTGATGAACTATCATCTGACTCTGAAAGAGTGCGTCAACTACGTCAATTGCAGGCTGAGGTCAATGGTTAGCCTTAATTTCAATCTCGATGTTGATAAATACAGACTGTTCACCCAGGGCTACTTATCCGCAATAATGAAGGTGCCACTGACATTTAAATAAACATTTACATATCTATAAATATGAATATTTATGTATGTAGTAACATATAAGGTTTTCATTTGAGTGTTTCAGATATGACATTTTTCTCCCTCCCTCCCTCCCCCCAGATTGTGGCACAATATAAACACAAATTTTCTTTTCCACATTTAGGACTAAAGGAAGCAGTAATTTTCCACAGGTCTAGAGAGTAAAATACTCAAAACTGTGGATTATTCCACATCTATGTAAATTATAGATGACCACATGCTAGTAAGTGATAGAAGGGGGATCTGAAGTCAGGTCTGTGAATCTCAGCCCTGCTCTTTCTGCTGCGAAACAGAGTACCTGGAAGAAACGCTGTACAGCATGAACAAAATGTCTGCAAGTCTAAATGATTCCAATGGGCCAGTCTGTCCTGTTGAGTTGAAGGTGTTTCAACGGGTTTTATTATTCTTTAGGTGTGATGAGGCCGAGATGAGGAGATGACTGCTATTGGAAACATAGCTTATCATGCCAACAGGTCCCAAGAGAGGGAGCCCCCATGATGCCATGGTGGGGTCACATGGGGAGGCACCAGGGTCAGTCACAAGAGGGGCTGGGGAACTGTGGGCAAGAGTCTGAGTTGTGTTTTCTGCAGGAAGGAATGGGCGAGGCAGGGTGAGTAGGTAATCTCCGCAGGCTCTGGGGCACAGGTGCTGTCCTTGGTTGTCTGGTACCTGGCCCTGAGGTGATTAGGGCAGGAGGACAGTGGCCTGGATCATGAGAGCCCAGTTAGTACGGTGTGTGGACTCTGGATTGGTTGGTTTGTATTTGAAAAGCACATTCCTGGGAGGATGACTTCTCTCGAAGGAGGGAGAGGAGGCAGTGAGCAGGGAAGGGCCAAGGCTGGGTGACTCAGGCATGTCACAGGGTTGTCCAGAACAAGGTGGATCTGGCATACACATGCAGAGCAGATGTTAAGCTTCCATTTATAGAAACTAGAGACGTGATTGATCCAGAAGGGCTATTTCTGAGGCTCTATCCTTCGCTATACTGCACAGGCATCCCCTTAAATGCCAGTTCTGCGGGTATCAGAAAAGAGGACATCCTCGCTCCAGGAGATTCCTGTGTACAAGTAGGCCTGGGATTTCCATTTCCAGCCTCTGAAGCTGACAGGCTCTGTGAGTGACGGGCACCCGTTCCAGGGTCCTAGTGGTCTCAGCACACACAGGGCTCCACTTCAAAGGTGATTTGGTAAGTGCTCAAGTCCTGAATGTCCTCCATGACCTCGGAGAGAAAGAAATAGGTTTGGATAATTGTGCCTTATTCCCGGAGTTAGCATTTCACCTGCACACTTCCTTACACTTTAGCAGGCCCTTTTACACTCCTATTTTCACAATAATTATCATAATAAATATGTAATACAAACGTTCAAATAATGCAGAAAAACATAAGACAGAAAGTAAAAGTTTCTTTTATTGCTTTAAAATTACTATTTATTGTGTACTTATCATGTTCAGTCTACTTTTTATATATCATCCCATTTATTACTTGCAACAATTCTACATAAATGGGCATTATTATTCCTATTTTGGAGATAACAACAATGAAGCACACGGGGTTTATATAATCTATCCAGAATGTCTGCCAGACACCAAAATCCATTCTCTTAACCATTGCACTGTCCTGCGTTTCATTCTGACTGAACTGACTCTTATGCTTTCTCGCTTTGGCTCTGTCCCATATGGTCTTTTCTCTCCATCATTTGTTTTGGTACTCCCCATACTATTGTTTTATAGTGGCAATATCATTCACATACCATCAAATTTAACCTTTTAAAGTATAAGATTTAGTAGCATTTGGTATATTCACAACATTGTGCAATTATCCCCACTAATTCCAGAATAGTTTTAGCACCCCCCAAAGACCCATTAGCAATCACTCCCCATTCCCCCCATCCCCAACCCCTGTCAGTCACCAATCTACTTTCTTTCCCTGTGGGTTTGCTTATTCTGAGCATTTTGTTAAAATGGAATCATACAATATGTGGCCTTTTGTATCTGGCTTCTTTCACACCATAATATTTTCAAAGTTTACCCATGTTCTAGCATGAATCAGTACTTATTTTTTTATGGCTGAATAATAATTTATTGTATGAATATACCACATTTTGTTTTATCCATTCACCAACTCACACAACATATGACATTTGCGTTGTTTTCACTTTTGGGTTGTGATGAATATGCTTCTATGAACATTCAGGTACAATTTTAATGACAGACACCAAACCACAGATCCTGGAAGCTCAAAGAACACCAAACAGGATAAATACCCAAAAAACCTATACCTATACATATCATATTCATTTGATATAAATATGATTCATGAAATCAAAGATATAGAAAAAAATAGAGAAAGAGGCCAAAGGGAAAAAAATACCTTAACTATAAAGGAAAAAAGATAAGAAAGAATTACATCAACCGCTCAGAAACCTTGCAAGCAAAAGAGAGTGGAGTAAAATATTTAAAGTGTTGAGAGAGAGAAAAATCCACTAATCTAAAGTTCTATACCTTACAAAACTATCATTCAAAAGGAAAGGAGAAATAAAGACTTTCTCAGACAAACAAAAATAAGGGGAATTTGTTGCCAACAGAATTTCCTAACCTTGTAAGAAATATTAAAAGAAGTTATTGCACATCAGAGAAAACTGAGTAAAATTTTAAAAATTTAACGTAAAAAATAGAAGTTATTCAGAGGAAAGGAAAATGAGATAGGTCAGAAACTTAGATCTCCATAATGGAAGAGCATTGAGAAAGAAATAAGTGGAGATAAGATAAAAACTTTCATTTTTCTTTTTCTTTTTTTTTTTTTTTTTTTTGAGACAGAGTTTCGGTCTTGTTGCCCAGGCTGGAGTGCAATGGCGCAATCTCAGCTCACTGCAACCTCCGCCTCCCGGGTTCAGCGATTCCCCTGCCTCAGCCTCCCGAGTAGCTGGGATTACAAGCATACGACACCATGCCCGACAAATTTTGTATTTTCAGTAGAGATGGGGTTTCACCATGTTGGTCAGGCTGGTCTCGAACTCCCAACCTCAGGTGATCCTCCCACCTCGGCCTCCCAAAGTGCTGGGATTACAGGCATGAGCCACTGCACCTAGCTATTGTCCTTATTCTTAATTGATATAAAAGGTAACCATTTGTCCAAAATAATAATAGCAATGCTGTGTTTGATTATGTATGTGAAATGAATGACAGCGCTGACACAAGGGACAAGAGGGAGGAATTAGGATTATTTTGTTATTATAAGGTACTCACGCTACCTTGAAGCAGTATAGAATTATTTCAAAGTGGACTTGGATTAGTTGTAAATGCATACTGCAAACTCCAGGGCAACCTTTTAAAAAGTAAAAAAATAAGTATAAATGATATGTTAAAAAAGGAAAGAAACTGGGCTCATATAAACTCCTCAATTAAAACCACAAAAGGCAGAAAAAGAGTGAAAGACAAAACAGAAATAAAAAAATAGAAACCAGTAACAAACATGGTATATATTCTTATTAATAATCACATTTTTTTAAGAGACAAGGTCTTGCTCTGTCACCCAGGCTGGAATGTAGTGGCAAGATCACAGCTCACTGTAGTCTCGACCTCCTGGGCTCAATTAGTCATCCCGCCTCAGCTTCCCAAGTAGGTGGGACTACAGTCATGAGCCATCACACCCAGTTAATTCTTTTTTAAAATATTTTGTAGAGACAGGGTCTTACTATGTTGTCCGGGCTGGCCTTAAATCCTAGCCTCAAATGATCCTTCCACCTTGGCCTCCCAAAGTGCTTGGATTACAAGCCTGAGCCACAGCACCCAGCCATAAATAATCACTTTAAATGTCAATGATCTAAATACACCAGTTAAAAGACAGAGATTGCCACAGTGGATAAAAAAATAATGCCCAACTATATGTTGTCTCTAAGAAATCCACTTTAAATACAAAGACATGTATAGATTAAAAATAAAAGAATGGAGAAAGATGTTCTATGCTAACACTACTCAAGAGAACTTGAGTAAGTACTGCCTTTGCTCCTCTGTAAAAATTCAGTTAGCTATATCTATGTGGGTCTATTTCTAAGCTCCCGATTCTGTCCCATTTATCTATTTTTCTCTCCTCTCACCAATACCACACTGCCTTAATTACTGTAGCTTTATAATATGTCTTTTTTCTTTTTTTTGAGATGGTGTCTCACTCTGTCACCTAGGCTGGAGTGCAGTGGTGTGATCTCAGCTCACTGCAACCTTCACCTTCCAGGTTCAAGCAATTCTCGTGCTTGATTCTAAAGTTTACATACCAGACAGAGCAGACTTCAAAGCAAGAAAAATTATCAGAGATAAAGAGGGCATGACATACTAATAAAGGGGTCAATTGTCCAAGAAGACATAACTATCCTTAATGTGTACGCACGTAATAATAGAGTGGCAAAATACTTGAAGCAAAAACTGACAGAACTGCAAGAGAAATAGATGAATTCCGTTAATATAGTTGGACTCAACACCTCTCTATCAGAAATGGACAGATCCAGATCATGAAGAGATTTATCATTTGTCTGATGTATCTGGGGTGGGGAAAAGAAAGAAAGAAATGGACAAATCCAGCAGGTAGAAAATCTGTAAGGACATAGTTGAATTAAACAGCACCATCAATCAACAGGATATAATTGACATCTATCAACTACTTTATCCAACAACAGTAAATACACACAAGATCACATGGAATATTCACCAAGATAGACTACATTCTAGCCCATAAAAAAAAGTTAGCAAATTTAAAATAATAGAAATAGCAATCAATAACAGAAAGATAGCTGGAAAATACCAAAGCACTTGGAGATTAAACAATACACTTCTAAATGACACGTGGGTCAAAGAAGAACTATCAGGAGAAATTTTAAAATCTTCTGAACTAAATTAAAATGAAAATACAACTTACCAAAATGTGTGGTATGCACCAAAAGCTGTGCCTACAGGGAAATTTCTAGTATTAAATGCATGTATTAGGAAATAAGAAGGATCTAAAATTATCTAAGCTTCCACCTTAGAAAACTATAAAAAAGAGCAAATTAAATCCAAAGCAGAAGAAAATAAATAATAAAAATTTTAACAGAAATCAAAGAAATTGAAAACAATTCAAATTGAAATACATGAACTGAAAACAAGGAAATTGACAGAGAAAATCAACAAAATCAAAAGCTGGTTCTTTGAAAAGATCAATAAAATCAATAGGCATCTGGCCAGCTAACTGAGAAAAAAAGAGAGAAGACACAAATCAGAAATAAAAGAGATGACATCACCACAGATCTTAGGGACATTAGAAGAATGAGAAACAAATACTATGCCCACAAATTTGATAACCTAGATGAAATGGACCAATTTCTTAAAAGACACAACTACTGAAACTACATATGTAAAAATAGACAATCAAAATAGGCCTATATCTATTAAAGAATTCGAATAAAAAATTAATAACCTTCAAAAACAGAAAGCAGTAGGCCCAAATGGGTTTATTGTTTAACTGTACATCCAACATTTAAGGAAAAAATAATACTAATTCTCTACAATCTCTTCCAGAAGATATAAGCAGAGGAAATCATTTCTAACTCATTCTATGAAGCCAGCATTTATCCTAATACCAAAACCAGACAAATAAATTACAAGAAAACTACAGACCAATGTCTTTTGTGAACATAGGTGCAAAAATCTTCAACAAAATATCAGCAAATAAAATCCAACAATGTATGAAATGAATCATATACTACCACAAAGTGGGCTTTATCGCAGGTATGCAAGACTGGCTCAACATACAAAAATCAATTAATGTAATCCATCACATCCACAGACTAATGAAGAAAAATCACGATTATATCCATAGATGCAGGAAAAACACTTCACAAAACCCAATACTCATTCACGATAAAAACTCTCAGCCAACTAGGAATAGAAGAGAGTTTCCTTAACTTGATAGAGAACAAGATTTCAACTTGATAAAGATCTACAAGAAAACCTACAGCTAACATCATACTTAATGGTGAGAAACTAGAAGCTTTCCTGCTAAGATCAGGAACAAGGCAAGGATATCCCTGATATCCCCTTTCACCACTCCTTTTCAACATCATACTGGCAGTCCTAGCTAATGCAATAAGACAAGAAAAGGAAATAAAAGGTATAGAGATTGGGAAGGAAGAAATAGAACCATCTTTGTTTGCGGAGGGCATGATTGTCTGTCTTTGTAGAAAGTCTGAAGGATTTGACAAGTCTATGGCCTTACCACCCTGAATGCACCCAGTCTTTTCTGAAAGAGTTCACACACACACAAACACACATACACACACACACACGATCCTCCTGGAACTACTAAGCAATTATAGCAAGGTTGCAAGATAAAAGATTAATATACATAAGCCAATCTCTTTCCTGTATACCAGCAATGAACAGTGGAATTTGAAATTAAAAACACATTACTATTTACATCAGCAATAAAAAAAGAAATACTTTGGTATAAATCTAACAAAATATGCACAAGATCCAGGAAAACTACAAAAGCCTAATGAAAGAAATCAAAGAAGTAAATAAATGGAGAGATAACTTAGTCTATGTTCATGGATAGGAAGACTCAATATTATCAAGATGTCAGTTCATCCCAGTTTGAACTATAGAGTCAGCATAATCCCAATCAAAATCCTAACAAGTTATTTTGTGGATATTGACAAACCAATTCTAAAGTTTACATATCTAAAGGCATAAGATCCAGAACGGCCAACACAATATTGAAGGAGAACAAAGTCAGAGCACTGTTACTACCCAACTTTAAGACTTACTATAGGTTGGCACAGTGGCTCATGCCTGTAATCCCAGCACCTTGGGAAGCCGAGGTTGGTGGATCACCTGAAGTCAGGAGTTCAAGACGAGCCTGGCCAACATAGTGAAACCTTGTCTCTACTAAAAATACACGCCTGGGACTACAGGCGTGGTGGTATGTGCCTGCAGTCCCAGCAACTTGGGAGGCTGAGGCACAAGAATTGCTTGAACCCGGAAGGTGGAGGTTGCAGTGAGCTAAGATCACACCACTGCACTCCAGCCTAGGTGACAGAGTGAGACTCCATCTCAAAAAAAAAAAAAAAAAAAAGACATATTATAAAGCTACAGTAATTAAGGCAGTGTGGTATTGGTAAGAGGAGAAACAAATAGATAAATGGGACAGAATTGAGAGCTTAGAAATAGGCCCACATAGATATAGCCAACTGATTTTTTACAGAGGAGCAAAGGCAATACAATGGAAAAAAGATAGTCTCTTCAACAAATGGTGCTGAAACACCTGGACATTTACATGCCAAAACATGAATCTAGACACACGCCTTACACTTTTTGCAAAAATTAAAACAAAGTGGATCATAGACCTGAATGTAAAACTGTGAAACTCCTAGAAGACAACATAAGAGAAAATCTAGATGACCTTGGGTATGGCAATGACCTTTTAGATACAATCCATGAAATAAATAATTGATAAGCTGGACTTCATTAAAATTAAAAACTTCAGCCTGGTGCAGTGGTTCATGCTTATAATCCCAACAGTTTGGGAGACTGAGGTGGGAGGATCACTTGAGCCCAGGAGTCTGAGACCAGCCTGGGCAACATGGCAAAACCCCGTCTCTACAAAAAATACAAAAATTAGCCGGGTGTGGTGGTATGCACTTGTAGTCCCAGCTACTCAGGAGGCTGGGATGGGAGTATCACCTGAAGTCATGGCTGCAGTGAGCTGTGATTGTGCCACTGCACTCCAGTCTGGATGAAATCCTGTATCAAAAAAAAAAAAAAAAAGATTTAAAAACTTCTAGCCGGGCGCGGTGGCTCACGCCTTTAATCCCAGCACTTTGGGAGGCCAAGGCAGGTGGATCATGAGGTCAGGAGTTTGAAACCAGCCTGACCAATATGATGAAACCCCGTCTCTACTAAAAATACAAAAATTAGCTGGGTGTGGTGGTGCGCGCCTATAATCCCAGCTACTCAGGAGGCTGAAGTAAGAGAATTGCTTGGAGCCGGGAGACAGAGATTGCAGTGAGCTGAGATTGCGCCATTGCACTCCAGCCTGGGCAACAGAGCGAGAGCGAGACTCCGTCTCAAAACAACAACAACAACAACAACAACAACAACAACAACAACAAAAAACCTTCTGCTTTGTGAAAGGCACTGTCAAGAGAAGGAGAAGAGAAGTCATAGACTGGGAGAAAATATTTCTGCCAAATATATGCCTGACATAAGACTGTAATGCAAAACAAAGAACTCTTTAAAAAACAATAAGTAAAAGAACAGTTTGATTTAAACATGGGCAAAAGACCTGAAGACACCTCACCAAAGGAGAATACAGATGGCAAGGGGTTTATTTCTGGGCTTTTCAGTGTGTTTCATTGGTCTATATCTCTGTCTCCATGCCAGTACCACACAGAGGATTTTTAGGGCAGTGAAACTATTCTGTATGATTCTATTAATGACGGATCTATGTCATTATACATTTGTCAAAACCCATAGAATGAACAATACTAATGTAAATTTTGGACTTTGGGCAATAATGACATGTTAATGAAGGTTCATTGGTTTTAACAAGCACCATTCTGGTGCAGATTGTTAATAGATGGGGAGGCTATGCATGGATAGGGGCTAAAGGTGTGTGGGAACTCTGCACTTTCTGTATACTTTTGCTGTGAACCTAAAACTACTCTAAAAACTATGTGTGTGTGTGTGTGTGTGTGTGTATTTTGAGACAGAGTCTTGCTTGGTCTGTTGCCCAGGCTGGAGTGCAGTGGGGCATCTCGGCTTGCTGCAACCTCCGCTTCCCGGGTTCAAGCAATTCTCCTGCCTCAGCCTCCCGAGTAGCTGTGATTACAGGCACCTGCCACCGCGCCCAGCTAATTTTTGTATTTTTAGCAGAGACGGGATTTCATCACAGTGGCCAGGCTGGTCTTGAACTCCTGACCTCAGGTGATCTGCCCACCTCAGCCTCCCAAAATGCTGGGATTACAGGTGTGAGCCACCACACCTGACCAAAAAAAGAAATCTATCTTTTAAAAGTCTAATGAAAAGCTGATATGCAGCCAAGAATATGAAAGATGCCAGTGAGTTGCCTTTTAATCCATAAAAATTAATTAGGTATTATCATCATCAACATTTTTCTAAACAGAAGTTAAATGTTGCATCTGATGTTAAATGTTGTTGAAGTAGCAGAGTGAGGCTTTAACTCTTAGACTATGTGATTCCAAATTCTCTGCTAGCTCAATAGCATTGGAATAGCAATGAGATTTCATGAAAAATGATGAAGGCAAGTAAAGGTATCCTTTTGCTATGGAGTAGAAAGTTCTACCACAGGGATATCCAGGAAGTGAGAAAAGCCAGAAGAGATAAATGTGGCAGCCTCGGCTGGTCAGAGAATAATTCCCAAAGGAGATGATGCATGTGCTAAGAGTTTCTCAGCAAGTAGAAATGAACCTGTGGAACTCAAACAACTCAGCAAGAAAAAAACAAATAATCCCATCAAAAAGTGGGCGGTGGATAAGAATAGACAGTTCTCGGCCGGGCACAGTGGCTCACGCCTGTAATCCAGCACTTTAGGAGGCTGAGGTGGGCAGATCACGAGGTCAGGAGATCAAGACCATCCTGGCTAACACGGTGAAACCCCGTCTCTACTAAAAATACAAAAAATTAGCGGGGCATGGTGGCGGGCACCTGTAGTCCCAGCTACTCAGGAGGCTGAGGCAGGAGAATGGCGTGAACCCAGAAGGCGGAGCTTGCAGTGAGCCGAGATCGCACCACTGCACTCCAGCCTTGGGCAACAGAGCGAGACTCCACCTCAAAAAAAAAGAAGAAGAATAGACAGTTCTCAAAAGAAGATATACAGTCAACAAACACATGAAAAAAATGCTCAACATCACTAATCATCAGGGAAATGCAAATTAAAACTACAATAACATACCACCTTACTCCTGCAAGAATGGCCATAATTAAAAAGTCACAAAACAATAGATATTGATGGTGTGGAAGTAGTGAAAAGAGAACACTTTCACATTGCTGGTGGGGATGTAAATTAGTACAACCATACTGTAGAAAACAGTGTGGAGATTCCTTAAAGAACTAAAAGTAGATCTACCATTCAATCCAGCAATCCCACGACTGGGTATCTACCCAGAGGAAAAGAAGTCATTACATGAAAAAGACACTTGCACACGCATGTTTATAGCAGCACAATTCACAATTGCAAAGATATGGAACCAATCTAAATGCCCATTGACCAACAAGTGGATCAAGAAAATATGGTATATATACATCATGGAATACATCTCAGCCATAAAAAGGAACAAAATAATGTCTTTTGCAGCAACTTGGATGGAGCTGGAGGCCACTATTCTAAATGAAGTAACTTAGGAATGGAAAACCAAATACCATATGTTCTCACTCATAAGTGAAAGCTAAATTATGAGGACGCAAATGCCTAAGAACGTCATAATGGACTGTGGAAACTTGGGAGGGGGACAGTTGGGAGCAGAGTGAAGGATAAAAGACCATATACTGGGTACAGTATACACTGCTTTATGGATGCACTAAATCTCAGAAATCACCACGAAAGAACTTATCCATGTAACCAAAGCCCAACTATACCCCAAAAACTATTGAAATAAATATAAAAACAAATCCATTGAAGAGGCAAGCTGGATAGCTCCCATTTACCCTTTTAGACCTGCTCTACACTCTTTTACATCTCTCTCTGCAACCAGATTCTGGGGGCCTCTGGCTCCCAGCTGGGTGCAGCATATGGAGTGGTTGTTTTATTCTGGGCCGCCCAGTGCCAACACCAACGCATACAGCAGCCTCTGCAGGGGGCCCTCTTTCAACCCTTCTCTCACCTGTTTCTCATTAAAGTCCTTCTCTGTTGCCCCATCAGGGCTAGTAATACTAAGTGTCTCACCATTATTGCTAGCCGCAGGGTGATTCCTCTCCTTGTTAGTTTCTCTAAACACAGCCCACACTTTTGGAAAGAGGCCCTATGGTTCCATCTATCAAGAGGACCATCTGTCTCCTGCTGCAAACTTGACCAATACAGAACAACATTAAAATCAGAAGAACAATATTAAAATCAGCTGGGCATTGAGGAGTGAATGGGCATGGAGAATTAGGGTAAATTCTGGAACAGGGGTCCCCAACCCCCTTCGCAGTACTGGTCCATGGCCTGTTAGGAGCCAGGCCATAGAGCAGAAGGTGAGCAGTGGGTGAGTAAGCAAAGCTTCGCCTGTATTTACAGCCACGCCCCATCACCGGCATTACCACCTGAGCACCTCCTCCTGTCTGATCAGCAGCATTAGATTCTCATAGGAGTGCAAACCCCATTGTGAACTGCGCATGCGAGGGATCTAGGTTGCAGGTTCCTTACCATAACCTAATGCTTGATGATCTGTCACTGTCTCCCATCACCCTTTGATAGGACCATCTCTAGTTGCAGGAAAACAAGCTCAGGGCTCCTACTGACTCTGCATTCTGGTGAGTTGTATAATCATTTCTTTACATATTACAATGTAATAATAATAGAAATAAAGTGCACAATAAACGTAATGCGCTTGAATCATCCCGAAATCACCTCCCCACCCCGCCCCTAGTCTGTGGAAAAATTGTCTTCCACAAAACTGGTCTCCGGTGCCAAAAAGGTTGGGGGCCACTGTTTTAGAAGACTCATATGGCAGAATTATAGATTACAAGGTTCAATAAATGCCAGGATTGTGGCTGGAAAGGAGGGTAGAAGTCAATTCCAGAAGGTGCCTTTCCTGTTGTGCAGTTGACTCAGAACTGGGATGCTAGAAAGTTGCCCTGTGATTTGTGGAGGGAATCCACACTAACCACAGGAAATCACCCATGACATTTGCAAGACAGAAGGAAGGAGAAACTGAACTAAGGGGTGGTAGCAGAACTGGACAGGAGGTAGTGCAGAGAAGAATTATTTACATGTTGAACCAATGGAGTTAAGAACTAAATGCTGGACCTCTTTTTTTTTTTTTTTTGGTGGAGATGGGATCTCACTATGTTGCCCCAGCTAGAGTGCAGTGGTGCAAACAAGGCTCACTGCAGCCTCAACCTCTTGGGCTCAAGTAATCCTCCTGCCTCAGCCTCCTGAGTAGCTGGGACTACAGGCACATGCCACCATGCCCAGCTAATTTTTAAAATGTTTATACAGATGAGGTCTCACTATGTTGCCGAGGCTAGTCTCAAACTCCTGAGCTCAAGTGATCCTCCCACCTTGGCCTCCCTAACTGCTGGGAACCACTGCACCCAGCCTACTGGGCATTTTTTAATGCCCAGCCTTAGCAAGGCATCTGCCTCACAGCAGACACTCAATGACTAGCACCTGGTGAATTTAGTCCAGTCGCGCCTTGATCTCCACCCAGCAGGTTATCAGTATTTGACTATACTAAACATTTCATTTAAAGAATGCTTTGAGCCCGGGCATGGTGGCTCATGCCTGTAACCCCAGCACTTTGGGAGGCCGAGGCGGGCAGATCACCTGAGGTCAGGGGTTTGAGACCAGGCTGGCCAACATAGTGAAATCCCGTCTCTACCAAAAATACAAAAATTAGCTGGGCATGATGGCGCACACCTGTAATCCCAGCTACATGGGAGGCTGAGGCAGGAGAATCACTTAAACCTGGGAGGCAGAGATTGCAGTGAGCTGAGATTGCGCCACTGCACTCCAGCTTGGGTGACTGAGACTCTGTCTCAAAAAAAAAAAAATGCTCTGCATGCCCGCCTGTAACCAAAAATAAATATTAATTGCTGAGTTACTTTTACTGTGGAAAAACTACTCATCTGCTTGACATTGCTCTTTCACCAAGGGGCATTCTGTTGTTTCACCTCTGCAATTTAAAATTTCTAGTGAAATTAAATTCTGTTACTTGTTGTGGCTGTGTACCATCTTAAACTATCATTAATCACAAAGACAGATAATACCAAGGAATGATTTCAATGCCGCACCTGCAAGTGGCGGAGAACTGCAAGCTGGAATCAGCCTCTGCCGAGGTGCAGGCCCCAAGAGACAGCAGCATCTGTGTAGAAACCAAACACATGCATTTTTTTCCTCTGTGTTTATAGAATTGTCTTCCGTTTACGGTCATTGATGCTGGATTTCCACGTACACAGGGATATGAAGTTTCCCATTTTAACAGATTCCCATTTTTAAGTAGAAGTATAGAAAAACTCTAAAAGTTAAATGATGAATAGTAGGTTTGGCAAGGACTGTTCCGTTTACCTAGTGCTGCACTAAAAAGCCATCCCAAAACAATGGCTTGAAACAATAGCCGAGGTTTATTTTGCTCAGGAATCTGGGGCTGACTGGGCTGCTAGGCAGCTGTTGCCTGGGGGCATCTCTAAGGTTCCAGTCCATGGAGGCTGCAGTCACACGCGAGTGTCCTCACTCACGCGCCCAGTGTCTGGGCTGGTAAGACTCCAGGCACTGGATGCTGGATAGGCTGGGCCTATTGGGTCTCTCTCTCTGAGGCGTCCCCACACAGCAGCTCAGGGCTGCCAGACTCCCAGCATGATGGTTAAAGGCTCCCAGAACAAGGATCCCAGGAGAACTGGCAGGACCTATGTGGCTTTCTATAAGCAGCCTCAGAAGGCACTCGGCTCTCTCCTGCTGTAATCATTAAGGGCTGTGGTTTAAGGTGAGGTTCGTGGCCTCTGTGTCTTGATGGGGAGAGTGTGGAAGAATTGGTGGATATGTTTGAAAGCCACCACCAGGGCAGAAAAAAAAATACTGAGAGGCTGAACATTAGGGGATATGGGGAAATGCCCCTGCAGGTTTTGAAAGTCTTTCTCACTTGGGGTTTGCCTGACCTCCCTGCAACTCATTTCCCAGCTCTCTGCATTCTGGAAAGTCATGCCCTTCTACCTCTGGGCCTTTGACTCTGCCTTCCCCCCTGCCAGGCAAGCCATTCCTCCCTCTGGCAAATTCATTCTTCAAGATCCAGTTTCATGGTGCTGTCTGCTAAGACAGGGCCCCCACCTCTGCCCTCTTCCTGCTGTGACCACACAGACTAGGCATGTTTTGCAGACTCTTTCTCCAGAAGGACCGGGCACACAGGAAACCAATGACCACTCACTTCCCCAAGGTCATCTTTCCTCAGAGGCACTGGCAAGACTCACTGTGTAAGCACAGGTTGATTTCAGCTCACCTGCTGTCATCCGTGCTTGTCCCTGGGGATGCCTTGGCCAAACCTGAAAGAAATGCAGGAACCAGTGATGAATAGTCCTGTGCTAGTGCCTGAGACAGGCCGGGGGCCTCCTGCAGCCACTTGTCCGCACTGCTCATGTACAGATGCGTGGGTGCACCTGCTTGCTCGTATGTCCGCCTGGTTTGGCTGCATGACAGCAAGGTATAAAAGATCCTTTCTGGTTTGAAACAGTGGTTCCCTGAGGTCAAGGTATCTCCCATGTGCCTGCTGGCCCCTTTCTCTCTCCTCCAGTGCTCTCTGCCGCCCCTTAAAAGGGTCCACCACATTTCCCACGAGGATCAAAGCAATTGTGTGGGAGAGAAGAGCTTGCCTCTGAAGGCAGGCCTTGGAGATGGCCTCTTATTGATGGTCCTCACCCCTTCCTCATGGTCCTGTGCTAACCAGGCCACACAGACCGAGTCCTCACTGCACCAGGCACCGCTGCCCCAGCTCCAGGCTGCCACCCTCTGGGCTCCAGCAGCTGGGGGTGCAGAGAGCACCTGGCTCCTCAGGACACAGAGGAAGCACCTCAATGCTCCCCTGGGCAGCTCAGCCATGCAGGTCCTTTCAAGCTATCAGAGCAGGGAAAGATGTCACTGTCCCCAGAGGAGACAGTGGGCAGGGTGCATCTGTCCCAGCCATCAGCAACCTCCACCCAAAGGCACCCCATGCACTCCAGTTAGCTCTGTCTTCACATGCCCTGGCATGAGCTGCAGCACTGCTCTGAGCTCCGGGAGCCAAGGAAGACAGCCAAATCCCCTGGGGCACTAGGTCACATGGCCCTGCAGCTCGGTCCCCGTTGCCCAAGCTCTGACTTCCCACTCCTGTTCCCTGCCCTCCAGGAAAAGCCACATGTTATACTCACCCTCACCTGCACCTCCCTTCACCCCTGGGTCTGGAATTGCTGGTGGGTTCAGGGATGAAGGATTTCCCACTGAGCAGACCTTGGGTGTGGACTTGAAGCTTCAAACCCTCCTTGCTCACTTCTCGGCTTAGTGCTGGGGCAAACAACCTGAAAACCGATCTGAGTCTCCAGGAGTGCTGCCCTCCCCCACTCCACCCCCAACACAGAGGGGCCCAGTGGGTCTTATTTCCATTGGAAATTTCACTGCTGGGTGGTTTAGAGTCCTTGTCATTCTCTTCCCTGTCCTAGCTCATGGATGTGTGTTACTGTTTCAGTTCGGAGCAGGGTCCTTAAAGGGGCAGGGTCATGGCTCCCCAGCCTCAGGGGTGTCATCAATAATGTTCTGGGCCAGGTGTGGTAGCTCATGCCTGTAATCCCAGCACTTTGGGAGGCTGAGGTGGGTGGATCACTTGAGGTCAGGAGTTCAGGACAAGCCTGGTCAACATGGTGAAACACTGTCTTTACTAAAAATACAAAAATTATCCAGGTGGTGCATGCCTGTAATCCCAGCTACTTGGGAGGCTGAGACAGGAGAATCACTTGAACCTGGGAGGCAGAGGTTGCAGTGAGTAGAGATCATGCCATTGCACTTCAGCCTGGGCAGCAGAGTGAGACTCTGTGGCAAAAGAAAAAAAAACAGTGTTCTGAATTATTCAAGCCCTGTCCTGGAGTCAAACTGAACTCTTCCCTCTAACTCCCCAACTAGCGCCACACTGAGGAGCAACAGCTGCCTTGAATCCCCCGCTGTTCCATTCACTAAACTAGATTAGATGGGGAGGGGGAGGGCATAGAAGGTGCTGGGGAGCTGCAGCCTCATTGTTGTGATTCATTCACTTAATGGATCTTGTGCAGAGCACAGTTCAAGGCCCTGGGGATGAAGTAGTGACCAAGACAGAGGAGGCCTCTCCCTGCCCTCCCCAGGCACCCAGTCCAGCAAGGAGTGGGGGATTTAGCCAGGAGAGGGTGTCAGTGAGGACAAAACGTGCTCAATGACAGGATACAGGGAGAGGGCAGAGGCGGCAAACCGCGGGTCAGGGAAGCCTCTCGTGGGAAGCACTGTTTAGCCTGGAACCTGAAGGACAAGAATGAGACTGCTCCAGGGAGAGTGAGGGCCAGGAGGAGGACACCAGTGCAGGGCCATGAGGTGGGAGAGGCTCAGGGGGCTCCAGGAGCATCAAGACAGGTGGCAAGAGTGACGAGAGCACAGAGAGGAAAGGGGGTAGGAGTCATGAGGGGCTGGCAGAGGGATTCCAGGGCGACCCCAGGGACCGGGCCTGTGAGTCAAGAGAAAGAGGCTGGATTGATTCTAGGCACTGGGAAGCCATGGAGGGATGTCAGCAGGGTTGATTTCACGAAGCTGCCTCTGGCTGCAGTGTTGGCACCTGGCTGGGATGGGGGCGGGAGAGGCAGCAGGAAGACCAGGGAGGAGGCTGGGGCAGGAGGTGTCCAGCTGGGAGGGGACCAGGGCCTGGAGAAGGGTGTGCATGGGCACGGAGAGAAGCAGATGTGCCCAAGACCCATGTTGCCTTCGGGCTGACAGAGGTGCTGATGGAACAGAGGTGTGGACGAGGAGGGAGGAATCCCAGATCAGAGTGCTCAGCACTGAGGGGTGCACTCTCAATCAGGGCCTGACCAGGGATGAAGGGAAGCTCTGAAGATGGGTGAGGGAGGGTGTCAGATCTCCATTAGGAAACGGAGTGGAGAATGGTCTGTGACTCTGCACGACTCCCTGGGAATCTTGCGCGTATCCACGCAGGCCACATAAGCAAGGCTCAGCTGCGGTCCAACCTGTGTCTCGGCTGAATGCCCTACAATTCCTCCTGCAGCCAGGGGAGCTAAGACTTGGGAGAAGCCACTGAGAGGTCTTTCTCAGCTGCAGGCTACAAAATTGTTTGGCTGTAATATGGAGGCAGCTCCTAAATGGCTGAGTGACCCTCTGCTCACACTGTCATCCGATCCCTCCGGGTCAGAGTCAGACTGTGGGATGAGGGACAAGGGAGCTGACCTCCTGCCCATTTTGCTTCTGCTGTTCTTGTAAATAATAAACTGTCTAAATCCACGTGGGCTCATTGTCTCATCCCTGGCTGGATGCATGGAAGTGCGCCAAATCCACCAGCAGCTGCAGTCATGTAGCCACCCACGCTGTCGCTTGGAAATTGCTTCACAGTTTGATAAATTGGTCCCAAACGTGGGGCCAGTAAGGGTACAATGCCTTTCTGGAGAGAAGACAGAAGAGGCCCACGTGGCCGACCAAATGAAGAGATGTGGAAGACCCCAGGATCGCCCAGGCATGCTGTCACCCAGGGAGGGTGAGAGGAGGGGAACAGGGTACCCCTCTGTCCTACCTCCTGAGGAATGTTTGCAGGCTGAGTAGCAAGAGGAAGAATTGAAACCAGCCAACCAAATGCTGCCCCTCCTGATGTCCAGAGAGTTCTTGGGCTCAGGGAGATGTAAAAATGAAAACAAAAACAAAACCAGACAGGATGAAATAGAGGAGGAGGCTGGGTCGGGGGCCTGGAAGGAGAGAGCAGCTCTGCACATCAGCCGATGCTGTGACTCCTGACTGCAAGGTCTGCTCCCACAGGGGAAGGGCCACAGTTAGGACAGTGGCCGGTGGGACAAGCACACACCTGGGAGCCCACCAGGCTTCACCTGCCCAGCCACTTGATGGCAGTAAAGCAGCATAGAATAGAAGAGGGCAGGGGCCACAGCACTAAAGAGCTGTAGAGGAAGAGGTGCGTAAGGAAACCATCCAGCAGCTGTGCGGACTGCCCTCCCCAGCCAATTAGTCCTGAAGAGCCTTGAAAATTATGAGTGTGCGTGGCGGACAATTACTCAGCCTGGAGCCAGTTGCAGCAGGATGCTGGCAGTCAACAAAGGTGACCCCTGGTGTTCTGAGTACAGCAGTGACTTGACAGACAGGGCCCAGCACACCCCCTCGAGTGGTAATTACTGACTTGCAGCTGGGTGTAGGTAGACACTGAGGGTAGAGCTCCCCATGCATGGTTCCTCCCAGGCAGACCCTTATAGGGTGGGTCTGGAGGAAAGACACCAACACAGTGGACACTGCCCAGCAAATGTCTGTCATCAAATGACAGGGGGACAGCCAAGAAAGGAGGAAGCCAGGCATCAATGGAATCTCCCATCAGCCTGAAAAAGTGGCAATCACCCGCCAGGGGCAGCTACCCCAGACCTGGGGTCTGCACCAGCACCTCAGGCTCCTTGTGAACTTCACCACAGCGCAGTCCCTGAGGAGGCCTGGGCCTGATTCACAGACAGATCAGCCAAGCTACAGGACCCACAGAAAACACTGATGAAAGCTGCATATGAAGAAAGAAGTCTGGCCAGGGGCAGTGGTGCAGGCTATGGTTCTTGCCCTGGAAACAGCCCCCACCAAAGTTCACAGCCAGTGGGCTGACCATGTGGTCTGGCACTTGACAATGGAACAACTGGATGTCAAGTCCCAACCCTGGTTGGGACAAACATTAGGCTTCAGATTGCACAGGGCCCAGGGCCTCTGAAAACCCAGTGAAAAGGACCCCTTGGCAGTGAACGTCAGTGAAACCAATAAGCTGACCAATTCTGCATAGCCCAGGTAAGCATCAGAGCCACCTGGATACACCATCACACGAGGCCTGGCCATCTGTCCATAGCTCAGGACTGGGGCCCACGTCAAAGCCTAGTGAGGCCAGCACATGAGGCCAAGCAAGCCTGCAAGTGTACCAGCTCCACAGTCAAGGGACAAAGTGACTCCAGTGCACACAGCGACCTGTGCACTCCAGTACACTGACCTGGCCAGTCCTGGAAAACAGACTCCACGGACCCCTTCCCCTTCTGCCAGGAGCACCACTGGGTGCTGACGACCGTAGATGCAGCAATTCCCATCTGCGGGGAACGTGGGCCGTGCTGCTTGACAAGTCCTAAATGTACTGCTGCATATCTGAACTCCTGGAGCACATCCAGTCGGACAATGATGCCGCCCTCATAGCCAAGAGAACCAGCAATAGGCAGCTATCTGAGGGCTGCTGTGTGGGACATTTCATGTCGCCTACCACCCACAGACAGCAGGTGACTTAAAAGATGAACTAAAAAAAAAAAAACTGAAAAGATAAGTGGACTCTAATTGTGGCAATTCTCCAGGAAGGTACCATTCATTTAAATAAAATATTTAGTTATGAGGTAGGGAGGGGGAATAAGAAAAGACCCACACTGGCTGTGAGAGACCCTGCTGCATAATTCATCCTCCTCACTCTTCTCTGCCCACCTCCATCCCTGCATGGAGGAACCCGGGCTACTGACCCGTGGGCTGCAAGGTGGGGGTTGGTGTGGGAGATGCTAATCCGGTCACTCTTACCTCCTGGCTCTGCGTGCGAGCGCTGGGCAGTTGTGGATATTGATGATAATGATCATGATCATTATCTCAGGCGTGATCACTCCTAAGAGTGCCGCTGGCGCAGCCCGCACGTCTGGGGTGATACATAGTAATCACCTCCAGAAGAACACTGTGGGTTAGGAATAGTGAGGATTTCGAAAAGCGGAGCAGCTCTGCTGGAGGAGAAGGAACACCCTAGGCTCCCGGAGGCATAGAGAGGCCAGACCATTAGCGTCTTTTGGCTCTCGCCTGCAGGACACCTGGCCCACCTGTCGTCTCAGAATGCTGTGGTCACCTTGTCCCAGACCATTACCACTGCCCTCAGTCTAACTCCTGGACACCCATTCTCTCAAGAGAGCCTCAACTGAGGACTGTTGACTTTGGAGGCAAGACAGCCCCCGCCAAAGCAATGAAACATGATTAATTTTCCAGACACTGATGAGGCCTCCCTTGGCCTCATCTTATTATCGCTGGTACCCTACTGCCAAAACAAACGAACAAACAAACCAAACACTCTCTTGTGTGCTTTTCACAGATCATAGCTACTGCTCTGAATTTAATGAGCCACTGGACCTATCATCCTCCACCTGACCCTGATGACTAGACCGCACTCCCTCATTTCCACCTCCTCCCAAATACTTTTGGACATGAGGGGCCAGGCCTCAGCCAGGGGGCATATGAGAAGATCACTTTGGGAGAAACTTGCCTGTCTTGAAGGCAAGGAACAGGGACAGGTGGCCAAACACCTGGGCTCCAGCTCTGCACCTGGTAGTGCTGGAGTCGTGCAGTCACCCAGCTGGCACCTGGGCTCTGGTATGAGGCCGTGTGGGTCCAGTCCATCATAGCTACTCAGCCCCCTGTTTATTGGGGACAGAGTGTGTGTTTCTGCTTGCTCCTGAGGGCCTAGGTTTCCTGGGTTGTGACTCCTGGGGCTTTGGTCATGAGGAAGTTGAGATAAAGCCCATAAAGTGCTTAGCCCGCACGTGGGTCCTCTTCAGTGCATCCAGAGCCCAAGCGGCATCTCTTGCCTGCCCTTCACAGCAAAGGGTGCTCCTCATGGCAGAACAGGGTGTCTGGGCAGCTCCTTTGCTTACAGACAACAAACAGGACCCAGTTAGGAAAAGGACTTGGCCAAGGTCCCAGAGAGACCAAGACCTGGCAGCCTGGACCCCATCCCAGGTTCTCGCCCGCAGCAAGAGTAAACACCAGAGTACGTGTCTGTACAACCCTTGACAAAGCCAACCAGAAAAGCCCTGACCCGATCTGAGCTTGACCTTGACCCTCATTCTCACTCCAGTCCCTAAATCTAACTTGACACTGACCCTGACTTCAACCCTAATCCCTAATTGTATCCCTCACACTGACTTTAACCCAGACCCTCGCCTTATCCTTTCCCAGGTGCCCATAAGAGGGCAGCCCCTGTCCCCTGCTGGGCCCCAGTGGTCAGCCGTCCCTCTGGGAGAGTGACAGCTGAGGTCCTGGGGCCCTCCTTAGGGCCCTACTAGTGAGCATCTGCTTCACTCACACAGTGACACTAAGCACCTCTCCAGCAGCCCCTGGTCACCCCTCTGGCCTCAGCATCCCTCCAGCCTTCTCTGGAGCTGCAGTAGGCAAGGGGCATGCACAGTGGGCACCCTGCTCACGCACTGGCTCCAGCATCCTCGGGGGTGGTGTGAATGAACAGAGGCTTGGTCAGCACTCGGGTCCCTCAGATGCCTGCCAGCTCCCACTGTGGGGCAGCTGTTCCAGACCATACTCCAGACAGGGAACAGGGCTGCCATCCAGGAGGCCCCTGGGGAGGCTCGCTGACAAAGAAGTCAGCAGTCCCTTCAGAGGACTTCATGGGGCCATGCTGTGCCCTGGTCCCTTTCAGAACGCCCTCTCCATCCACCACTACCTCTGGGTCACTGGCTATAGCCTGGCCACGCCACTCTGTGGCTTTCCTGCAGCTGGAGCTCCAACCAAGCAGTAGGGCAGTGCCTGGAGGTGTCCTGCCACACTGGCATCATAGCTGCCTGGTGTGGGCACACGGCCCCAGGAGGGCCAGGCCTGAGCCTCTGGTGCCGTGTGTGACTATGGAGCAAGGCACAGAGGGTGTCCATCTTTTCTTCCCCTTCTCCTGAGGCATCAGCATCAACTTGCTGTCTACTCCTGGCCTGTGTTTGCCCGGGGCTCCATTTCCCTGGGGCCCGTCCATCCTGGACACACCAGAGGGGTTGTTTGCACGGATGCTTCTCCAGCCAGTCTGAGATGCTGACCTACTCTGGGGGTCAGGCCCTTCAGAGTCCAACCCCTCCCGTGTCAACCTGTATTCTGTCCTCGTCCCCAACTGCTGTGGAGCACAGGCCCCTGGCGAGGCGGCCTGCACTGTGCCCGGGGGAAGGATGGGAAGAAGACACCACAGAGGACTGTTGACTTTGGAGGCAAGAGAGCCCCCGCCAAAGCAATGAAACATGGGCCCAGGTCTGGAAAGGGGCTGTGAAGAGAGAAGCCTTCTTCCTAGGGGAACAGGGGCTTCATATGACCTAGGCCTGCAAGGATGGATCTGCCTAGGACCTAGTGGGACTGGAGGAGGGCATTTCTGCAAGAAAAGAGATGAGTGAGAGGGGCAGGAGCAGGAGGGCAGGGCAGAACAGGGTGGCAGATGGAGTTGACTGGTGAAGGGAGTAGTGGGCCTGGGGGAAGCAGGACTAGAGGTTGTATGATTGACTGCATGCAGGCCCGGGTGCAGTTGTGGGTGGGGCGGTTGTCCAGGGCCAGGGCTGCCGTCTAGGATAAGCAGGTGGTCCGGCTGTGCAACCTGGACACATCTGCTCACTGAAAAGGCCTTTGGCCCCTTGGGTATCTGTCATTCTCAGCCCCACGTCCTGGCCCCCGAGGGCAAGGCCAATGTGTTTGAGTCCCACTGTAGCCTGGGACTCAGCCCTTACAGGAGAGGAAACTGCCTGAGTCCGTGAATGGGCCGTGTCTCCCTGTGCCTCTCTCCACTCTGTCCCAGGTGATTGTGAAGTGCCATTTGGGATTATTAGGAAGAATCTTAGCACTTCCTCAAGATCACCACTGAAGAGAGAATCCTCATCCCGGGAAAGAGGTGGGAACTAGAATGGTGGAGGGACTGGAGCTAGGCCCTGCCAGGCTGCTCTGAACATCAGTGAGATCACTGAGGTGCTAGGGTCCCTGCTGGCCAACCCTGCCATCCAGAGACTGGGCACCAGCAGGCTCTCTGGGCAGCCAGGGGCTCCTGCAGCAGCTGGGAGAGGTCACCCTGGAATGTGGACTGGGTGGGTCTTCTGTGCATGAAGCACTCACTGCAGTGGTCAGGCTCATCTACAGCAAGGACTCCTGCCTGCCTGCCTGCTCTGTGGGTTTCGTTGTAAGGGTCTGATATAGCTCTGTCTGCCCTTGGACTCTTCCAGGACCCTTTTAAAACACTGCAGCCCCCTAGGCTCTGTCCAGATGCTCTTTTTTATTTATTTTATTTTTATTTTTATTTTTATTTTTGAGGCAGGGTTTCATTTTGTCACCCAGGATTGAGTGCAGAGGTGCGATCTCCGCTCACTGCAACCTCGACCCTCCAGGCTCAGGGATCTTCCCACCTCAGCCTCCCGAGTAGCTGGGACCACAGGCACACACCAACACACCCAGCTAATTATTTTATTTTGTATTTGTAGAGACAGGGTCTCACTATGTTGCCCAGGCTGGTCTTGAACTCTCAGTTTCCAGCAGCCTTCCTGCCTCAGCCTCCCAAAGTGAGCCACTGTGCCCAGCCAGAGGCTCCAGTTCCACTGGTGTTGGGTGAGGCCTAGTGAGAGGGTGGGCAGAGGGCCTTGTTGAATCTGAACTGCAGCAAGGGCTCGCAGATCTCAAAGGAGGCAGGGAAGTGTGCTGGGGTCCCGTCAGCATCGCATGAACTCAGGGATGGCTGCATTTGAGGCCAGGGTCAGGCTGTCCTCACTTATCAGGGGACAAGAGCTGGCTGATGCCGATTGGAAAGGATAGAATCCTAGTGAGCTGCCCCAGTCCCGGTAAGCATGAGTGCCTGCATATCCTCGCTCTTCCTCAGTTCCACCCCCTTCCTGGGGGTGTCACAGGCTCCTGGCAGAACCAGAGCCCATGCCCTGCATTTGGGCTGGCACATTTAGTGGAACCAGCCAGAGAAATGCTGTCCCTCCTTCCTGGGGAAGTGGTGGCAAACAGAGGCGCCAAGGCTCTCTCTGCCCACTGCCCACATCATCTCTGGGACTCTGCGGGTGCCCTCTGCCCCAAGGCTACTGCCAGGGACTCAGGTGTGGCTGGGCTTTCCAGAGCCTCCCTCAACCCTCCCCTCACAGGCTGAAGTCAGTACTTCGTTTGGGGGAGCCACACCCAGAGCCAGGAGCCTGACTTGCTCAGGGCCTAGGGAATGGGACCAAGAGTGATCCAGCTTCTTCTCCAGAGCTGCACCCTGCACAAATCCACCCTCTCCCTACGCTTTGCCCTGGACACTTTCAGAACACATCACACTGCCTGTCATCATGCATCTCCGGCTAGGGCAGAGGGAGACCGTGCACGTCACCCGGCACAATGTGACGGAAGATAAACTGTGTGGGGAAGAGAAACTGAGGCCCAACAGGAATAAAGCTGCCCCAAGACCCAGCTCCTGCCTCTCTTGGTCCCACACTAGAACCACTGTTTAAATAAAGTCCTCCCCTCCCAAAGGTACTCCTGCTCCCCAACTACAGCAGGGTCCTGGGTCCTGGGTCTGAGGGTTTATTGGTCAGGGCCCAGGCAGATGTCATGTGCCCCTGTTGTCCCCACGCAGGCCCACAGACATCACAGGAGAATGATTTACAAGCCACTTGGGGCCTGCTGGCAGTGAGGGTTTACCCACCCCCCGCCCCAGCTTGCTCCAGTGCCGCCGTTTACGTCATGGGTACGTGGCCTGCAGTTCACGGATCTCCAGGCCCATCCTGTTGACTGCATACCCAGTGAGGCTTCGAGCCTGCCAGAGGTCAATACAGCCCAGCAGACTAAAGTCAGTTTTCCAAAAGGACTCTGGAATTCAGCAAAATGAATGGAAGGTCCTTTACAGCGTACTCACTCCACCATTGTACAGATGGCAGCACTGAGGCCCGGAGAGGCTCTGGAACTTGGGAGAAAGGCTCAGGCTAAGAGAAGCCAGGGACTCCTCACCCCCAGCCTGTGAGCTGCTGCAGATTAAGGGGTCATTGAAGATGGGCTAGTGGCCAAGGGAAAACCACCACATCCAGGGCCACACCCGTCACCCCTCACCCTCATCCCAGTCAGGGCAGCAGCAGCATCTTCCTGTGCAAAACAAAATGCTCATCTCCTCCAAGAGCTGCTTCTGAGGGCCTGTCCTGCCCCTTGCCTTGGGTAATGAGGGACAGGCTGGCAGTGCCCTGCTCAGCTCTTCAGTCTGTCCAGGAAAGGCCAGGCTACCAGAGCTCCCTGGAGTGCCAGTGGCCAGGTAAGCGGTGCAGCCTCATGTCTTCTTTCTGGATGTGCTCGTAACAGGACTGGAGGGAGAGAGGCAAGGCTGAGGCCAGTTGACCTGCCTGATCCCAACCACATGCACAGGATCTAGGGCTCAATAGCTGTGTGCACCCACCTCCCAACCCAGAGGAGGCGTGTCTCCAACTCAGCCCTCAGCCACAGTCTGCGAGGAAAATGGGGCCCTTCCTCTCCCACTGTGCTTGGGAATGCAGCATGGAGCAATCATGGCCCCAGGGTCCCCAGGGCTGGGATGCACTGTGGGACCCCTCCCTGGCTCCTTTAATAAGAGCAGGATCAGGGACACTGTGAGGACCCTTCCCAGAGTCACACATGAGCTGTGAATTTGAGCTCCCTCCCACTATGGTGTTATGATGTCTGGGAAGGGAAAAGGGTCTGCCCCAGGGGCCAGGGCATTTCCACCTCGGTCCACAGCCCCTGTCCCTTACCTCCAGGGCTGTGAGCAGGAAGTCATACAGGCCTCCTGTGTGGTTGGGGTCCATCATGTCACGGATCAGGTGGATCTCGGCTCCCAGGTGCTGAATTCTGGAGAACACCGCCCCACCAAGAGAGCGAGGGAGACAAGGAGAAGAGGCCTGTCGCGGACAGGCAGCTGGGGAAGGAGCGCTGGCCTGGATGGCTGGACACCTGGGGTGTGGTCCTCACTCTACCTCTAGCACCCCAGCACCCTGGCTGGGACCCTCCCTTTTCTGGGCCTTGGCTTCCCCATCTGTACAGAGAGAAGCTGCATCCATAAACCCTGGGGTTCAGAGGTATCAGAAGATATCGTGGTTGGGGGTGGGACCCTGCCCCTGCCCTGCACCCCCAGCTCCTGACTGCCTCACCGGGCGCGCGACACCACGTAGATGAGAAGTGGCAGCAGGTCGTCCATGGGCAGCTTGTACTCCCGGCCCAATACCCTCGAC
This sequence comes from Homo sapiens, assembly GCF_000001405.40. Lineage (NCBI taxonomy): Eukaryota > Metazoa > Chordata > Mammalia > Primates > Hominidae > Homo > Homo sapiens. Next base: position 46,671,965 of record NC_000003.12, read on the forward strand.
ACCGTGCCCTCAATTTCCCCGTATGTCCTCTCCAGCACCTCCAGCTTCTCCCGTGGGTCCACCGTGGTCCTGCAGCAGGGTAGCTGGCTCCAGGTCAAGGCCCTTGGTTCAGTCCCAACCAGGAGCACCCCACACTCTGCCTCCGGACCCCCAACCCACTACGGCTCACACTCACATGATCTTCTGCAGGCACTCGGTGGCTGACAGGAAACACTTGTCCCTGACCAGGGAGTACCTCTGCATGGTGGAGGGAGTGGGCTGGATGAGGCCATGGCCCCCCAGCTCTGACATCCCCTCCTTCCCAGGGCCGGGCCTGAGTCCCCCGCCACCCTTCCCTTCACTGCCAGCTTTAGTGCAGCCCCACCCTGAGGGCTGAGTGACCCAGGGCAAGTCACAGCTCCACTGTGGGCCTCAGTTTGTGCAACCATAAAACGGGGTGAATAGTCTCCATGAGGTTGGGAGGATCCAAACGGATAAGAAGATAATAATCATAACAGGCACTGGCCACTGGGTGCCGCCCAGTTCTGAGTGCCTATGTCGATGGTTCTCAAACCCAAGGGCTTAGTGAAACACAGGTTCCCGGGCCCACTCCCTGCATTTCTGACTCGGTAGGTCTGAGGTGGTTCCAAGAATCTGCTTTCCTAACAGGTTCCCAGATGATCCTGATGCTTCCAGCCTGGCAGGCACATTTTGAGAACAGCTGCCTCATGTGCCCACTTCACCCTCACAACAATTTTGAGGTGGTTCTGGCCAAGCGCAGTGGCTCACGCCTGTAATCCCACCACTTTAGGAGGCGAAGGCAAGCAGATCACCTGAGGTCAGGAGTTTGAGACCAGCCTGGCCAACATGGTGAAATCCTGTCTCTACCAAAAATACAAAAATTAGCTGGGCATGGTAGTGAGCACTTGGCAGGCGCCTGTAATCCCAGCTACTCGGGAGGCTGAGGCAGGTTAGTCACTTGAACCCGGGAGGCGGAGGTTGCAGTGAGCTGAGATCGCACCACTGCACTCTAACCCGGGCGATAAAGTGAGACTTTTTCTCGAAAAGTAAATAAATAAATAAATAAAATAAGAATTTTGAGGTTGTTCTAGTGTTGGCTCCCTTTTACTGATGAGGCAGCTGAGGCACGGTGCACGAGCCTCTTGCACACGGTCACACAGCCAGGTAAGAACCTGTGTTTGAGCCTGGTGGTTACAGGCCAACAGCTTACCTCCACCACACTGGGAGGTCAGAATGACAGTGTCTCCTCCCAACCCACCCTGCCCCTCCCCAGCTCCTCTGCAGCCTCCGCCCAGCAATCATGAGGCAAAGGGCTCCTCAAAGCCTGCAGGACCTCTGGGGGCCCCTGGCTTGGGGCTCTGGCCTCCCTCTCACCTGATTGCTCGTCAGCGTGAGGTCCTTGAGGGGCCACAAGTGCCTGAAATTGAAAAAGTGAGACAGGAGGCTCTGCCTCGACAAGGGGCAGAGTCTGAGGTCAGAGGGCAAATTCCCTATGCCACTGTTTCCCCCGGCAGATCTGGGTCCTGAAAAGGGGAAGGAGATCAGCCTAGGTCATGGGGAGGATGGAAGGATTCCTGGAGAAGGCAGAGCTCCAGAAGCTCCAGGGAGGTAAGGGCGGCCCAGGGGCTTGTATGAGCCAGGTCGTGGTGACCAGTAGAGAGGGAGGGGTGAGGAGACTGCACTCCATCCAGGAGGCTCTGCTGAGCCAGCACAGGGCTGTGAGCAGGGGGATGCAGCCCTCATGCAGCAGAGGTGGAGGCTGGTGTGGGGAAGCGACACTGAGGTGGTGAGGGAGGCGGGGCATGCTTGGGAAGCACTGGCAGCCAGGTCTTTAGGCTGGTGGCTGGTCAGATGCAGGACACAGTCACCAAGATAGAGGAAGAAACAGGGATTTGCAGGGTGGGTGGGAAGCACCATCCCTGTGTAACAAAGGAGACCTGGATGTGGGAGCAGAGACAGTGCCCGTGCCCTCTACTGTGGACAGTGGGGTCACTTGTGGCATCAATGGATAGATGGGACACTGAAGAGAAAGGACATTTTGGAGACTGAGGGTGGAAGGGAGGCCCTGGGGTGTGGTAAACACCTCCCGACATGCACCCAGAGCAGTCCTCAGTCTCCCCTGAGGGACCTCCTCTCCCCTACTCTCAGCCCAAGTGCTCAGAGCAGGTGATCTTGCCCCAGCCTCAGCAGTGGATATTCAGGCAGGCCTGGTCAATCACGGCTGGCACTCAGGGGTGGGCTCAAGACCCAAGCCCCAAGCCGAGCCAGTGAGGGACTTCAGGGGCTCTGAGGGAGCTGTTGGAAGGCAATGCCAGCTCCTGTGGGGACTCTGGGAGAGGAGCTGGGAGGGTATGAACCTTGAGCGGTTGGTGCTTATGGTGTTTGTCACCACAAGGGGGAGGCTGAGAAAGACCAACAGAAATGGAAGGTGCTTCCCTCTGTCATTCAGTTGAACACCTAGATCCAGCCACACCTGAATGCATAAGCTTAGAACTTGGTGGGTACATGAACCTATCAACCCCAGCCCCACCTTTTGGCTGAAGACAGTCTGAGTCGAGTTTGAGTCCTGGCTAACACGGCACGGGGGAAGGGAAGGCTTACTTCTGCACATCCAGGAACTCGAGCAGTTGGGTATCAGGAAAGAGGCTCAAGTTGGCAATGCCCTGGCTGTAGAAGCTGTCCTCCCGCTCATGAAGCAGCAGGTAGAGCGTGAAGAGCTCTGAGTAGAAGCTGGGCAGCATGAGGGGCAGCACCAATCCATGCACCTGGAGGTCCCTGATGGGGAGACCGGAACAGGTTGGGATGAGCAAGGTGGGGTCTGGGATTACTACTTGGAGTCTCGTCTCAAAGAGCTCCTAGTTCCACAACAAACAGTGTCCTGGCCTCCAGCCTCCTCCTCCCCAGAAAACCTTTTCCAAGCCTGTTCTCAGTCATCATTTGCCCAATTCAATTCATAACTTCATTCCCTCCTTTGACTTTGACAACCAAGATGGCAGGTGGGGCAGGAGTTGGATCCCCATTTGACTGAAAGCAAAACCAGGGCCCCAGATGGACCAGCAACTTGCAGCTGAGCTCTCAGCAGCCATTCCAGGCTGATTCAGTTCCACCTCCTGGTTTGCTGTGCTAGGACTCCGGGCGGGGAATCCTCCCTAATGTCTAACCCCATTTCCCTTGCCTCCTGCAAGGCAGTGACAGGAAGGCCTCTCTGATCAGGAACACTTTCAGGTCTAGAATCTAAAGGCAAATTGTAAGGTTTGCTCCAGGGACTGGGGGAAACAAATTTCATGCCCACCTAACTCCTGTATAACCTCAGGCTCATCCCTACCAGCCCTCGGTTTCCCCATCTGTGTGCAGGGAGAGGAGGGTGCCTCGGGGAGCTACTCACCTTCTGCATGCGAAAGATGAGATTGGGATCATACATTTAGAACAAAGATGCATTCAATGCATTGTAGCAGTGCCCCCTCCCTGGTTCCTCACAGAACAGAGGTCATGGGTCATTCTAATCCACAAACGATCAATGCACAATGTTTGGTCAATAGAGTGAATGCCCAGCACTTCCCCAGAAGCACCTCTTTCCCCAAGGGAGGTCCTAGGAGCAGACGCATGAGGCCTCCCTGGACACGGCAGGCCCCAAGGAGACCTGCGCCAGTCACCTTGTCTCTGTGTCTTCATCCTCCTCCAGGGCCTGGCCCTTGCGCTCTAAGGCAACTCGCAGCAGACCCCTGTGAGTCAATGAGAGAGAAATGGTGTGGCTGCCCCTTGCCACAGAACTGGAGTTCTACCACCAGTCAACAAAGGCAAAAGCAGGTGGCCTCTCAGAACTGTGGACATGGCCTGCAGGGTTCATCCTCTCAAACCACAGAAGTTAGAAGGTTGGAGCTCCAGGATGTTAGCCTGAGAATCCAGCAGCAGAAGGAACTATAGCATCTAAGGCTTCTATTTGCAGTGTTTCATGGGGTCACAGCCCAGCCTGGGACTGCAGGTGTGTTCCGAGTCCAGGGCCAAGCTCAGCCTACAGTGGGGTGAGAGTGCACCTGCGGTCAGAGTCAGCCCAGCGCCTGGTTGGGTCTTGGACTCTAGCTGAGGGCTGCAGCTGGGCCTTTGCTCTCACCTCCCCACCCTCTAACCCTTTTGCTCAGCAGCTGCACACTGACCAAGCCTCTGGTTCATTGTTGAATCAGACACTTGGCATTCCTCCCAAATGCAAGGCAGAACTGATGCCTGGAAAGGGCACACTAGTGTCACAGGGCAGTAGCTGTCCCGTTTGCCACCGAGCCCACCTGTAGGCAGCCCAGAGTTCCTGGGCATGCTGCTTCACCTCCTCCTGGGCCAGCTCCTGCAGGTGCTTGTTGGCCCCGACACCTGCGTAGGTAGCCTGGAAGGTCAGCATCAGTGTCCGGAGCAGCTTTCCCAGGGGGTGCAGTGAGTTGCTCAGAGCCTGGGCCAGTGCATAGGCAACAGAGAGAGACTAAGCACTGGGGTCTGGAGCACAGCATGCCCACACCAGCCTCCCAACACTTCTCCCATCTCATACACGAGAACACTGAGGTCCTCTGAGGACAAGGGATCCACAGGCCTGTCCCCTTCAGTCAGCACCCTGCTATGAAAAATGGGAGCCCTTCCCCACCAGGGACAGTGACAATGTCACCCCCTTGGCCACCCCAGCAGGGCTCTCACCTTCCTGAGGTACAGCTGCAGGGCC